>NT_187601.1:0-302222 GCF_000001405.40 Homo sapiens | reverse complement strand
GGCTCCGTCTCAAAAATAATAATAATAATTTAAATAAATAATAAATAACCTGCTAGATTTTCATTGAACACATTGTTTCCATCTTCTATTTGTAAGTTATTTCTAGCCTTTCAACATTTAACACTTAGTTTCTTCCCAGATAGTTTTCTAAATCAGTAGCATTGGAGCGTACGTTCTCAGGGCCTTCTGAGACTGTGTCACAAGTCATGGAAAAAAAAAATTTTTTTAATTAAAAATAGCTGGGCATGGTAGCTCACACCTGTAATCCTAGCACTTAGGGAGCCAGAGAGAGGAGGAAAGCTTGAGCCCAGGAGTTCGAGACCTGCCTGGGCAACATAGCGAGACCCCATTCTCCACAAAAAAGAAAAATATAAAAAATAAAACCATTAAAAGCATTAATAATAATTTAGCCATTACCAAGAGGAAGAACAAATTCTGCTTATCAAGACAGCCATTTCCTCAATAATTTTTTAGCAATGCCTCATAAGCTGACAGCAAGTCTAGACAGCTGGCTTAGCTGCAATAGAATGAATCGGTGTTTTAAGTGTGAAGAATTTTAAAGCAAGCCAAGTAATTGTATAAAATTTAAATTTTATGATCATGTCTGGACCTTTTTACACTTAACACAATGGAAATGTTCATATTCATTTTTTTCCCCAAAGGAAAAATTTCTGAATCATCACTATGTTGCACAGTAGAATAGAAATATGAATTCAGGTACTTAGTCAAGTTTCTAAAGAATGCAAATAACAGACATGATTTAACTTCCAAAATCTGAAGTCATCAACATGATTTTGTAGTACTCTATCTCAGGTTTTACCTAAAAATTCGTTATTATTCAGATAAAGATAGCTCCCTAATCACATGTTTTTAAAAAGCCTCTGCCCCACGACAACTTCCTGAGATCTGTGAAGAAACTGCAGTCTTGTGATCAGACTCCATATAGGACTGGCAGTTTTGTAATCGTAGGGAAAAAACGGTGACTGATTTTACGTGTCAATCAGTTGTAGTCTGCTGATCTGATTAGAAGCCTTGACAAATGCCTGGTGGCGATTGCAAATAACTGCCAAGCATATAGGGATGATACAGTAGCCCACTGTTTTGGGATCAGCTCTTGTACAAGAGTATAGGAACAAAAACATCTGTAAGTAAGGTACCAGAAAAATAACTGTCCACACCCAAAAAGGCAAGGAGAGTAATTGAGCTTTCAAGGAGTGTGTCCATGTGGTTCCTTCAAGGGGCTCCTCAGGGTGCTGTTGAATGTGTTCCAAGGCCAGCCTGTTGTAAGTCTCACTGATTTCAAAAACATAGTAAAATGCTGCTGCACTGGCTAACAGATACAATCCCACTCCAATCCATCCCATCCGCTGACGGAAGTTCATCATTCTCCATGCTCTGTGCCTTCAAATTAAAAAAGAAAATACAATTAGGGTCTAGTAATGCTGTCACGGCAACTACTCCAAATGTACTTGCTTTATCTCCAAGAATTCTAGGCCGGGCGCGGTGGCTCGCGCCTGTAATCCCAGCACTTTGGGAGGCTGAGGCGGGTGGATCACGAGGTCAGGTGATAGAGACCATCCTGGCTAACATGGTGAAATCCCGTCTCTACTAAAAATACAAAAAAAATAGCCGGGCGTGGTGGCGGGCACCTGTAGTCCCAGCTACTCGGGAGGCTGAGGCAGGAGAATGGCGTGAACCCAGGAGGCAGAGCTTGCAGAGAGCCGAGATCACGCCACTGCACTCCAGCCTGGGCGACAGAGCGAGACTCTGTCTAATTAAAAAAAAAAAAAAAGAATTCTAAAATATCCCACTAACACACTTAAGATTTAAAATAATTAAATTAAACACCTATTAAGAAATGTAAAACTTACAGGTTGTTTTGTGTAATACTTACAATCAAGTAAAACAACACACACAAAAAAACAAAAAACCATTGATTTCAGTATATACTGAGTTCTGCTTTTTAACGGGAATCCCTCAGAATAAATCACTGCATCCTACTTAAACAGGTCCATAATACCCGCCCTCCAGAAACTGGAATTAAACTAGTTTCTCACAGCACATTTCACTTTGACAGGTGAAACACTTTCTGGCATAACAGTACTGCTTCAGACGTGAACGCGGGGTGCTACAAGTCAAGCCCCCAAGTTAAGACAGTAACTCCTAAGCACTTACAATGGTCCCGAAAATCTTCCTGTTCCCACGGCAAGCGTTAAAGAGTCACTCAGCTCTGAATAATCGGGTGGCTTTGGCATTTCAGAGAAAGCCAACATAAAATAAATCCCCTGGGTCACCCGGCTAGGAGAAAGGTGAGCGCCGCCAGCCTGGAGCACCAGCTACTAGTGATTAAGAACGGCGTGACTGCGGCGGGTCACGCGCGGCCCGGCCCCCGTCGCCGCCGCCGGAGACCCGCTCTGAGAACCTGACCCGGCAGGGAGGCGTCCCCGCCACTTGGGCCTCCGGGCGGCCGGCCCCGCCCCCTGCCGCGCTGCAGCGCCGGCACGCCGCGACCAAGGCTGCGCAGGCGGCGCCAGGCCCGGGCCTCGCCGCCTTGCAGCGCCGCGAGCCCAGCGCCCGTCAGCGGTCGCCGGCGGAGCCTGCTTGCAAAGCTGAGGTCCCGGATCTCACCTTCCTGTCCCGTGGTGGCCAGCCCGCCCGCCGTCCCGGATGCCGCCGCAGTCGGAGCTTCCGGCTCGGGCCGGAAGCGCGCGCGCCCCGCCCCCGAGGCCCGCCCCTCATGACGTCAGATCGCCCCCGCCCGCCGCGCAGCTTCCCCGAGCGAGACCAAAACAGGTGGAATCCGGGCTGGAGCCGGAGCTCCGGCGGCGCGGGTGGCGGCACGTCCCTCCAGGTGGGTGGCTCTCTGGGTCTGGCGACTCAGCGCTCCTCAGCCTTGCCCCCTGGTGCCCGCTCGCGACTGTCATCGCCCCATCACTTCTCGTTGCAGACAGTACCACAGGCACCTGGAGTACCGGCATCGGTCGCTGTGGCCCCCGAGTGTCCGTCAGAGCCTAGGGGAGCCTGCCCTCCCGCGCCTCGTCGGGGCCCGGCCAGGCACCTTGGCCGCCGGCGCACGGACGCGGGCACGAGCACTAGATCACGGTGAGTGGAAGCGGGCCCGACGCGGCCCTGCAGGCCCGACATCCGCCAGGCACCAGGGCTGGGAGGGGTGAGGGGCGCGCGCCGCAGTGCGGCTGCCCTGGCGTCGCCGCTGGGGGCAGGGCGCGCGGGGCTTGGGGCCTGCACGCTTGCCCTGGACGTTGGCACCTTTAGCTAACCTGTCTGCTCTGTCTTGCAGGCTGCTGGACCTCGGCACGTTGACAAGATTTCTCTGGGGTACCGCGGAGGATTACTTTGAATTTCGGTGGTCGCCTGTGGTCTGGCATATTTAGAACTTAAGTCTATTATTTCGGGCACCATGACTTTGAGGCTTTTAGAAGACTGGTGCAGGGGGATGGACATGAACCCTCGGAAAGCGCTATTGATTGCCGGCATCTCCCAGAGCTGCAGTGTGGCAGAAATCGAGGAGGCTCTGCAGGCTGGTTTAGCTCCCTTGGGGGAGTACAGACTGCTTGGAAGGATGTTCAGGAGGGATGAGAACAGGAAAGTAGCCTTAGTAGGGCTTACTGCGGAGACTAGTCACGCCCTGGTCCCTAAGGAGATACCGGGAAAAGGGGGTATCTGGAGAGTGATCTTTAAGCCCCCTGACCCAGATAATACATTTTTAAGCAGATTAAATGAATTTTTAGCGGGAGAGGGCATGACAGTGGGTGAGTTGAGCAGAGCTCTTGGACATGAAAATGGCTCCTTAGACCCAGAGCAGGGCATGATCCCGGAAATGTGGGCCCCTATGTTGGCACAGGCATTAGAGGCTCTTCAGCCTGCCCTGCAATGCTTGAAGTATAAAAAGCTGAGAGTGTTCTCGGGCAGGGAGTCTCCAGAACCAGGAGAAGAAGAATTTGGACGCTGGATGTTTCATACTACTCAGATGATAAAGGCGTGGCAGGTGCCAGATGTAGAGAAGAGAAGGCGATTGCTAGAGAGCCTTCGAGGCCCAGCACTTGATGTTATTCGTGTCCTCAAGATAAACAATCCTTTAATTACTGTCGATGAATGTCTGCAGGCTCTTGAGGAGGTATTTGGGGTTACAGATAATCCTAGGGAGTTGCAGGTCAAATATCTAACCACTTACCAGAAGGATGAGGAAAAGTTGTCGGCTTATGTACTAAGGCTGGAGCCTTTGTTACAGAAGCTGGTACAGAGAGGAGCAATTGAGAGAGATGCTGTGAATCAGGCCCGCCTAGACCAAGTCATTGCTGGGGCAGTCCACAAAACAATTCGCAGAGAGCTTAATCTGCCAGAGGATGGCCCAGCCCCTGGTTTCTTGCAGTTATTGGTACTAATAAAGGATTATGAGGCAGCTGAGGAGGAGGAGGCCCTTCTCCAGGCAATATTGGAAGGTAATTTCACCTGAGTCTCAGGGAACCACGAAGGGATATGGCAATGAGTAGAGCATGAAGGTAGAACAGTCTATATACTCTTGTGACACATACAATCCCTACCTTGTGCTGCCAAGTAACTCATTTTTGTGCAATTCTCAGTATAAGCCCTTTGTCGTTTCTGTGCCTATTTAAAGTCTCCTAAAGGTGTAATTGACTAGGAAGGATGTAGTTCTACACTGCCATTTACCTATTTAAATTCATCCTTGTGAATATCTTTGTTGTTGTTGTTGAGACAGAGTCTCGCTCTGTCACCCAGGCTGGAGTGCAGTGGCGTGATCTTGGCTCACTGCATCCTCCGCCTTCCAGGTTTAAGCTATTCTCCTGCCTCAGTTGCCCGAGTAGCTGGGACTACAGGCATGTGCCACCACGCCCAGCTAAGTTTTGCATTATCAGTAGAGACGGGGTTTCACCATGTTGGCCAGGCTAGTTTCGAACTCCTGACCTCAAGTGATCCACCTGCTTCGGCCTCTGAAAGTGCTGGGATTACAGGCGTGAGACACTGCGCCCAGCCTCATCCCTGTGAATTTCTTATTGTACACAAGTTCTTTCACTATCTGTGTGCAGTGCTCTGAGGGGACAGACAAGGCTTGGGTGTATATGCCAACCAGATCTCATTGAAGTATCAGCTTGTTTGGTACTAGGTGCAAGTGTAGCATGTCACATGTGACCATGTTGGATCATTGACAATTTTTAGGTATGTACTGACCTACATTTATGATGAAGATCCTGAGCGGAGGTTAAGATATTAAGTTATTTTCCATATGAATCAGAATTATATTGATTCTGTGCAATCAAAACAAAAGGCAGAATAGAATGCTGAGATTGGTTAAGTTTGCAATGACCATCTTGAACCACAGATTTCTGCTATGTGTCATCAAAACATCTAGTTCTGAGTAACATTTTCACGATTGTTATAAAATTATAGGTGTGAACTTCTAAAATAAAGGAATGCTAATAAAATGACTTTGTCTGTTTTGTTTATATCACGGTTCCAAGAGAGATTTCATTTGAATAAAGAGTTCCCAAAGCATGAATCTGCAAACCACTGAACCTACACAGACTTAGTTCCTTGGACTCTTTCCTCTTGGTGCTCAGGGGTAGGAAATTGTTTTCTAAGTGAAGGGACCTTCTACCGAAGCAGTAAAACAATGGGATGAAACAAGACAGTGCACAAATTAGTGCGAGTAGTGCAGATGTATCAGTGTGTCAAATTTGGAAGGAGAAGGAAAGAAATGAACATTGCATGCTGCTGCTTGGAAGATTGGACTAAAAGTTTCTCCATGTACTTTCCCATTTAATCCTCTTGAAAAAAGGTTGAGCAGTATAATCTTAGCACTTTGAGAGGCTGAGGCAGGAAGATCGCTTGAACCCAGGAGTTCGAGACCAGCCTGGGCAACATAGTAAGTACAAAACATTTTTAAAAACTAGCCAGGCATGGTGGTGTGCGCCTGCAGACCCTGCTACTCAGGAGGCTGAAGCTGGAGGACTGCCTGAGGCCAGGAAGTCAAGGCTGCAGCAAGCCATGATCATACCACTGCACTCCAACCGGGTGACAGAGCAAGACCCTGTCTAAAAAAAAATAATAATTAATTTAAAAAATTCCTGCGGTATAGGAAAACTCAGTTTCACACTTGTGGAAATGGGCACAAAAGGTTAGAAATTTGGTCAAGGGCTGGGCGCAGTGGCTCATGCCTGTAATCCCTGCACTTTGGGAGGCCGAGGCGGGCGGATCACGAGGTCAGGAGATAGAGACCATCCTGGCTAACGGTGAAACCCCGTCTCTACTGAAAACACAAAAAATTAGCTGGGCGTGGTGGCGGGTGCCTGTAGTCCCAGCTACTCAGGAGGCTGAGGCAAAAGAATCACTTGAACCCAGGAGGCGGAGGTTACAGTGAGCCAAGATAGTGCCACTGCACTCCAGCCTGGGCAAAGCGAGACTCCGTCTCAAAAAAAAAAAAAAAAAAGAAATTTGGTCAAGGTGAAACATCCTTGGGCCAGAATTCTATCCTCTGTAGTAAGTGTAGTGAGCGATTAGGCCAGAATTCTTGTCTTTCTGCAAGGCCCATGTTCTTTCTACTGCCAAGAAAGAGAAACAATCATCAGGGTATCTATACCGAATAGCCTCACAAGGGAGGCAGGGCAGGCATTGGCTCCATTTCATAAGTGTCCATCTTATGTGCATTGGAGGGGAGTACAGTTGACCCTTGAACAACTTGGGGCTTAGGGGAGCCAGCCCACTGCACAATCTGCACATAACTTTTGATTCCTCAAAAACTTTACTATTACTGACAGGAGGCCTTACCAATAACAGAAAGTTGGTTAACATATTTTGTATGTTATTTGTATTATATACTATATTAAAGTAAGCTAAAGAAAAAATGTTCTTAAGAAAATTATATGGCCATATGCAGTGGTTCACACCTGCAATCCCAGCACTTTGGGAGGTCAAGGCGGGTGGATCACTTGAGTTCAGCAGTTTGAGACCAACCTGGCCAACATGGTGAAACCCCATCTGTACTAAAAATACAAAAATTAGCTGGGTATGGTGGCATGCACCTGTAATCCCAGCTACTTGGGAGGCTGAGGCAGGAGAAACGCTTGAACCTGGGAGGCGGAGGTTGCAGTGAGCTGAGATGGCACCACTGCACTCCAGCCTGGGCAACAGAGCGAGACTGTGTCTCAAAAAAAAGGAAGCAAATCATAAGATAAACTATATTTACAATTCATTAAAGAAGTGGATCATCATAAAGGCCTTCATCCTGGTTGTCATCTTCACATTGAGCAGGCTGAGGGGGAAAGGGAGGGTTGGTCTTGCTGTCTCAGTGGTGGCAGAGACGGAAGAAAATCTGTGGATAAGTGGACCTGTGTAGTTCAAGCTCCTGTTGCTCAAGAGTCAGCTGCACGTTATTCTGAATCAGAGTCCTACTGCAAATTAAACACTTAGCAGTGGAGAATATGAGACTCTATAAGACCTGGGCAGGTGGCATGGGTTATCTTTTACCTAAAAAAAAAAAAAAAAAAAAAATGAAGCATGGTTGACAATTGCTGAAAGGTAGGATAAAGCCTTTCATAAAAGTACCCAAATTTGGGATGTACACCCTGGTTTTAGATTCAAAGGCATAGTATAATGTTTGTGTTATGACTAAATGTCATGATTAAGTTCCCGTAAGTTCTTCTACGATGGAAAGAGAAATATTAGATGACATATGGACTCTGAAGAGATTAGAAGGTGTAATTCTGATCTTGTTTATATTTGAGTAGTCATTTGGAGTGTACAAGGCATTGTGACACGGGCCACTCACTTGCCCCCTCAGTAGTGGGAAGCAGACATGGTTAGTGTGTGCACCCTTGGGTGTTAATACAGGTTGCTCCTCTCCATATGTGAGGCACTGAGCTGAGGGCTTAAGATTGTCGTTAGATTTAGACTACAATCCCTGCCCTGGAGGTCTATTCAGGGTCAGTGATGATAGCTGGCGTTGAACAGCAGATACCGAGCACCAGTGAACACGTTTGATCCCACAACGAGCTCAGTCCTTGATTTTCCCCATTTTACGGATGAGACTGAGAAGCTAAGTAACTTGCCCAGGGTTTCATAGCTAGTGAGTGGCAGGCTCAGACGTTTCCAGAGTTCTCCATCTTAATGTATTCTATGCTGCCTTATTCAGAAACCTACTATTTCCCCATTTGACAGATGAGAAGCTTGAGGATCAGAGAGATTCAATGCCAGGGGCAAGGGCTCATAGCCTGATTCCAGAAAGCTGTTCTTAAGGTGTTCTGACATGTATCTGGTAAACATTACATAATTTTTGTTTAAGTTATGTTTATGGAATCATGTAAAATAAAATATGCTCCCCTTAAATAGCCATGTTTCAACTGGGCATGGTGGCTCATGCCTGTAATCCCAGCACTTTGGGAGGCCAAGGCAGACGGATCACCTGAGGTCAGGAGTTCGAGACCAGCCTGGCCAACATGGTGAAACCCTGTCTCTACTAAAAATAGAAAAATTAGCTGGGCGTGGTGGCGGGCGCCTGTAATCCCAGCTACTGGGGAGGCCGAGGCAGGAGAATTGCTTGAACCCAAGAGGTAGAGGTTGCAGTGAGCTGAGCTTGTGCTACCGCACTCTGGCCTAGGCGACAGAGTGAGCTCCACCTCAAAAAATAAAAAAAAAAAAGAAACCATCACAGATCACAGACTAGAGACTAAGGAGAGAGGTGGTGAACTAAATGTAATGTGTCCTGGAAGGGATCTTGGAACAGATAAAGGGCATGAGTGGAAAAGTGGGATCCAAGTACAGTTAGGAGGTTAGAGGTCACAGTAATGTGCCAATGTGAGTTTCCTGGAAGTGCCAAATGTATCATGGAAATGTAAAGTGTTAACAATAGGGGAAGTAGGTGAGAATACAGGAGCTCTCTGCACTCTTTGTAACTTATCTGTAAGCCTAAAACTACTATAAAAAAATGTCCATTGAAACACACACATATCTTGGGTTCCTAGATGTTTCAGCAAAAAGTAAAAAATAAAAAAAGAAGGGCTGGGTGAGGTGGCTCACGCCTGTAATCCCAGCACTTTGGGAGGCCAGGGAAGGCTGATCGTTTGAGCCCAGGAGTTTATGACTGACCTGACCAACATAGTGAAACCCTGTCTCTACAAAACCACACGTGATGGCACATGCCTGTGGTCCCAGCTACTTGGGAGGCTGAGGTGGGAGGATCTCTTGAGCCTGGGGAAGTCGAGGCTGCAGTGAGCCGAGATCGCGCCACTGCACTCCAGCCTGGGCAACAGAGCAAGACCCTGTCTCAAAAACAAAACAAAACAAAACAAAACAAAAAAAACTATGAAGATATATACACCATATGCATGGTAATAACAAATGACCTGAGATGCCAACCAGTAAAACAAGTCATTTCATTCACTGAAACACCACTAGGTGGCGGTTACCACGAAAGGCAGGCCCCAGCCAAGCCAAAGCAGGGAAAGGGATTCTTATGTAAACAGGGTCATATCTAACCCTGGAAAACTAAAACATTTCTCAAGCTTTTATGGAGGAAAATATTTTTGAGTGCTCAGTCTAGGACAATGACTTCTCTCTAAGTCCATGACATTCTAGAATCTTCTAATTCACTGTTCAGAGAGGCCTGGCCTCACCAAATGGATTGATCTCAGTCTATTTAAATGAGAACATTCTTCGTGATTCCACTTCACTCCCAGCTAGAGCGTCTCTCAACATTGGAAACCAGATCAACTTCTGAAAGTTACTTATTTTAAAGAGAATGAAATTGAAGTTCAGGCTGGGCGTGGTGGCTCCCACCTGTAATCCCAGCACTTTGGGAGGCAGAGGCAGGTGGATCACCTGAGGTCGGGAGTTCGAGACCAGCCTGACCAACATGGAGAAACCTTGTCTCTACTAAAAATACAAACATTAGCCGGGCGTGGTGGCGTGTGCCTGTAATACCAGCTACTTGGGAGGCTGAGGCAGGAGAATCACTTGAACCCGGGAGGCAGAGGTTGCGGTGAGCTGAGGTCGCACCACTGCACTCCAGCCTGGGCAACAAGAGTGAAACTCTGCCTCAAAAAAAAAAAAAAGAAAGAAAGAAATTGAGGTTCAAAGCACTATGGAGCTATGGTGGGTTCCCACATGCTCTCCTTCTGCTGCTGCCAGCCAGCCTCACTCTGCTTTTAGAGATGTTGGTTTTTTGTTTTGTCTTGTTTTTTTTTTTTTTGAGCCTGAGTCTCACTCTGTCACCCAGGCTGGAATGCAGTGACGCGATCTTGGCTCACTGCAACCTCCGCCTGCTGGGTTCAAGCGATTCTTCCCCCTCAGCCTCCCAAATAGCTGGGATTACAGGCACCTGCCATCATTCCTGGCTAATTTTTGTATTTTTGTAGAGACAGGGTTTCACCACGTTGGCCAGGCTGGTCTTGAACTCCTGATCTCAGGTGATCTGCCTGCCTCGGCCTCCCAAAGTGCTGGGATTACAGGCGTGAGCCACCACACCAGGCCTAGTTTTCTTTTTCTTTTTTTTTTTTTTTTTTGAACTGGAGTCTTGCTCTTATTGCCCAGGCTGGAGTGCAATGGCACGATCTCGGCTCACTGCAACCTCCACCTCCCGGGTTCAAGCGATTCTCCTGCCTCAGCCTCCCGAGTGTCTGGGATAACAGGCATGCGCCACCACACCTGGCTAATTTTGTATTTTTAGTAGAGACGAAGTTTCTCCATGTTGGTCAGGCTGGTCTCAAATTTCCAACAGGTGATCTGCTTGCCTTGGCCTCCCAAAGTGTTGAGATTACAGGCGTGAGCAGCTGCACCTGGCCTATTCTTATATTACCATATAAACTGGGTAAGTATGTTAAATAAATTAGTGTCATTTATTACACTGATTTACTGATAATTAGTCATTAATTCACTGTAAAGTAGGCTTGTAAGTCACCACCCTAAAAGGTGGTTTGGGAGTCAGAGGTTGAGTCTACAATAGTAGAATTCTACAGATGAGGCATGTGAGGTTCAGAGAGGGTGAGAGGCTTTGCTCCAGGACACGAAGCTAAGTAGTGGTGGGGCCCAACTGGGAACCTGAATCTGAGGCTGCTTCTGTCTTGCTCTGTGACCTGAGCTGAGATGCTTAATTCCTCTTCGACTTCAGTTTATTTACCTACAAAATCTGTGCTCTCTTTTAGCTCTAAAACTCTGGTACTCAGAGGATTCTTTTGAGTATCTCTAAACTATAAACTGGGCCGGGTGCAGTGGCTCACGCCTGTAATCCCAGCACTTTAGGAGGCTGAGGTGGGCAGATCGCTTGAGCTCATGAGTTTGAGACCAGCCAGGCCAACATGGTGAAACCCCATCTCTACCAAAAATACAAAAAATTAGTTGGGCGTGGTCGTGCATGCCTGTAATCCCAGCTACTTAGGAGGCTGAGGCAGGAGAATCACTTGAACCCAGGAGGCGGAGGTTGCAGGGAACCGAGATTACACTACTGCACTCCAGCCTAGGCGACAGAGTGAGACTCTGTCTCAAAAACATAAATAAATAAGTAAGCTATAAACTGACACTAAGTTCTTAATATTTGTCATTTAATATGTGTTTCCAAATATTATCAGCATATCTTTTGATGAGTGTGCCTTTTAACTCTCCCACTAGATTCTATACTCCTCTTCAAGGAGTATCATATCCCTAGATAAGCCCAATACACTTGGAAGGTAATCAATATTTCTTTTCTTTTTTGAGACATGGTTTTACTCTGTTCCCCAAGCTGGAGTGCAATGGTGCAAACACAGCCCACTGAAACCTCAAACTCCTAGGTTCAAGGAATCCTCTGACTTCAGCCTCCTGAGTAGCTGGGACCACACACACACACCACTATGTCCAGCCGATCAATATTTCTTGTTTTTTTTTGTTTTTTTGTTTTTTTATATGGGGTCTCACTCTGTCACCCAGGGTGGAGTGCAGTGCCACGATCATGTTTCACTGCAGCCTTGACCTCCCGGGCCCAAACAATCCTCCCACCACCTTAGCCTCCGGAGTAGCTGGGACCACAGGCATGCACCACCATGCCCAGCTAATTTTTTGTCATTGTTTGTAGGGACAGGGTTTCACCATGTTTCCCAGGCTGGTCTCAAACTCTTGAGTTCAAGAGATCCACCCGCCTCAGCGAGAGTAGGCATGAGGAAATGAATATAATCATTGGTGAACCTGTTTCTAACCTTGTAACCTAAACCCAATCCATTACGTCTCTTCTCTGTCTCTCTCCAATAACAATAATAATAATACAGCGTAACTTATGCTACAGAAGAGACAACACTGTTCGCTACCACCCAGCACAGCAACTATTAACCCTTTTCCTCTTTTGTAATTAAGATTTGTTCACCCACTTTACAGAACCGTTAATATCAGAGGAAGCTCAGCCTCTCTCTAGTCCTAATAGAAAGAGTGGGTGGTAAATCTTTTGTTGTTGTTGTTTTTGTTTGTTTATTTTAGAGATTGGGTCTCACTCTCTAGCCCATGCTGGAATGCAGTGGTGCAATCATAGGTCACTGCAGCCTCGAACTCCTGGGCTCAAGTGATCCTCCTGCCTCAGCCTCCTGAGAGAGTGGTAAATCTGATAAGTTTAAATGACTTGGTATCCTTTGCCAAACTGCTTGCTATAGGCGTGGGCAGATAATTCAGGTCTAGCCAGTGAAATATGAGCAGCTATTTTTTAACCTGTCTTCATAGGAGCATAGACTCTGGTGCCAGATTGCCCCAGGTCAGATTCCAGCTTCAGGCCGGGCACAGTGGTTCACACCTGTAATCCCAGCACTTTGGGAGGCTGAGGCAGGTGGATCACTTGATGTCAGGAGTTCGAGACCAGCCTGGTCAACATGGTGAAACCCTATCTCTACTAAAAATACAAAAACATTAGCCAGGTGTGGTGGCGCATGCCTATAATCCCAGCTACTCGGGAGGCTGAGGCAGAACTGCTTGAACCTGGGAGGCAGAGGTTGCAGTGAGCCAAGATCATGCCACTGCACTCCAGCCGGGGCGACAGAGCGAGACTCCGTCTCCAAAAACAAAAATATTCCAGCTTCACCATTTTCTAACTCTGTGACCTTGGGCAAGTTGATTAACCCTGCCTGGGGCCTCAGTTTCCTCAACTGAAAATGGGGATAGTAATGAAACTCATTCCCAGGGGTCATTGTGAGGACCTAGTAAACCTGTACCTGTAAAGTGCTGTCAGCCACTGCACAGTGAATACTCAGAGATAGCTCTTGTCTCTGTTCACCACTGCTGCATCATCAACTAACCCGGAACTTAGTGTCTGAAAGCAGCAATGGTTTAATAGCTGTTATCTCACAGTTTCCGTGGATCAGGAATCTGGCAGCAGCTTACCTGGGTGGTTCTCACTCTCAGAGACTGCAGCAGAGCAGCCAGCCGGGGCTGCGGCTGTGTCTTACATGATCATCTTTCACACTCACCCACGTGGGCCTGTCCACCGGGGCTGCCTCATGACACAGGGCTGATTTCCCCTGGAAACAAGTGATCCAGGAGAGAGTGAGAGAGAACACCCACACGGAAGCCACCGTCTTTTAACCATCTTATCTCAAAAGTGACATCCCATTGCTGTGTCATATTCTATTCATTAGAAGCAAGTCGGTAATCCAGCCCATGCTCAAGGGGAGGAGAGAAACATGGGTGTGGATTCCAGGAGGAGGGAATCACTGCGGCTGTCTTAGAGGCTGCTGCTGACAGCTGTTAGTTTTACCTATGCAGAGAAAAAGCCTATATTTTTGTTACTTCTAACTTTATATTTTACCTACAAATGACAAAATTCCTCTATTAGAACTAGATTAAAAGAGAAAAAAATCCTCCATCCATTCCTTCATGTATCCGAGTAGTAAGCACAGAATTGCCCTGTGTCCATTCTAAAGGGTGCTAGAGGCCATTTGAGGTTCACTAGTGAACAGCCAGCATATGTTCACTTTTTTAGCGTACAAGCATAAGTGTCTCCTAAATCTTCCCTATTCCAAGCTGTAAATGTCCAGCTGCTTCTCGGCTTCCCCGATTCCCTCCTGATCTCACTTCCCTCCCTTCTGAGTGTACTTTAAGAATAAGCAATAAGCCGGGTGCGGTGGCTCACACCTGTAATCCCAGCACTTTGGGATGCCAAGGCAGGCGGATCACCTGAGGTCAGGAGTTCGAGACCAGCTTGGCCAATATGGTGAAACCCCGTCTCTACTAAAAATACAAAAACTAGTCAGGGGTGGTGGCGCATGCCTGTAATCCCAGCTACTTGGGAGGCTGAGGCAGGAGAATCACTTGAACCCAGGAGGCAGAGGTTGCAGTGAGCCAAGATTGCGCCACTGCACTCCAGCCTGGGTAAGAGAGGGGACTCTGTCTCAAAAAAAAAAAAAAAGAAGAAGCAATAACCTGCTTGGCCTCTGACACTCTCACACCTCTTTCGGAGTGGGGAGAAGACTTACCTTGTACCAACCAGCTTCTGGTTTCTAAGCAACTGTACCCTAAATATTTAACAAAAGCTTTTATTTTTTTACTTTTGTCTCACTCTTTTGCACAGGCTGGTGTACAGTGGCACGATCACAGCTCACTGCAACATTGACCTCCCAGGCTCAAGCGATCCTCCCACCTCAGGTGCCTGAGTAGCTGGGACTACAGGTGCATGCCATCACACTAGGCCATTTTATTTTATTTTTATTTCTATAGCGATGGAGTCTTGCCATGTTGCCCAGGCTTGTCTGGAACTCCTGGGCTCAAAGCAATCCTCCTGCCTCAGCCTCCCTCAGGCTTACAAGTGTGAGCCACCACACCCAGCAACAAAAGCTATTAAAGTGTGCATTCCTTTCATCTAACATATTCTATAGAAATGTATCCCAAGAAACTAAATAAGGATGTCTACAAAGAATGGGCTAAAATGTTTTTCATTGCAATATTTTTTATAATTGTGAAAAAATCAGAAACCATATAAATGTCCAATCATAACTGATAGATTAAGTAAATTATGCAATGTCCAAAGGACTATAAACTCAGTAGCCATTACAAATTTTGTACTGAGGGCTGGGCATGGTGGCTTATACCTGTAATCCAGCAGTTTGGGAAGCTGGAGTGGAAGGATTGCTTGAGCCCAAGAGTTGGAGACTAGCCTGGGCAACATAGTGAGACCCCTGTCTCCATGAAAAAAAAAATTAGCCAGGCGTGGTGGTGTGCACCTGTGGTCCCTGCTATTTGGGAAGCTGAGACAGAAGGATCACTTTAGCCTAGGAGGTCAAGGTTACTGCGATCAAGGCACTGCACTCCAGCCTGGTCAATATAGCAAGATCCTATCTATATTAAAAAACAAAAAACTTGCATTGAGTTGTAAGTATTGCAGTTGCTGTTTTCGTAGGTCAAAACTATTTGAATTTGGGTAATTTCATGTTTCAACCTAATAGAAGGATTTTTTTTTTTTTTGCATACAAATAGGTTCACAACCTACCATGTAGTGAAAAAAGGCCAGGTGCAGTGTCTCACACCTGTAATCCCAGCACTTTGGAAGACTGAGGTGGGTGGATCACCTGAGGTCAGGAGTTTGAGACCAGCCTGGCTAACACGGTGAAACCCGTCTCTACTAAAAATACAAAAATTAGCTGGGCGTGGTGGCAGGCACCTGTAATCCCAGCTCAAGGCTGAGGCAGGAGAATCGCTTGAATCTGGGAGGCAGAGGTTGCAGTGAGCCGAGGTTGTGCCATTGCATTCCAGCCTGGGCGACAAAAGCGAAACTCCATCTCAAAAAAAAAAAAAAAAAAGAAAGAAAGAAAGAAAAAAAGAAAAGAAAAAAAGAAAAAAGCAGAGTACAACAGTATTTATGGAACAATCTCATTTTTATATTGGCAAATACATATAAATTATTTGTTAACAAAAAAAGTCTTGGAGAGGCATATGCCAAAATGTTAACAGCAGTTATCTGTGGGTAGCAGAATTATGAGCAATTTTAACCTTTTTTAAAATGAAGTTTTGGCTTTTCTCCAATGAATACTTCCTATTTGTGTAATGTTTACAGATTCTTGAATAAATGAAATAAAAGAAACCACAAGAGATAAATTGTGAGCTTGAGTCTGGGAGGTCAAGGCTGCAGTGAGCTGTGATCATGCCACTTGCACTTCAGCCTGGGTGACAAAGCAAAAAATAAAAATAAAAAAATCCTTCACTTAAAAATATCTGTGGTTGGCCAGGTACGGTGGCTCATGCCTGTAATCCCAGGATTTTGGGAGGCCGAGATGGGCGGATCACAAGGTTAGCAGATCGAGACCATCCTGGCTAGCACGGTGAAACCCCGTCTCTACTGAAAATACAAAAAATTGGCCGGGCGCGGTGGCTCACGCCTGTAATCCCAGCACTTTGGGAGGCCGAGGCGGGTGGATCATGAGGTCAGGAGATCGAGACCATCCTGGCTAACAAGGTGAAACCCCGTCTCTACTAAAAATACAAAAAATTAGCCGGGTGCGGTGGCGGACGCCTGTAGTCCCAGCTACTCGGGAGGCTGAGGCAGGAGAATGGCGTGAACCCGGGAGGCGGAGCTTGTAGTGAGCCGAGATCACGCCACTGCACTTCAGCCTGGGCAACAGAGCGACTCCGTCAAAAAAAAAAAAAAATCTGCGATTAATTCTTGTTGATCTTATGGGGAAAAAAAATCTGCAAAGACCCTTTTTCTTTCTTTCTTTCTCTCTTTCTCTCTCTTCTTTCTTTCTCTTTCTTTTCTTTTCTTTTTTTTTTTTTTTGAGACGGAGTCTCACTCTGTTGCCCAGGCTGTAATGCAGTGGTGCAGTCTCAGCTCACTGCAACCTCCGCCTCCTGGGCTCAAGTGATTCTCCTGCCTCAGCCTCCCGAGTAGCTGGGATTATAGGCGAGAGCCACCACTTCTGGCTAATTTTTGTATTTTTAGTAAAGATGGGGTTTCACCAAGTTGGCCAGGCTGGTCTCGAACTCCTGACCTCAAGTGATCCACCTGTCTCAGCCTCCCAAAGTGCTGGGATTACAGACATTGAGATGTGACAGCATGCTGGCAGTCCTCACAGCCCTCGCTCGCTCTCGGCGCCTCCTCTGCCTGGACTCCCACTTTGGCGGCACTTGAGGAGCCCTTCAGCCCACTGCTGCACTGTGGGAGCCCCTTTCTGGGCTGGCCAAGGCCGAAGCCCACTCCCTCCGCTTGCAGGGAGGTGTGGAGGGAGAGGCCCGAGCCGGAACCTGGGCTGCCTGCGGTGCTTGTGGGCCAGCTGGAGTTCCGGGTGGGCGTGGGCTTGGCAGGCCCTGGGCAATGAGGGACTTAGCACCCAGGCCAGCGGCTGCGGAGGGTGTACTGGGTCCCCCAGCAGTGCCAGCCCACCGGCACTGTGCTCGATTTCTCACGGGGCATTAGCTGCCTCCCCGCCGGGCAGGGCTCGGGACCTGCAGCCCGCCATGCCTGAGCCTCCCACCCCCTCCATGGACTCCTGTGCAGCCCCAGCCTCCCCGACGAGTGCCACCCCCTGCTCCACGGCGCCCAGTCCCATCGACCACCCAAGGGCTGAGGAGTGCGAGCGCACGGCAGCGAGGGACTGGCAGGCAGCTCCACCTGCAGCCCTGGTGCCAGTTCCGCTGGGTGAAGCCAGCTGGGCTCCTGAGTCTGGTGGGGATGTGGAGAATCTTTATGCCTAGCTCAGGGATTGTAAATACTCCAATGGGCACTCTGTATCTAACTCAAGGTTTGTAAACACACCAATCAGCACCCTATGTCTAGCTCAGGGTTTGTGAGTGCACGAATCAACACTCTGTATCTAGCTGCTCTGGTGGGGCCTTGGAGAACCTTTATGTCTAGCTCAGGGATTGTAAATACACCAATCAGCGCCCTGTCAAAACAGGCCACTCGGCTCTACCAATCAGCAGGATGTGGGTGGGGCCAGATAAGAGAATAAAAGCAGGCTGCCGGAGCTAGCAGTGGCAATCCGCTCGGGTCTCCTTCCCCACTGTGGAAGCTTTGTTCTTTGAAATAAATCTTGCCACTGCCCACTTTTTGGGTCCACACTCCTTTTATGAGCTGTAACACTCACCGCGAAAGTCCGCAGCTTCACTCCTGAAGCCAGCGAGCCCACGAGCCCACCAGGAGGAATGAGTAACTCTAGACGTGCTGCCTTAAGAGCTGTCACACTCACCGAAAGGTCTGCAGCTTCACTCCTAAAGCCAGCAAGACCACGAACCCACCAGAAGGAAGAAACTCCGAGCACATTCGAACATCAGAAGGAACAAACTCCCGACGTGCCACCTTAAGAGCTGTAACACTCAGTGCGAGGGTCCGCGGCTTCATTCTTGAAGTCAGTGAGACCAAGAACCCACCAATTTCAGGCACAACATGAGGCATTGCACTCAGCTTTTTTTTTTTCTTTCACCCCTACACCTTCTTCTGGGACCTTTTTCTTTCTTTCTTTCTTTCTTTTTTCTTTTTTTTGAGATGGAGTGTTGCCCTGTCGCCCAGGCTGGAGTACAGTGGCGCAAGCTCCGCTCACTGCAAGCTCCACCTCCTGGGTTCACACCATTCTCCTTCCTCAACCTCGAAAGTAGCTGGTACTACAGGCGTCTGCCAGCATGCCCGGCTAATTTTTTGTATTTTTAGTAGAGACGGGGTTTCACCGTGTTGCCCAGATGGTCTCGATCTCCTGACCTCGTGATTTGCCCGCCTCGGCTTCCCAAATTGCTGGGATTACAGGCGTGAGCTAGCGCTTCCGGCCAAATTTTTCTTTTTAAATTTTTAAAAAATTTACTTGTTTGTTTGAGACAGGGCCTTGCTCTGTCTCCCAGGCTGAAGTGCAGTGATGCAATCATAGCTCACTGCAGCCTTGACCTCCCAGGCTCAAGCAATTCTCCCACCTCAGCCTGGCGAGTAGCTGGAAGACCTTCTCCCTCCCTCCTTTCCTCCTCCCTTCCTTCTTCCTTCCTTGTGGTTTTTTTTTTTTTTTTTTTGAGACGGGGTCTTGCTTAGTCACCCAGGCACTGGGATGTGGTGGTGTGATCATAGCTCACTGTAGCCTTGAACTCTTGGGCTCAAGTGATCCTCCCACTACAGCCTCCCAAGTAGCTAGAACTACAGGCCTGCACCACCTCCCCTGACTAATTTTTATTTTTGTATAGATGAGCTCTCCCTGTGTTGGACAGGCTGGTCTCGAACTCCTGGCCTCAAGCAATTCTCATCCTCCACCCTACCTCAGCCTCCCAAAGGGTTGGGATTATAGGTGTGAACCAGCGTGCCCGGCCCAAAGACACTTTTTCCAATCACAGTAGCGTTCACAGTGTCCAGAGATTAGGCCCTGTTATCTTTGGGGGCCATTCTTCAACCTGTTGTTACTCCTGCTTTCAGACCATGGTGTGTGGCTGTGTCCTATCCTGTGTCCATTCCTGCTGCCCTAGTGTTGTGGAAGTTCCAGGGGAGAGATGTGTTTTCACTTGGTAGCCCCCTCTGCAGGGACTGTTCCTTCAACAGTTGTCCAGTCTGGGTGCGGTAGCTCACGCCTGTAATCCCAGCACTTTGGGAGGCCAAGGTGGGTGGATTGCTTGAAGTCAGGAGTTCAAGACCAGCCTGACCAACATGGTGAAACCCTGTATCTACTAAAAATACTGAAAAGAAAAAAAAAAAAGCTTGCGCGGTGGCTCACACCTGTAATCCCAGCACTCGGGATTACACCTGTAATCCGACTCGGGAGGCGGATCACCCGAGGTCGGGAGTTCAAGACCAGCCTCACCCACAGGAGAAACCGTGTCTCTACTAAAAATATGAAATAACCCAGGTGTGGTGGCGCATGCCTGTAATCTCAGCTACTCAGGAGGCTGAGGCAGGAGAATCGCTTGAACTGGGGAGGTGGAGGTTGCAGTGAGCTGAGAGTGCACCATTGCACTCCAGCCTGGAGAACAAGAGTGAAACTCCATCTAAAAAAAAAAAAGAAAATTAACTGGGCGTGGTGGTGGGTGCCTGTAATCCCAGCTACTCAAGAGGCTGAGGCAGGAGAATTGCTTGAACCCAGGAGGTGGAGGTTGCAGTGAGCCAAGATTGTGCCATTGCACCCCAGCCTGGGCAACACAGTGAGACTCCGTATCAAAAAAAAACAAAAACAAAAAACAGTTGTCCATATTCCAAAACATATTGACATCGCTCCTCGGCAGTCAACGCACCCACTTCTTGTTCTTGTAGGTTTATATTTGTTTTCATCCTTGACTGTCATTTTGGATGAGTTTCAGGTGGAAACAGAGATAACATGTGCATTCAATATACAGTGTTTAACCAAATGTTTCTCTACAGGCTTTAAATATTTTTGTGACTAGCTTTATCCTTCCATTTGTTAAAATATTATGTGCTTGTTTTCGAAATATTCTCATACCAAGGACAAATAGGCTGCTAGAAATCACATCTCTTGGTCAGGTGTGGTGGCTCATGCCTGTAATCCCAGCACTTTGAGAGGCCAAGGTGGGAGGCCAAGGTCTTTGGGCCGGGCATGGTGGTTCACGCCTATAATCCCAACCCTTTGGGAGGCCGAGGCAGGGTGGAGGATGAGAATTGCTTGAGGCCAGGAGTTCGAGACCAGCCTGTCCAACACAGGGAGAGCTCATCTATACAAAAATAAAAATTAGGGGAGGTGGCGCAGGCCTGTAGTTCTAGCTACTTGGGAGGCTGTAGTGGGAGGATCACTTGAGCCCAAGAGTTCAAGGCTACAGTGAGCTATGATCACACCACCACATCCCAGTGCCTGGGTGACTAAGCAATACCCCGTCTCAAAAAAAAAAAAAAAAAAAAAAAACACAAGGAAGGAAGAAGGAAGGAAGGAGGGAGGGAGAGGGTCTTCCAGCTCCTCAAGTAATCTCCCAATCTTGGTGCCCAAGAGTCTGAGACCAGCCTGGGCAACATAGTGAGACCCAGTCTTTATAAAAAATAATGAAAATAAATAAAATTTCAAAAGAGAAATCACACCTCTTACCCAAAAGCAATGGTTAAAATTTGGGTCTACCATTATATATTTTTGAGACAGAATCTTACTCTATCGCCCAGGCTGGAGTACAGTGGTGCAATCTCAGCTTTCTACAACCTCCGCCTCCTGGGTTCAACCGATTCTCCTGCCTCAGACTCTTGAGTAGCTGGCACTACAGGTGCGCACCACCAAGCCCGGTTAATTTTTTTGTATTTTTAGTAGAGACAGGGTTTCACCACGTTGGCCAGGCTGGTCTCGAACTCCTGACCTCAGGCATCTGCCCGCCTCGGCCTCCCAAAGTGCTGGGATTACAGGTGTGAACCACCATGCCTAGCTCCTAATATTTGTAAAGCATATCCCAAACACGATGGCATTTTGCCCCTACATGTTTCAGCATGTACTTCTTAAAATATAGACCTTTTCTTATAATACCTATAGCACACCTGACAAAATTGCCAGTAATGACTTAGTATCATCTAACATCCAGTTCATATTAAAATTTCCCCAATTACGTCAAGAATATCTACTCACCAAGGTAAAAAAGTATCTTCTTACAGTTGATTTATGGGAATCTGGATTCAAAACAAGAGCCATGCGTGATACTTGGTTGCTATGCCTCCCAAGTGTCTTAATTAAAGCAGTCCCTTGCCTTGTCTCCATGCCATTGCCTGGTTGAATTTCAATTTTAAAAAGACACATAAGAAACATACGATATTCCCCTTTTATCCACAGGGGATACGTTCCAAGATCCCCAGCGGATGCCTGAAACTGTGGCTAGTATAGAACCCATATAAGCCATGCCTTTTCCTATACATACATACATATCTATGTTTTGTTGTTGTTATTGCTGTTGTTTTTGAAACGGAGTCTCGCTCTGTCGCCCAGGCTAGAGTGCAGTGACGCAATCTCGGCTCATTGCAACCTTCACCTCCCAGGGTCAAGTGATTCTCCTGCCTCAACCTCCCGAGTAGGTGGGATTACAGATGCGTGACACTATGCCCAGTTAATTGTTGTATTTTTAGTAGAGACAGTGTTTCACCATGCTGGTCAGGCTATCTCGAACTCCTGACCTCTTGATCCGCCTGGCTTGGCCTCCCAAAGTGCTGGGATTGTAGCAGGACGAGCCGCAGACAAAACCTCTCAGACACCGAGTTGTAGAAGGAAGGGCTTTATTCAGCTGGGAGTATCGGCAAGCTACTGCCTTAAAATCCGAGCTCCCCAAGTGCACAATTTCTGTCCCTTTTAAGGGCTCACAACACTAAAGATTTCGCATGAAAGGATCGTGATTGATTTGAGCAAGCAGGCGGTACGTGACAGGGGCTGCATGCACCGGTGGTCAGAGAGAAACAGAACACGGCAGGGAGTTTCACAATGTTCTTCTATACAATGTCTGGAATCTATGAATAACATCGGTTTCTAAGTTATGAGTTGATTTTTAACTACTGGGTTTAGGCCAGGCAGGCCATGGCCTGGTTTTGGGCCTGGCGGCTGGGCTGCCTGTCTTTGGTTTTACTTCCTTGTTGTTTTTTCTTGAAACAGGTACTGAGTATAAAACAATATGAGAGGGTCTCTCTCTTCCCTCAGGATTACAAGCATGAGCCACTGCGCCGGGCCTGTTTGTTTGTTTGTTTGTTTGTTTTTAAGAGATGAGGTCTCACTATATTGCCCAGGCTGGTCTCGAACTCTTGGGCTCAAATGATCCTCCTGCCTCGGCTTCCCAAAGTGCTGGGATTATAGATGTGAACCATCACACCTGGCTTTTTTTTTTTTTTTTTTTTTTTTTTTTGAGACGGAGTCTCACTCTGTCGCCCAGGCTGGAGTGCAGTGGTGAGATCTCGGCTCACTGCAAGCTCCGCCTCCCATGTTCATGCCATTCTCCTGCCTCAGCCTCCTGAGTAGCTGGGACTACAGGCGCCTGCCACCAAACCTGGCTAATTTTTTGTATTTTTAGTAGAGACGGGGTTTCACCATGTTAGCCAGGATGGTCTGGATCTCCTGACCTTGTGATCCACGCATCTCGGCCTCCCAAAGTGCTGGGATTATAGGAGTGAGCCACCGCGCCCGGCCATATTTTTTTTTTTTTTTTTAAGAGATGGGGTCTCACACTGTTGCCCAGGCTGGAGTGCAGTGGTATAATCATAGCTCTCTGTAACCCCCAAACTCCCGGTCTCAAGCAATCCTCCGGTCTCATCCGGTCCAGTTGCTGGGATTATAGGCATGCATCACTAAACTCAGTTAATTTTTAAAAAAAATTTTGTAGCCGGGCGCAGTGGCTCACACCTGTAATCCCAGCACTTTGGGAGGCCAAGGCGGGTGGATCATGAGGTCAGGAGATCAAGACCATCCTGGCTAACACGATGAAACCCATCTCTACTAAAAATACAAATAAATAAATAAATAAATAAATAAATAAATAAATACCTGGGCATGGTGGCGGGCGCCTATAGTCCCAGCTACTCGGGAGGCTGAGGCAGGAGAATGGCATGAACCCGGGAGGTGGAGCTTGCAGTGAGGCAAGATCGCGCCCCTGCACTCCAGCCTGGGCGACACAGCAAGACTCCATCTCAAAAAAAAAAAGAAATTTTTTTTTTTTGTAGAGATGGGGTCATGCTCTGTCGCCCAGGCTGGAGTACAGTGGTATGATCATGGCTTACTGTAGCCTCAAACTCCTAAGCTCAAATGATCCTCCCATGTTAGCTTCCCGAGTAGCTAAGACTACAGGCATGTGCCACCAGGCCCAGCTACTATGATAAAGTTTAATTTATAAATTAGAAGCAGCAAGAGATTGACAACAATAACATAAAATAGAACAATTATAACAATATACGGTAATAAAAGTTATGTAAATGTGGTCTCTCTCTCTCCTCTGTCTGTCAAAATATCTTATTGCGTGTAATATTTTAGGCCCCAGTTGACCGCAGGTAACTGAAACCACAGCAAGTGAAACTGCAGATAAGACAGGACTACTGTATTTCTATTTCCCACATTGTTCCAAAATCGTTTTGAGATAGTCCAATAGAGTGCACTGTTTCATTACATTAAGACTTGTGATGTGACTTGGGGCTAATGAATTAGCTTAGGTCTTGCTCGGATGTCAAACTCCAGCCCTAGGCATTCTGTCCCCAGAGCAGCCCCTGTACTCTGAAATTCAAACTTTTTCAGAAGGCACCTGTTTTTCACCCGAAGGTCTTGAACTCCATATCCAGGTAAAATTACCTTTGGATCAGGTGGGATCTAGGAAAAGGCAGAGACCCCAAATACCAAATTCCTTCCACAGAGGCTATCGTGCCCAGGGGATGCTGTGCCTACATTTCCTCAAGTTCATGTACAGACAGCATCAAATTTTTATTTTTATTTTTATTACTTTTTTAATTTTTTATTGAGATGGAGTCTTGCTCTGTCACCCAGGCTGGAGTGCAGTGGTGCAATCTTGGCTCACTGCAACCTCTGCCCCAGGTTCAAGCAATTCTCATGCCTCAGACTGCCAAGTAGCTGGGACTACAAGCATGCACCACCACACCAAGCTAATTTTTTTTTGTATTTTGAGTAGAGACAGGGTTTTGCCATGTTGGCCAGGCTGGTCTCGAACTCCTGACCTCAAGTGATCCGCCTGCCTCAGCCTCCCAAAGTGCTGGGATTACAGGCATAAGCCACTGTGCCCGGCCAATTAATTAATTTATTTATTTGAGACAGAGTCTGGCTCTATCGCCAGGTTGGAGTGCAGTGGCACGATCTTGGCTCACTGCAACCTCTGCCTCCTGGGTCCAAGTGATGCTCCTGCCTCAGCCTCCCAAGTAGTTGGGACTATAGGTGTGCGCTACCACACCCAGCTAATTTGTGTTGTAGTTTTAGTAGAGACGGGGTTTCACCATGTTGGCCAGGATGGTCTCCATCTCTTGACCTCATGATCCGCCCACCTTGGCCTCCCAGAGTGCTGGCATTACAGGCGTGAGCCACCACACGTGGCCCAATTTTTAATTTTTTTAGAGACAGGGTCTCCCTGTCATCCAGGCTAGAGTGCAGTGGTGTGATCATCGCTCCCTGCAGCCTTAAACTCCTGGGCTCAAGTGATCCTCCTGCCTCAGCCTCCCAGAGTGCTGGGATTAGAGGGGCATGCCACCACCTGCTTTAAAGGAAGAAACAGACTGCTTTAAAAGAAGAAACATCCAAGAGTCCTTCCCTTGAATTACTGTTTCAGAATATTACTGAAATATGTATAGGAAAACAAAATGTAACTTTTTTTTTTTTTTTTTGAGACAGTCTTGCTGTGTCGCCAGGCTGCAGTGCAATGGTGCAATCTCGGCTCACTGCAACCCCCACCTCCCGGGTTCAAGCGATTCTCCTGCCTCTGCCTCCCAAGTAGCTGGGACTACAGGCACCTGCCACCACACCTGGCTAATTTTTTGTATTTTTAGTAAAGATGGGGTTTCACCATATTAGCCAGGATGGTCTCAATCTCCTGACCTCGTGATCTGCCCGCTTCGGCCTCCCAAAGTGTTGGGATTATAGGGGTGAGCCACTGTGCCCGGCCAACATATCTTTTTCTATGGGGGTCAAGGGATGACTTCCCTTGTCACCTCCTTCCTATACTTGAGGATCTGCCCACTGTATTCATTTCCCAGGGCTGCTGTCACAAAGCGCCCCGAACTGGGTGGCGTGAAGCAATAGAATTCAGCTCGCTCACAGTTCTGGAGGCTAAAAGTCTCAACTCCAGGTGTCAGCAGGGCCATGCACTCGCTGAAGGCTGTAGGAAGGATCTATCCCATGCTTCTCCCCGCTTCTGGTGGGTGCCAGCAATCCTCGGCATCCCTTGGCTGGGAGACATCACTCCAGTCTCTGCCTCTGTCATCACGTGGCCTTCTCCCTGTGTATCTCTCTGTGTCTCTGTTTTCTCTTCTTATAAGGACATCAGTTATTGGATTAGGGCCTACCCTAATTCAGTATGACCTCATTTTAACTTAACTAATTACATCTGCAAAGGCCCTGCTTCCAAATAAGGTCACATTCTGAGGTTCTGGGCAGACATGAATTCCTGGAGGACACCATTCAGCACCGTCCACCCACCCCATGAGTCTCACTGGGCCAGGGAGGGATGCAGCCCACCCCCTTCTACAGAAAATGAAAACACCCAATACACACTTTCTCAGTCTCCCTGGCAGGTGCTGCACAGATGCATGACCTGGGCTTGGCCAATGGGGTACAGCCACATAGGATTTTGCATCTGGAGCCAGGGATGCAAAGCAGCAGGAGTAGGAGAGATTCTTTTTTCTTTCTTTTCTTCAAGATGGAGTCTTGCTCTGTCACCTATGCTGGAGTGCAGTGGCGCGATCTCGGCTTACTGCAACCTCCACCTCCCAGGTTTAAGCAATTCTCCTGCCTTGGCCTCCCGTGTAGCTGGGATTACAGGCGTGTGCCACCACACCTGGCTAATTTTTGTATTTATTTTTTATTTTTATTTTTGGAGACACAGTCTCGCACTATCCCCTAGGCTGGAGTGCAGTGACGCGATCTCGGCTCCCTACAACCTCCATCTGGGTTCAAGTGATTCTCCTGCCTGTCTTCTGAGTAGCTGGGATTACAGGTGCGTGCCACCATGCCTGGCTAATTTTGGTATTTTTATAGAGATGGGGTTTCACCATGTTGGCCAGGCTGGTCTTGAACTCCTGGGTTCAAGTGATCCACCCGTCTCGGCCTCCTAAAGTGCTGGGATTACAGGCATGAGACACCACACCTGGCCTGGAGAGATTCTTAAAGCTGGTCACATGTATTTTTTGTATTTTCTGTCAGCTTTTGTTGTGATAACAAACACCCCCAAATCTCAGGGGCTTCCAACAACAAGCATGCGTTTCTCACAGTTCTGGGCATCAGTTGTGGGTGGTCGGCTGATTGGTGGCTTCTGCTGGAATCTGATGGGCAGGGCTCCAGACTGTAGATTGGGTTCAGGTGTGATCCACGTGTCTTATTGCAGACCCCAGGCTGAAGGAGCAGCCAGCTACCTGGGGTATGCCCTTCTCATCCAAGACGGCAGGAGTGCAAGAGCAGGGGCAGGAACCCAGGATGTCTCCCGAGCTCTCTGCTCAGAACAGGTACAAGGTCACTTTGCCCATCCCCCATCAGTATGTGCAAGTCACACAGCCAACCCAAAGTCAGTGGGGGCAGGGCAATATACTCTGCCCACAGGGAAACACAAAATGGGGAGAGAGAAGGAATCCTTTCTGGAAAATAATAATAGAATCCACCACACCATGGCAGCAACAGCTAGATGGCAGTGGTGTCCTTACTGGTCTGGATCTGGGCTGTGGTTCCCACCCAATTTATCTTATTTTTGTAGAAACAGGTGGTGCTGGGGCGGTAGGCGGTGGGGGGTGGGGTGGGGGTTCTTGTTATGTTGCCCAGGCTGGCCTTGAACTCCTAGCCTCAAGCAATCCTCCCATCTTGGCCTCCCATAGTGTTGGGATTACAGGCAAGAGCCAGTGTGCCCAGCCATCTAATTTCTGATCTGGTTTCTTTCCTTTTTCTTTCTTTTTTTTTTTTTTGATACCTAGTCTTGTTCTGTCTGTCTCACAGGCTGCCACGCTGGAGTGGAGTGGTGTGATCTCGGCTCACTGCAACCTCCACCTCCCAGGTTCAAGTGATTCTCCTGCCTCAGCCTCCCAAGCAGCTGGGACTACAGGCACGTGCCACCAGTCCAGGCTAATTTTTTATTTAATTTTATCTATTTATTTATTTATTTATTTTAGATGGAGTCTGGCTCTGTTGCCCAGGCTGGAGTGCAGTGGCATTATCTCAGCTCACTGCAAACTCCACCTCCTGGGTTCAAGCAATTCTTCTGCCTCAGCATCCCGAGCAGCTGGGATTACAGGCACCTGCCACCACACCCAGCTAAATATATTTATATATATATATTATATTATATATTATATTATATATATTATATATCATATATATTTATGATAATATATTTATAATTACATATAATATATAATATATTCTATATATATTATATATAGAATATATTATATATTATATATAATATATGATATATAATATATATTAATATATGATATATTATATTAATATATGATATATAATATATAATATATATTTTTATATATTATATATTTATATATTATATATTATATATTATATAATATATAAATATATTATAAATTATATATTATATAATATATAAATATATTATATATTATATAAATATATAATATATTTATATATTATATATTATATAAATATATAATATATTTATATATTATATATTTATATATTATATATTTATATATTATATATTATATATTTATATATATTATATATATTATTTATTTATATATATATAATATATATTATATATTTATATATTATATATTATATATATTATATATTTATATATTAATTATATATATTATATATTTATATATTATATATTATATATATTATATATTTATATATTATATATATTATATATATTTATATATTATATATTTATATATTATATATTTATATATTATATATATTTATATATTATATATATTTATATATTATATGTTTATATATTATATATTATATATATTTATATATTATATATTTATATATTATATATTATACATTTATATATTATATATTTATATATTATATATTATATTTATATATTTATATATTATATATATTTTTATATACTATATATATTTCTATATTATATATATTTATATATAATATATATTTCTATATTATATAATATATATTTTATATAATATATATAATATATATTTTATATAATATATATTTTTATATAATATGTATATATTATATATTATATATTTATATATAATATATATTTACATATATTATATATATTCACATATATTATATATTTATATATTATATATTATATTTATATTTATATATATTATATATACACACATATTTGTGTATATACACATCTGTGTGTATATATACACATCTGTGTGTATATATACACACACATATTTGTGTATATACACATCTGTGTGTATATATACACACACATTTGTGTATATACACATCTGTGTATATATATACACACACATATTTGTGTATATACACATCTGTGTATATATACACACACATATATATACACACATATATATGTGTGTATGTATATACACACATATATTTTCGAGACAGAGTCTCAATCTGTTGCCCAGGCTGGACTGCAGAGGCACGATCTCGGCTCACTGCAACGTCTACCCCCCGGGTTCAAGCAATTCTTCTGCCTCAGCCTCCTGAGTAGCTGGGATTACAGGCGACTGCCACCATGCCCGGCTAATTTTTGTACTTTTAGTAGAGACAGGGTTTCACCATCTTGGCCAGGCTGGTATTGAACTTCTGACCTCATGATCCACCCTCCTTGGCCTCCCAAAGTGCTGGGATTACAGGCGTGAGCCACCATGCCCGGTCATTTTTTTTTTTTTTTGAGATGGAGTTTTGCTCTTGTTGGCCAGGCTGGAGTGCAATGGCTTGATCTCGGCTCACCGCAACCTCCGCCTCCCGGGTTCAAGCGATTCTTCTGCCTCAGCCTCCGAAGTGGCTGGGATTACAGGCAAGGGCCACCATGCCCAGCTAATTTTGTATTTTTAGTAGAGACGTGGTTTCTCTATGTTGGTCAGGCTGGTCTTGAACTCCCAACCTCAAATGATCCGCCTGCCTTGGCCTCCCAAAGTGCTGGGATTACAGGCGTGAAACACCGTGCCCAGCACCCAGTCAATTTTTTATATTTTTGGTAGAGACGGGGTTTCACCATGTTGGCCAGGCTGGTCTCCAACTCCTGACCTTAAGTGATCTGCTCACCTTGGTCTCCCAAAGTGCTGGGAATGCAAGTATGAGCCACTACGCCCAGCAATTTTTGTATTTTTAGTAGAGATGTGGTTTCACCATGTTGGCCAGGCTGGTCTTGAGCTCCTGACCTCAGGTGATCCATCTGCCTCGGCCTCCCAAAGTGCTGGGATTACAGGCGTGAGCCACTGCGCCCAGCCTCTGATCTGGGTTCTTAAACTAGTTCTGTGAGATGCCCAGTAGCCTTTGGTACATTGCTTTTCAGCTTCAATCAGCCAGAATTGGAGTAGCCAGGTGGTCACTGACCTAGTGTCTGTCATCCCCAAGTTCACCTGTCCACTTGCTCTGGGGCTGGGACTCTGAAAACCGCATTCCAGACTACTTGGCCTGCTGGCTTTCTGGCGTGGTCAGCCCATCTAGAGAAAGAGACTGGCAGGAGGAATAGAGAAGGGGCAGCCTCCCTGATGCTCACACCCCTGTCCTCGCTTTCTTAGCAACAGCAGACAGTCCCGGCCTCCAGATTCCCTTAGCACCTCACACCCTGCTCCATCACACACTACTCATGGTTTTCCTGACGGGGTCCTCCCCAGTCACTGTCCCAGACTGGGGGCCTCCAGATTGAGCATATCATCCCAGCTTGCGGGAGTGCAAGGGGCCTCCTCCTGTCCCCACCACTGGCTAACCAGACATAGCCTCGGGGCTCTCAGGGGTCCTGGAGTATTTCAAAGAAGAGTCCACACTTTGGAGCCAGATGGGACAGGACAGTCTTGTGGCGTGGCTGGCTGTTACCCCAGCTAGGCAGTCCCTGGTGAAAACCTGACTCCATCCTGTGTGCAGACCAACAGGAGCTGCTCCCAGGGTCTCTGGAAGCTGATGTGGCTCTCAACAGTGCCTCTCAAAGTCCCTCCCTCTTCCCCTCTTCCTCGCTTCACACAAAGGCCTGACTCTCCTTTCTTTCCTGGGAGATCCTGATGGCCCAATAAAACTGACTGCTAAGTCATTGCCCATTGGAAACTGGTTTCCCTTCCCCTAGGGCTGGAGGGACTAATTCTTCACATGCTACTGGAAAGGAAAGGAACTATTTACACCAGTGTGTGATTGGGATGGGAGGCAGCGAGGGTGTGGGGGATTCCCTTCCCGGATCAGGTTGAATCCTACACCAAGGCAGTGAAGAGAAGGAAGAAAAATAAAACTTAAACTTCCATATTTTAAAAGTTCATATTCTGGCCAGGTGCAATGACTCACACCTGTAATGCCAGCACTTTGGAAGTCTGAAGTAGGTGGATCACTTGAGCCCAGGAGTTCGAGACCAACCTGGCCAACATGGTGAAACACCATCTCTACTAAAAATACAAAAAGTTAGCCAGATGTGGTAGTGTGCACATGTAGCCCCAGCTACTCGCAAGGCTGAGGCACCTGGGAGGCAGAGGTTGCAGTGAACTGAGATCACATCACTGTACTCCAGCCTGGGCGACAAAGTGAGACTCTGTCTCAAAAAAAAAAAAAAAAAAAAAGCTCCCATTCTGCCTCAGCTTTTTAAACTAGAATAAACTTAAAAATACAAACAAAAACTCATGAACTAAAGTTAACAACATTAAATCAACCTGATGGATGGATGATGTTTTACTGAAATGGAATCGAAGCGAATCACTGATGTGTGGTTTAATGGAAGAAAGATGTATTTTCAACTTGATTTTTCTCAGTTTTTTGTTTTTTTTTCGATAATGGATCTTTATTTGAGTCACTGACATAATCACTATTGATTTTTTTTCTGGATGTGAACAATAAACTCTTTCAACCACCTATCCGTTATTTTAATGAGCCAATCAATTTAATCATATACTCCCAAAATATAATACAGAAAATATTAAATGAAATTTCTTTACTGTTTATTTACTAACACACTGACTGCTAATGCAGATTGTAGTTTGGATGGGAAGAAGGTGGAAGTTGCAAAATTCATCTCACAGGACCACACAACTCTCTTGCCATTTTTTTGCATTTGAACTCTGGTGAAATGTTTGCCTTTAGTGATACTGCACACTGACTCATGTGCCGCGAACAGGATCTTAACCCAAATGGAAAAGCAGGTTTTAAAATCCTGAGCACTCATGGGAAGGATAAAATAAAATAAAATAAAATAAAATAAAATAAAATAAAATAAAATAAAATAAAATCCTGCAGGCTGGGTGCAGTGGCTCATGCCTGTAATCCCAGCACTTTGGGAGGCTGAGGCACTTTGGGAGGCTCGAACTTGAAGTGAGGAGTTTGAGATCAGCCTGGCTAACATGGTGAAACCCCGTCTCTACTAAAAATACCAAAATTAGCTGGGAGCGTGCCTGTAATCCCAGCTACTTAGGAGGCTGAGGCGGAAGGATTGCTTGAATCCAGGAGGCAAAGGTGGCAGTGACCCGAGATCATGCCACTGCAATCCAGCCTGGGCAACAAAGGAAGAATAGGTCTCAAAACAAACAAACAAACAAACAAAAAAACCCAAAACCGTGCAAGGCACAAGAGTTCTGGGGTAGTAACCCAGATAACCCAAAAATGAAAACACAACATTCAAAACTTCTGGCACAGCTTATAAATCCCCAGGAATATGGCTGCTGATCCCACTTGAAAAAGCACCACCCTGAGTTACCTGGGGAGGGGAATTAGGATGAAAAGAGAGATTGCTCAGGGGCCATGTGCACGGGCCTTGGAAGTACCCACTGCTGAGCTGCAGAAGCAGCTTGGGAAGACCCTAGTTGATGAAAGAAATTGGGGGTGAGTTTCCAAGGACAAGTGTAGGCCCCTCATTTATATGTGAGGAAGTGGGCCTCCTTTAGGAAGCCTGGGGCAAACCTGGCCAGAGTGGGGCTCCTTCTGGAAGCAAACCCCATAAGATGTACGATTGCCTTTCTTTTTTAAAAAAGTTTTTATTTATTTTTGAGATGGAGTCTCGCTCTGTTGCCTAGGCTGGAGTGCAGGGGCACAATCTTGGCTTACTGCAGCCTTGAACTCCTGGGCTCAAGTGTTCCTCCCATCTTAGTGTCCTGGGTAGCTGGAACTACAGGTGTGCACCACCACACCTGGCTCCTTTTTTAAAAACATTTTTAAATTTATTTTTTGTTTATTTTATTATTATTTTTGAGATGGAGTCTCACTCTGTTGCCCAGGCTAGAGTGCAGTGGCACGATCTCAGCTCACTGCAACCTCCACCTCCTGGATTCAAGTGATTCTCCTGCCTCAGCCTCCCAAGTAGCTGGGATTACAGGCATGTGCCACCACACCTGGCTAATTTTATGTATTTAAGAGAGACGGGGTTTCACCATGTTGGTCAGGCTGGTCTCGAACTCCCGACCTCAGGTGATCCACCCGCACCGGCCTCCCAAAGTGCTGGGACTACAGGCGTGCGCCACCACACCCAGCATTCCTTTTTTTTTTTTTTTTTTTTTTTTTTTAAAGTAAAGATTGGGTCCTGGTATGTTGCTCAGGCTGGTCTGGAACTCATGGGCTCAAGTGATCCTCCCGCCTCAGCCTCCCAAAGTGTTGGGATTACAGGAGTGAGCCACCACACCCGGCCTGTATGATTGCCTTTCCACTGCTCCTCCTTGAAGCATGAGCTGCAAACTTCTTTAAAAAGGCTAAAATGAGGCCGGGCATGGTGGCTCACGACTGTAATCCCAGCAAATTTTGCAGTAGCACAATCTCAACTCACTGCTGCCTCCGCCTTCTGGGTTCAAGCGATTCTTCTGCCTCAGCCTCCCAAGTAGCTGGGACTAGAGGTGAGCACCACCACGCCCAGCTAATTTTTGTATTTTTAGTAGAGATGGGGTTTCACCATGTTGGCCAGGATGGTCTCGACATTGTGATCCGCCTGCCTCGGTCTCCCAAAGTGCTGGGATTACAGGTGTGAGCCACTGCACCCGGCCTTCACTTTTTTTTTTCTAGAAAGCATAACTCAGTGGCACTCCACTTCTTTTTTGAGGTATAAATTTCCTTTCCTTGGCTAGGCACAGTGACTCATGCCTGTAATCCCAGCACTTTGGGAGGCCTAGGTGGGCAGATCACTTGAGGTCAGGAGTTCGAGACCAGCCTGGCCAAAATGGTGAAACCCTGTCTCTACTAAAAATACAAATATTAGCCAGGCATGGTGGTGCACACCTGTAGTCTCAGCTACTTGGGAGGCTGAGGCAGGAGAATCGCTTGAACCTGCGAAGCAGAGGTCGCAGTGAGCCACAATGGCACCATTGCACTCCAGCCTGGGTGACAAGAGTGAGACTCCATCTCAAAAAAAAAAAAAAAAAGAAGAAGAAAAAAAGAATCCCTTCATTTCAAAATTGGTGGAACTCTGAATTGTACACTGTTTATGATGGTCCCACGGGGTGGTACCACTCTAGCAGGTAAACAGAAATATACATCCTATCCCAAGTCAGCCACTGGGAACAGCAGCGTCCAGGTGTGCTGGGACTCAGGCATGTGGAGCTTCATTGAGTGGTCCCGGACATGCTCCAGCTAACAAGCGCATCATCAGTGTTGTAATCACTTCTGCAGAATGGTTAGCTGAGACAAAGTGCTGCGAGGAAGTGCTCCGATCCCTGTGAGAGCACTTGTTGTAATTTATGTGTGAGCATTTTGCAAAATACTAGCAGTGATGCAGAGAGCAAAGGCTCAACGAAAGCAAAACAATACTACAATGGCAGTAGAATTTGTGTTCTAAGGATCATGCCCCCAACTGTAGAGTTATTCTTATGAGAAATTATTCCTGAGTTTTTGAGTTGTAAATGATAAAGTCTTCAGAAACCTGCCATTCTCATGAAATGTAATTGACTCGATCAGATTCTGATCCCTAGGAGATGACCTCGGCTGGAAAGGAAGTACTGCCCTCCCAGCCTTTCCCATATAATCTGGGACTCCAGGATACAGGAGAAGAAACTAACAACTTTTTTATGCTTACTCATCTTCTCAATTTTTTTTTTGAGACGGAGTCTTGCTCTGTTGCCCAGGCTAGAGTAGCGTGGCAAGATCTTGGCTCACGGCAACCTTTGCCTCCCGGGTTTAAGCGATTCTCCTGCTTCAGCCTCCCGAGTAGCTGGGATCACCAGCGTGCGCCACCATGACCCCCTAAGTTTTGTATTTTTAGTAGAGGTGGGGTTTCGCCATGTTGGCCAGGCTGGTCTCGAACTCCTGACCTCAGGTGATCCGCCCGCCTCGGCCTCCCAAAGTGCTGGGATTGCAGGCATGAGCCACCACGCCCAGCCTCACCTTCTCCCATCTAACCCTTGGAGCGCTACCTGATTCCATCATCTTCTCCACCTACCACTCATCCTTTGTCAAGTGTTTTTTTTTTTTTCTTCAACAGATGAGGAGACTGAAGCTCTGGTAGGTTAAGTTGCCCAAGACCACACAGCTGGCCATCAGTACAACTGGGATTTGAACCTAGGTCATCTTGACACCAAAGCACACCCTGTGTTGTCATTTCCACCATCAAAAACTTGGCAGGAGGGTCAAGCACCGTGGCTCATGCCTGTAATTACAGCACTTTGGGAGGCTGGGGTGGGAGGATCACTCCAAGCCAGGAGTTGGAGACCAGTCTGGGCAACATAGCGAGACCCCATCTCTACAAGAAAAAAGGAGCTGGAAGTGGTGGTGCCTGCCTGTAGTCCCAGCTACTTGGGAGGCTGAGATGGGAGGATCACTTGGGTCCAGGAGGTTGAGGTTGCAGTGAGCTGTGATTATACCACTACACTCCAGCCTGTGTAACAGAACAAGACCCTCTCTAAATCTAAAAAAAAAAAAAAGAAAAAAAAAACCCAACAGGAATAAACAGGTGTCTCCCTGTGATGAGGGTACAGGGAAGGTATTTCTCAATAAGATATCATTATTCTTTCATAAATTATTCGAACATTAGGAAGCACCCTTGAATGGGATGATTTTGAAGATTGTATAGGTGGAAACGGTCACACCTTCTCTCCAGACATAATGTTACCATCATGTGGTTAACATGGCAATGGTATGTATGTCAATCAGCAAACTCAATCAGTGATTCACTTGCAAGATTTTATTTTAGTGCGTCAGCAGACGTTTCATTTCATGGAGTCAAGGAGAGGTTGATGCAGGCAGGGCAGGAAATTGCAACACAGGGGCCAGGCGCGGTGGCTCACGCCTGTAATCCCACCACTTCGAAAGGCTGAGGCAGGCAGATCACTTGAGGACAGGAGTTCGAGACCAGCCTGGCCAACATGGCAAAACCCCATCTCTACTAAAAATACAAAAATTAGCCAGGCATGATGGTGCATGCTTGTAATCCCAGCTATTTGGGAGGCTGAGACATGAGAATCGCTTGAACCCAGGAGGCGGAGGTTGTAGTGAGCCAAGATTGTGCCACTGCACCCCAGCCTGGGCGACAGCGTGAGACTCTGTTTCAGGGAAAAACAAAAACAAAAACGAAAATTGCAACACAGGCTGCAAGGGCAAACTGTCAAATGTTTCCTGATTCTCTGGGAAACTGCAAGGTTATTTATCTATCCACTCGCCAAACACAAATGACGAAATAAAAGCATGAGACCCTGGATAATTTACCCATTGCCAGATTACAGGCCAGCACTACCTTATAAAACAGCGTAATTCTGAAAGTGAAGTAGCTGTGTTCTCGATTAAATTGAAAGTAGAAATCAATTGAATTGCATAAGCATAATTCTAGGGGACTTACATAACACATTTTTCTTTTCGAAATCCTTTTACATTTGTTATCTTATCTCTGCACAACCTCCCTACTTTGGACAAACTTTTATTATAGCACTTATCACCCTGTAGTTAATGTTTAGTGTACATGTCTGTCTTCCCATTGGTTTATAACCTTCTTCAGGGCAGAGACCCTGCCGTATTTATGCATCTATAAAGCCCTAGCACTTGGTAAGGTATGAGTTAGGACTTGTTTTGTTAGGAAACTGACAGAAACCCACTGGATGCAGTTTAAGCAACAAGCGAGCTTTGTTTCAAGCAGCTCCAGGGCAGGGATGCAGCCACGTCTAGGATGACTGGGTACCAGGCTCTCTCACATTTCCTCATCTCCCTGCCTGCCTCATTAACACCTCTGCAGAAGTGTCTTTCATTGCTTCCTGGTCCACTGAAAACCTGGCTGCCAACATATCCTGAGTTAACGTGCAACTTGCCCAGCCCTGCATTGACAGCCTCAATCACCGTCTGGGCCCCGACCTCCCCAGTCTCCTCAGGCCTAGGCTCTGATTGTTCCGCCTCAGTGAGGTGTTCACCTCTAGTCCATTCAACGGCCAGAGGGCTGTTCCTATGGTAACCATGTGCCCGGGCAGGAAGGAAGAAGGCACAGTTCCCAGAAAAAAAGGGAGAAGGGGCAGGGCAGCTCAAACAATAAGTGGCTACGTCCGTGTGTATATACTTGGTGCTCTATAAATGCTCACTGTGATCTGCCTTGCTCTGAATGCTGCTGCAATGCCCGCCTTCTTTTAGTTCCGCAAACACACGTGCTCTTTCTGGCCTCAAGGGTTCCCATGTGTGGTTTTCACTTCCCGATGGCTCTTCCCTGTCTGCACCCCTTGGCCTGGCTGATGTCTACTCTTCCTTTGGGTTAGCATCTGGACTTGCCACCTCTTTAGAAGGCCTTTCCTGACCTGTGCCCAGAATACCCTGTACTCGCTTTCTTTCTCTCTTTTTCTTTCTTTCTCTCTCTCTCTCCTTCCTTCCCTCCTTCTTTCTTTCTTTTCTTTTTTTCAGTCTCACTTTGGCTTACTGTGATCTGCCTTGCTGGAGTGCAGTGGCACCATCTCAGCTCACTGCAACCTCCGTCTCCCGGGTTCAAGCGATTCTCCTGCCTCAGCCTCCCAAGTAGCTGGAACTACAGGCATGCACCACCACGCCCGGCTAAGTTTTTATATTTTTTAGTAGAGATGGGGTTTCACCTTGTTGGCGCACCACCATGCCCGGTTAATTTTTGTATTTTTAGTAGAGACAGGGTTTTACCTTGTTGGCCAGGGCAGGTCTCGAACTTCTGACCTTAAATGATCTGCCACCCTTGGCCTCCCAAAGTGCTGGGATTACAGGCATGAGCCAGTGCTTCTGGCCACCCTGTGCTATTTCTTCAAAACCCTCACCACCTTGCAGTTACTTGTTTAATTCCTGCCTGTCAGTTCCAGGGCTGCCAGCAGTCCCTGCAAAGGAATTAGCCGGCAACCTGCCGGGGTGAGGGTGGCGGGGAGTTAATGCGCCATGAAGCAAACCTTTGACTGATGGGAGATGGGGAAAGTGGATACATTCTGGCCCTTTTCATCCTCAATGGACTTTCAAGAGGAGGAGCCTCATAGCCACTATGGTTCCTTCTCTCCTCTCTCCCATGGTCTCTCCTCGGTGCTCTCTGCGATGGCCCTCACTTATAGAGTAGGATCAAACAGGCCTTTACCTCAAGGTTTCTGGGAACCCAAGCCAAGTTACCAACTCTGGCTGGCGTTAAGTAGAAACTTCCGTGTACGAAGCACAGTGCTGAAGCGATGCGTGAGGAGGCCCCTCTGCCCACCTCTGGGCTTTGCTTTCCTCCACATTAGGCAGCCTCTCCCTCCACGGAAGCAGTTTGCCACCAGCAGCTCCGGCTTTTTCCTAAGTGCAAATGATGTTCCTTTCCCATAGTTTCAGCCTAAGTCCTGGGCTCTGCCTCGCAGACTCTGATTGGTCCATAGAGGGACATGTGTTCTCCTTGGACCCAATCGCTGTGGGGGGTGGACACCGACCTTGATCTCCAGGTATGCATTTTTCAAGCGTCAGGAGCAGTGGTACCAGGAATAGGGAGCAGATGAGGCCCAGGAATTGCAAACAGGGTGTGGTATGGGAGAAAGGACCAACACAGAAGATAAGGATCCCTGGGGCCATCTTGGAGGCTGCCTTCCACAGCTCCCCGTTGAGTCCTCTGGGGATCAGCCCTATCTACCTACTTCCTGCAAAACTTTTTCCATGTTGTATTATTGATGCTTTGCCTTATTTCCAGATTGCAAACTCTTTGAGGGCAGCGACTAAATCTTGTTCATCTTTCCTTTCGTTTTTAGCCCCTAGAATTTCTTTCTTTTTCTTTTTTTTTTTTTTAAGACAGAGTCTCACTCTGGCTGGAGTGCAATGGCGTGATCTCGGCTCACCGCAACCTCCTCCTCCCAGGTTCAAGCGATTCTCCTGCCTCAGTCACCCGAGTAGCTGGGATTACAGGCATGTGCCATCACGCCCGGCTAATTTTTTATTTTTAGTAGAGACAGGATTTCTCCATGTTGGTCAGTCTGGTCTCGAACTCCTGACCTCAGGTGATCCGCCCGCCTCGGTCTTCCAAAGTGCTGGAATTACAGGCGTAAGCCACCACGCCTGGGCCAAAATTTCTAATATAGAATATATATTTAATAAATGTCAAAATAGGCTGGGTGCAGTGGCTCACACCTATAATCCCAGCACTTTGGGAGGCCGAGGTGGGAGGATCGCTTGAGTTGAGGAGTTTGAGACCAGCCTGGGCAACAAAGTGAGACCTTATCTCCACAAAAGATTAAAAAATTAGCGGAGCATAGTAGCGTGTGTCTGTGGTCCCAGCTACACAGGAGGCTGAGGCAGGAGGATCGCTTGAGCCCAGGAGGTTGAGATTGAGGCTGCTCTGAGCTATGCTCATGCCACTGCACTCCAGCCTGAGTGACAAAGTGAGACCCTGTCTCAAAAAAAAAAGTTTTAAAAAAATGTCAAATTAAGGCTGAATGCATTCTTGAATGAATATAAATGAATGAATTAGTGACTACCTGGATGGATAGTTCAAAAGACTAGAGTAGATACTGTGAAATATTATATTATTAATTTCCCCCATTTTCTGCAGGCCAGATCCCTAATGAGTTGGTTACTCAGATCTCGCTTCTTTTTTCTCTGATTACTACTTCCCACTTCCCCGCCCCCACACCCTATGGTTATAGAACCCAAGGTCTTGGTCGCCAAATTGGAATAACATCCAGCCCTCTAGTCACAGCTGGTTGGACACTTACCAGGAGGCACCAATGGGCTCCTTCTTAGGGAGTTTGAAGTTGGGACTAAAAGAGGCCAAGCTTTGGTCTGGCTTCTTTTTTCTCAGGAGGGACATGAAAACCTGGATAGTGTTAGCAATAGCAATTCTTTGTTCTGTGGACTGGGGAGCAGAGAAAGTCAATCTGCCAGAACAGGAGACAGAATGACCCCATAGGAATGCGAATAAAGAGAGAGAGAAGGGTGGCCTAGGGCTACTGAAACACACCAGTTCCTGCTTCCAGTCCAGTCCTGAGATCCCAGCAGCATCTCTAGTCTTGGTCCCTATGAAACCAAGATTCTTCGTTTTTGTTTTTTGGTTTTTTTTTTTTTTTTCGAGATAGGGTCTCACTCTGTCACCCGGGCTAGAGTATAGTGGCATGATCATACCTCACTGCAATCTCCACCTCCCAGGCTCAAGTGATCCTCCCACCTCAGCCTCCTGAGTAGCTGGGACTACAGGCACGTGCCACCACACCTGGCTAATTTTTTAAAAAATTTTGTAGAGACAGTGATTTCACTATGTTGCCCAGGCTGGTCTCCAACTCCTGGGCTCAGGCAATCCTTCCGCCTCGACCTCCCAAAGTTTTGGGATTACAGGTGTGAGCCACCATGCCTGGCTGAGACCAAGATTCTTACAGTCAATGGGATTGAAGTGGTGGTGTGCTAGAGCCACTCACCATGCCCATGTGAGCCAATTGGGCATACTTCTTCAGTGACCTCACATTGGTAGCTTGAAATTGGCCATGGGGGGGACTGGGCACGGTGGCTCACACCTGTAATCCCAGCACTTCGGGAGGTGGGTGGATCACCTGAGGTCAGGAGTTAGAGACCAGCCTGGCCAACATGGCGAAACCCCGTCTCTACTAAAAATACAAAAATTAGCTGGGCATGGTGGTGGGTGCCTGTAATCCCAGCTACTCAGGAGGCTGAGGCAGGAGAAACACTTGAACTCAGAAGGCAGAGGTTGCAGTGAGCCGAGATCGCACCACTGCACTTCAGCCTGGGTGACAGAGCCAGACTCTGTCTCAATAGAAAAAGAAAAGAAAGAAAGAAAGAAAGAAAGAAAGAAAGAAAGAAAGAAAGAAAGAAAGAAAGAAAGAAAGAAAGAAAGAAGGAAGGAAGGAAGGAAGGAAGGAAGGAAGGAAGGAAGGAAGGAAGGAAGGAAGGAAGGAAGGAAGGAAGGAAGGAAAGAAAGAAAGAAAGAGGCCATGGGGGCAGTATTTACACCACAGAAATTGGTAATTACTACCAATCAGGTATCCCTCCTTAAGAGCTGGTTATTAAACATTTACAGGCATGCCACAGGATTTAAGGCCATTCTGAGGAATTTCTGTAACTTACAGCTTAGAGTCTTTCTGATTAAAACATTTGCCGGGCAAATTCCTCTTCATGCTTTGAGACCCAGTAGATTGCCTGTGAGAGGCCTCCCCTGATGTTTGTAGGAAGCTTGTTCTCGGCTATTCATTGTGTCCCTTAGATATGATGAGACTTACCAGAACTCTGAGGGTTACATGACACAGGCCATGAGTAAAACCGAGACCCACCTAGGCAATAACTGTCTATTGCCCTAAGAGTGACGTCCGTGCTCCTCCGAGTGGTGGCCCTTGTCCTTCTTGTACGTCCAGACTCTTTCATGCTACCCCATCTCCATGCCCTGGCCCCTTAGCCTTCTCAATCTCTGGCCCAGACTCTGCTTAATGAGCTGTCGATCGTTTGCAGAATCTGATAAAGATCATGGACTTTCTCGCGCAAGAAACACACAGACACAAAATCATATGCATGTTGTTTCAAGATATTCATGGACCAAATATCTTCTTTACTCAGAAGTCTTTCCTGCATCCTGTGTGTCCCACTCTACCCCAAGCATGCTTCTATCTCAGGATTTAGCATTTTCAAATTTATGTTGATTTTCAAGTCCTTTACTACACTGGAGCTTCTCAGGGGAAGCACCTATTATTGTGTTAGTTATGAGTACAAGGATGACTGAGGTGTGATTGAGGTGTGTACCAACATCTAATTTCTAATCATGAGCTCATGGTGGCCGGGCGCAGTGGTTCACGCCTGTAATCCCAGCACTTTCGGGGGCCGAGGTGGGCGGATCACTTGAGGTCAGGAGTTCGAGACCAGCCTGGCCAACATGGTGAAACCCCATCATCTCTACTAAAAATACAAAAATTAGCTGAGCATGGTGGTGCATGCCTGTAATCCCAGCTACTCAGGAGGCTGAGGCAGGAGAATTGCTTGAACCCAGGAGGTGGAGGTTGCGGTGAGCCGAGATCACGCCACTGGACTCCAGCCTGGGTGATAGAACGAGACTCTGTCTCAAAAAAAAAAAAAAAAAAAAAAGAGATCACAGTGTAGCTACAGCCACAGCCCAGCTGTCTAAGCACAAAGGTGCCATTGAGGATGGCATTAGCATTGGTAAGGGACGAAGATTCCAACCAAAGATAGGCCTGGCACACGCAGAAGTGGGGGAGGAGGAGTCACCATGGCCAGTATATTCCCAGCATCCGTGGGATGAGGGGGCTCAGGGTGTGGGGAAGTGCCTTGGGCGAAGGAAGAGGAGCACCTCAAATATGGTACCAGGGGAAGAACCTGTACTTTGGGGTCTCAGAGATCTAGGTTCCCATTCTTGCTCCATCCCTTATGGCTTATAACTGTGAGCAAGTCACTTTGTCTTTCTGAGATTTAGTTTTCTCGCCCGTCAAAACATACTTTATTGCCAGGCATGGTGGCACACGCCTGTAGTACCAGCTACTTGGGAGGCTGAGGTGGGAGGATCTCTTGAGCCCAGGAGTTTGAGGCTGCAGAAGAATTTGAGGACCATGTTTGCTCAGTCCCCTGTATGAACCCATCCTCTGCCCACACAGGTCTCTTCCTCCTGCCTGACTCCCCAGATAAGCTGGCCGAGTCCTCAGACGTGACCAGGGGAAAGGGAAAGAGACCAAAGTCGCAAGTTAAAATAGTATCAATCTGGCCGGGCACCATGGTTCACGCCTATAATCCCAGCACTGTGGAAGGCCTAGGCGGAAGGATCGCTTGAGCCCAGGAATTTGAGACCAGCCTGGGCAACAAAGTGAGACCCATCTCTACAAAAAATAAAAAAATTAGCTGGGCCTGATAGCATGTACCTGTGGTCCCAGCTACTCAGGAGGCTGAGGTGGGAGGATCACTTGAGACTGGGAGGTCGAGGGTGCATAAGCCATAATCGCGCCACTGCACTCCAGTCTGGGTCACAGAGCGGGACGCTGTCTCAAACAATTTTTAAATGAAATAGTCTCAACCCCTCTGCTCCCCTTGCCCATCAAATAGCCTCCTCCTTACAATATGGCTTCCCATTTAGCCTGCTTATAGGTGCAACATGAACCGACCTCCTGGAGAAAACATGGGGCCTCGGGGAGGATGGAATATTGAATTTGTGTCCTGCCTGTAGAAAGAAGGTAATGGAAGGGGCTGAACTGCCGTACACCTTTGAAGAAGGCTGAAGGTACGAAACCTGAAGCTTCTCCAACACCCCCAGGGTGGGCGTCCAACCGCTTCTAGGGTGCCTGATGCTAAGGTAGCTGCTCTTCGAGAGCAACCAACCAACCCCCTTCTTTTTGTTTTGTTTTGTTTGAGACAGAGTCTTGCTCTTGTCGCCCAGGCTGGAGTGCAATGGCATGATCTCAGCTCACTGCAACCTCTGCCTCCTGGGTTCAAGTGATTCTCCTGCCTCAGCCTCCAGAGTAGCTGGGACTACAGGCACCCCCACCATGCCTGGCTAATTTTTGTCTTTTTAGTAGAGACGGAGTTTCACCATGTTGGCCAGGAAGGTCTCGAACTCCTGACCTCAGGTGATCCACCCGCCTCAGCCTCCCAAAGTGTTGGGATTACAGGTTTGAGCCACCGTGCCTGGCAACCCCCTTCTTTTAACTCTATCCTCAAGTACCACTGCAATGACTAAAGCAACGTCTATCACCTTGTGTTAGCATGACTCGATGTGCCAGGCATTGTGTGAGAGGTTTTGTGTATATGATCTCTCTTTTTTTTTTTTTTTTGAGACAGGGTCTCACTCTGTCACCCAGGCTGGAGTGCAGTGGCATGATCATGGTTCATTGCAGCCTCAGCCACTCAGGCTCAAGTGATTCCCCCACCCCAGCCTCCCAAGTGGCTGGGACCACAGGTGTGTGCCACCACACCTGATTAATTTTTGTATTTTTTGTGGAGACGGAGTTTCACCATGTTACTCAGGCTAGTCTTGAATCCCTGGGCTCAAGTGATCCTCCCCCTTTAGCCCCTCTAGTAGTTGATACCACAGGTGTGCACCACCATGCCTGGCTAATTTTGTTTATTTAACATAGAGACAAGGTCTCACTATGTCGCTCAGGCTGGAGTGCAATGGTGTAATCCCACAGCCTTGAACTCCTGCGTTCAAGGGATTCTCCCGCCTCAGCCTCCCGAGTAGCTGGGACTACAGGCACGTACCACCATGCCCAGCTAATTTTAATATTTTTAGAAGAGATAGGGTTTTGCCATGTTGTCCAGGCTGGTCTCGAACTCCTGGGCTCAACCAATCCTCCTGCCTCTGCCTCCCAAATTGCTGGGATTCCAGGTGTAAGCCACCGTGCCCGGCCTGTTACCTCTTCTGAGTCCTCACAGCACTAGTAGGAGGAGGCACTATTATTGTCCCTGTTTTCTAGATGAGGATACTGAGTCTAGAGAAGTGGAGGAACCTGCCCGAGGTCACAGGGCAAACATTAATTTGGGAATTCTCCAAGTCCAGCGCTACTGCCCTGTTCCCCACTGCGGTGCTCCTTTGACCTCCCGCTGCCTGTCTGAGGCTGCCCATGCTCTGGCTAGTTCTGGCTTTGTCCAGGAAATAAAGCCCCAGGTTCACAAATGATGTCAGTGCCAAGCTTTTTCAAAAGGTATTATTATGTAATATTTAACACATACAAGAGAAAATATGTCACATATATGTAATTCAAAAAACATAACAATAACAACAGTTCCCCTGCCCCTCAAACCTACCTCCCAACTTAAAAATATACTAGTAAGTTTTCAAAAAACCTTTCATCTTTTGTGTTTTTAGAGATCTGTTGTGTTTTCAAAATGTGAAACCTTTCTCAATATAACCTTCTAACTGGAAACCTGAATATCCCCTGTGGGTTAGCCAGCTGTCTCCCTCTACCATCTTTTCCTGGAGGGGTAGGTGCTTGACTGCAGTATTTTTTTAAAAATTTTTTTTAACTTTAAAATTTAATTTTTTTTTAAAGAGATGAGGGTCTTACCAAATTTAATTATTTTTTAAAGAGATGGGGGTCTTACTAAATTTAATTATTTTTTAAAGAGATGGAGTCTTATTAAATTTAATTATTTTTTAAAGAGATGGGGGTCTTACTGTGTTGTCCAAGCTAGTCTCAAGGTCCTGGGCTCAGGCCATCCTCCTGCCTCAGTCTTTCAAGTAGCTGGGACTATAGGTATGTGCCACCATGCATTTTTTTTTTTTAATCACACTTCTGTCAGCAAATTCTGTGGGTCTGACCTTGAAAATATATCACAAATCCAACCGTCTCTTCTGCCCTGATCTAAGTCACAATATGGCTGGACTCCTGCAGTAATCTCCCAGGCATTCTCCATCAGGCAGCTGTGGTGAGGTTTTTTTGTTTTGTTTTGTTTTTTAAAAAGAAAAAAAGGAAATTGGTCCAGGCTCAGTGGCTCACACCTGTAATCCCAGGACTTTGGGAGGCCGAGGCAGGTGGATCACCAGGTCAGGAGTTCAAGACCAGCCTGGCCAACATAGTGAAACTCCGTGTCTACTAAAAATATAAAAATTAGCTGGGTATGGTGGTGCACACCTGTAGTCCCAGCTACTCAGGAGGCTGAGGCAGGAGAATCGCTTGAACCCGGGAGGCAGAGGTTGTGGTGAGCTGAGATTGTGCCACTGCACTCCAGCCTGAGCAACACAGCAAGACTCTGTCACAAAAAAGAAAAAAAAAAAAAAGAAATGGGCCGGGTGTAGTGGCTCACACCTGTAATCCCAGCACTTTGGGAGGCCAAGGTGGGTGGATCACCCAAGGTCAGGAGTTTGAGACCAGCCTGGCCAACATGGTGAAACCCGGTCTCTACTAAAAATACAAAAAGGTATCCAGGCATCATCCCAGCTCCTCCAGAGGCTGAGGCAGAAGAATTGCATGAACCCAGGAGGTGGAGGTTGCGGTGAGCCCAGATGGCGCCATTGTACTCCAGCCTGGGCAAGAGCAAAACTCTGTCTCAAAAAATAAAAAAATAAACAAAAAAGGAAATCAAGGGCCGGGTATGGTGGCTCACACCTGTAATTCCAGCACTTTGGGAGGCCAAGGTGGGAGGATCGGTTGAGCCCGGGAGTTTGAGATCTACCTGGGCAGCACAGCGAGACTTCATCTTTGCCAAAAAAATAAAATTAGCCAGGCATGGTGACAACTGCCTGTGATTCCAGCTACTCAGGAGGCTGAGGTGGGAGAATTGCTTGAACCCAGGAGATCGAGGCTGCAGTGAGCTGTGATTGCGCCACGGCACTCCAGCCAGGGCGACAGAGCGAGACTCTGTTTCAAAAAAAGGAAATCAGATGATGTTTCTCCCTGCTTGGTCCTGACCCTGGGACACACCTGTCCTGCTAGTTCAACACTGAATCCTCAGCACTGACCAAGGAGATGGGAAGAGAGTTCCTGGTCTGGCCACAGTTGACAAGGCCTTATGGTGCTTCCCTCTTTCCCTGCAGGAGATGAGCTGACACTCACTGTTCCCTTTTTCCAGAAGCCTTTCCCAGACATGCTCATGGCTCATGCCTTCCTCCATTTGCCTCTGCTCATTGGCACATCTGCCCTGACCTCTGACCTGCTCGACCCCTTTCCACTCCCCTGGTTCTCAGCCCACCACCGGTGAGATCAAATACGCCCTTTTTATAACACATAGTAATGTGCCCTCCCCTTTAAAAGCATGAAATAAATTCACAGGCAATAAAATCTACCTAAGCATACACTTTAAAAAATCAATAGGATGTAGTGTAATTTATGGAAGAAAGAAAAGGAAATTAAGTTTTAAAATTTTATTTATTTATTTATTTGAGACAGAGTCTTGCTCTGTTGCGCAGGCTGGAGTGCAGTGGCATGATCTCAGCTCACTGCAACTTCCACCTCCCCGGTTCAAGCAATTCTCCTGTCTCAGCCTCCCGAATAGCTGGGACTACAGACACATGCCACCACGCCCAGCTAATTTTTGTATTTTTAGTAGAGATGGGGTTTCACCATATTGGTCAGGCTGGTCTCCAACGCCTGACCTCAGGTGATCCACCTGCCTCGGCCTCCCAAAGTGCTGGGATTACAGGCATGAGCCACTGAGCCCAGTCAGGAAATTAACTTTTTTTTTTTTTTTTTGAGATGGAATCTCACTCTGTTGTCCAGGCTGGAGTGCAGTGGCATGATTTCAGCTCACTGCAACCTCTGCCTCCCAGGTTCAAGCAATTCTGCCTCAGCCTCCTGAATAGCTGGAATTACAGGCATGCGCCACTACACCCGGCTAAGTTTTGTATTTTTAGTAGAGACAGGGTTTCGCCATGTTGGCCAGGCTGTTCTCAAACTCCTGACCTCAGGCAATCTGCCCGCCTTGGCCTCCCGAAGTGCTGGGATTACAGACATGAGCCACTGCGCCTGGCGGAAATTAACTTTTAATAATTGAATACATAACTTCAGTAAATGAATGCCCTGGTGGCTATCTGCAAATATGCGTAGACTGATAGAGATTGTGAGATGTTGACTTGAAATCGGCAGAGACGTGATTTCCTAAAACAATAAAAAACTCTCGGTGGAGTCCCAAACAAAACGAAGTACAGCCTTCCCTCCATATACAAAGTTCTTGAATTCCTGGAAATTCACTGAGTGATAAATCTGTGTACAAAATACTTCGTGCTTGATTATAAAACCAAGTGAGGGGCAGGGCGCGGTGGCTCACGCCTGTAATCCCAGCACTTTGGGAGGCCAGGGTGGGTGGATCATGAGGTCAGGAAATCGAGACCATCCTGGCTAGCATGGTGAAACCCCGTCTCTACTAAAAATACAAAAAAGTAGCCAGGCGTGGTGGCGGGCGCCTGTAGTCCCAGCTACCCGGGAGGCTGAGGCAGGAGAATGGCGTGAACCAGGGAGGCGGAGCTTGCAGTGAGCCGAGATCGCGCCACTGCACTCCAGTCTGGGAGACAGCGAGACTGTCTCAAAAAAAACCAAAAAACCAAAAAAACAAAAACCAAGTGAGGTTCTAGGCTCAAATACTTACAAACAGAATTTTCACATGCATGGATGTCTGCTGAGACATTCTAAAGTCACGTGAGGAGATCAGTTTTCATCTCCTCACCTCTCCAACTATCTTGTGCATCGCAGCATGTCTGGCTTGTCTGACTCCAGCCAGCTGAGTGCCTGCTGTGCCCCCAGTCAATGGGACAACTAGAAAAAAACCTATAGAAATTTAAAAAATGTACACTAGGCGGCGCTGCCACCCTGGGCGAGAACCATATCTAGGCCCTCGTTTTATTCTGTTTCTCCTCACCCATCACTGACCACGTGAGATTGCAGTCTGCATTTTTTGTTTGTGTATGGCTTGTTTCCACGACTAGAGTGTGGGCTGCAGGAGGGCAAGGCTTTGTTTCTTTCTGTTTAAAAATGATGTGTGTGTGTATGTGTGTATGTGTGTTTATATATTTGTGTGTGTGTGTGTGTGTGTGTGTATATATATATATATACATATACTTTTTTTTTTTTTTTTGGTGAGACGGAGTCTTGCTTGTCACCCAGGCTGGAGTGCAGTGGTGCCATCTCGGCTCACTGCAACCTCTGACTCCCGGGTTCAAGCGATTCTTCTGCCTCAGCCTCCCAAGTAGCTGGGATTACAGGCATGTGTCACCACGCTAGGCTAATTTCTTTTTGTGTTTTTAGTGGACACGGGGTTTCACCATATTGGCCAGGTTGGTTTCGAACTCCTGACCTTGTGATCCAACCCCTTCAGCCTCCCAAAGTGCTGGGATTATAGGCATGAGCCACGGCGCCCAGCCTATATTTTTGTATTTTAAAAGCCGGATATATTTGTAAAAGATCATGCTTACAATCAGTAAATTACGTAGTAAAGAAACATCAAAATAAAGTAGATGAATAAAAGGCACACTCGAAAAATCCGAGAGCAGAAAAGACAGTTCTTTTTGTTTTATTTCTAATGTAGGCAGAAAGAAAAAGAGATATGTTAAAATTATTTTTTTCAAGAGAAGTTTTCTGTCAGTTGGAGTAATTAGCATTGGCTTCTTTTTGCCTGTGTCTAAAGCAGGATTTTCCTGCACTGGCTTCTGAGGAGGTTCAGCCTTCTGCCATGTGTGCCTTGATAGGCGACGGCCACTGCTGACATGGCAGGGATCACTCAGTTGGTCCACCAACTGGAGCTAGAATCAACAGCAGTGATAAGAGTTTCCGAAGCTTGTTTAACTTTGGTCTGTCGTCTGGATGGGGCTCCTGAATGATATATGTTTTGGACAATTCCATGGCATCTCAAAGATGCCCGACATCCTCAAAATTCTCAGTAGCGTCACCTCCAGCTTGTTCCCTTAAGACTTCTTCCCCACCAGAATGCTCTTCCAGAAATTTGGTCAAATAGTACACTTGTGGTGCAGAATCAGTCAGGTGCTCTTGCTGTCGTTGTGCTTCTGAATCTCCTCTAGGGTGTAGTACTTCACGGCCTCGTCCAGCTGCTCGGCCGTCTCGGTTGGCTGCGAGCCAGGCCCAGCACACACAGCCTCGTCGGGTGGAGTAGAGCTTGTGACTCCGCCAGCTCCACCTGGGACATTCCCCTCGCCAGGCACCACACCAGGGGCTGGGCGGCCGGCTCAGGGGCGGGGCGACGTAGAAGCACATATGTATATATATATTTTAGAAACAGGGTCTTACTATGTTCCCAGGTTGGTCTTGAACTCCCGGGCCCCAGTGACCCTCCTGCCTCGGCCTCCCAAAGTCTCAGGATTACAGGCGTGAGCCACTGTGCCTGGCCAAGGTTTTGTTTCTTCCGCTGGTGTACCCCCAATGCCAACAACAGTGCCTGGCAATGACTGGGCTCGCCAAGGGGGAGTGGATAAATGAGTGGTATCCAAGCCCTCCCTAGTTTCCATCCTTAGAACTCTACGTTAAAGAGTGTTCGGAATCAGTTCTTTTTCTTTTTTGAGATGGAGTCTTGCTCTGTCGCCCAGGCTGGAGTGCAATGGTGCGATCTCGGCTCACTGCAACCTCTGCCTCCTGGGTTCAAGTGATTCTCCTGCCTCAGCCTCCTGAGTAGCTGAGATTACTCAAAGTGACCTACCTTCAGTCACTTTTAAATCCAACTCCCAATTTTGGACAACATAGAGATTTTTGAATCTCTTTCTTTGCTCACATTGTGTTTTTGTTTTATTTTGTTTTTTTGAGATGGAGTCTCACTCTGTTGTCCCACCATGATCTCGGCTCACTGCAACCTCCACCTCCCAGGTTCAAGCAATTCTCCTTCCTCAGCCTCTCAGGTAGCTGGGATTACAGGTGTGCACCACCATGCCTGGCTAATTTTTGTATTTTTAGCAGAGACAGGGTGTTTACCATGTTGGCGAGGTTGGCCTCAAACTCCTGACCTCAAGTGATCTGCCCGCCTCAGACTCCCAAAGTGCTGAGAGTACAGGTGTGAGCCACCGTGCCTGGGCTCACATTGGTTCGATTTTACTCTGACAATGGTTCCTGCCAGCCAGGCACTGCACCAGTACTGCATAAGCGTCCTCTCATTTGATCCTCCAGGAACTCCCTTCGGTTAGGCACTGTCATTATCCTCACTTGACAAATAAGGAAACTGAGGCTCAATAGAGAGGCTGGGCAACTTTATCAATGTCACACCCACTGAGCGCAAGGCCTGGGTTTTGAATACCAGGCCCTCGCTGTCCATGCGCAGAACCACCGGGCTATATACCCCTCTGGACGCACTTTAGGCAGATCAGTGTGTTACAGTCGAGAGAAGTCTAGTCTAGGAGCCAGAAGACCTGGGTTCAAGGTATTAAGTCGGCCACTGGCTGGCTGTGTGACTTCGGGCGGCCCCTTAACCTCAGCTTCCTAGCTTCCTCATCGACCAAGTGAATAAGGAAGAACCGGCCAAGGCTGGGCACAGTGGCTCACGCCTGTAATTCCAGCACTTTGGGAGGCCAAGGCGGGTGGATCACCTGAGGTCAGGAGTTTGAGACCAGCCTGGCCAACATGGTGAAGCCCCATCTCTACTAAAAATACAAAAATTAACGGGGCATGGTGGTGCATGCCTGTAATCCCAACTTCTCAGGAGGCTGAGGTGGGAGGATCTCTTTAACCCAGGAGGTGGAGGTTGCAGTGAGCTGAGATTGTGCCACTGCACTCTAGCCTGGGTGACAGAGCAAGACTCTGTCTCAAAAAAAAAAAAAAAAAAGGAAGAACCAGCCAAAAAGACAAACTGGACCCAAGGCTGCATGGACTGCTGTATACCTCCTCAGGAGGGAATTCAGCTCTGCTCTGAGCCAGCCAGGGGGCCAGGCATGCCCAGGATGTCCTGGAGAAGGCCCTGAGGACAACATCCACATGGGGGAGGGGCTTCCACTGGAGGGACAGGGGACTGTTCCGGCCTGAAGAGAGAGGACCAGCGGGTGGGTGGGTGAGAAGGACCTTCCAAGGGAGGAAAGTTCGCCGGTTTTCCACGTGTCCTGACATGACCCGGCACTCCTGAACAACAGCCAGAGACAGGGATGGAGGGCAATGTTAACACTCCTCAGGGCGGCCTCCGTCTTAGGTTAGAAGATAAAAAGATCTGATGCCACCCTGAGGGAATCGAAGGCTAGGCACAAAGGGAGGAAGAACTTTCTGTAAGCCAGGGGTATGGATACAGAATGGGGGGCCATGGTGGAGAGAGTGCTGGGGTGAGTAGAGGCATGTCAGGAAAGTTGTCCAGAAGCTTCAAGCCAGGCTTTCCAACATGAAGATGCTATTTGCATATAACCTATGCCCCCTCCACATACACACACACAAAAGACCAAGATGCCTTTCCCTCCTCTTCCCACTAGACCTTAAAAATCCTTTGCGGGCTTTCCTAGGCACGACATGGAGGAAGCTGCTGTGATCTATTCCACCAACCCTGCTGGGGCCAGGCCTGCCTGGATATTTCTGGCTCTCTCAAAAGAAAACAAACCTTTACCCACTAATGTAAGCAGGCAAAATCTTTACCCAACAAAACAAACAAACCAGCTCCTGGAGGTCATGCCCGGCTTTCCTAATATGGCATCGGGTTGGTACCCTTGGCACCCAATCAACATGAGTAGTCCCGCTCCCAGGAGAAGAGGAGAAACAGACTACAGGTGCAGATAAAAGTCACATTCACATTGAGGTGGCTTCAAAGTTGGACAGTGCTCTTCATGGGTAGTGTTGCCAGATAAAATACAGAAGGCCCAGTTAAACTGTAATCCCCCATAAAAAGTGACTATTTTTAAAAAATAGGCTAGGCGTGGTGGTGCACACCTGTAATCCCAGTACTTTGGGAGGCTGAGGTGGGAGGAACGTTTGAGCCCAAGAGTTTGAGACCAACCTGGGCAACATGGCGAGACCTTGTCTCTACAAAAAATTTAAAAAGTTAGCCGAGCATGGTGGCGCCTGCCTGTGGTCTCAGCCACTCAGGAGGCTGAGGTGGGAGAATCACTTGAGCCTGGATGGCTGGGGTGGCAGTTATGACCACACCACTGCACTCCAGCCTGAGTGACATTGCTTAAAAAAATAATAATAATAATTTAAAAAAGTATATCCCACAGCCCATTTGGGACATACTATAAAAATTATTCATTGTTGGCTGGGCATGGTGGATCATACCTCTAATCCCAGCACTTTGGGAGACTGAGGCAGAGGGATCTCTTGAGGTCAGGAGTTCCAGACTAGTCTGAGCAGCAAAGCAAGACCCTGTCTCTAAAAAAATACAAAATTAGTCAGATGAGGCTGAAGTGAGCTATGATGGCATTACTGCCATCTCAAGTAGCTGAGACTTCAGGTGTGAACCCACATGCCTCGCTGCCTCTTTCCTCTCTGACTCTGCAGAGTGTGTAACTGGCCTTAACAGATGTTTGCTAAATAAATGCTTAATCTATGCTACAAACACATGGAATAACTTCGGGGAGGTGCTACCTCACTGTCTTCAGTTTGTCATTTTGATTTTCTTAGTTTGCCTTTTTCAGGCCTGGCCCGGACTCCAGGAAGGAAAACTAGCAGTCCCTACATGTGTGAGAAAACTAAGCCTCTAAGACCTCCTTCTGTTGTAAATGTCTTTATGGCTTCACACACCCGAATGCTCATAGGTTTGCATCTATAGATTTGAATCCATCTACCAGTATAAGAAATCTTAGACAAGCTTAACCAGGCGTGGTGGTGCACGCCTGTAATTGTAACCCCAGCTACTCAGGAGACTGAGGCAGGAGAATCACTTGAACCCAGGAGGCGGAGGTTGCAGTGAGCTGAGATTGTGCCACTGCACTGCAGCCTGGACAACAGAGTGAGACTTTGTATCAAACAAAACAAAACAAAACTACAGTTAAAAAAAAAAAAAAAGTCGGCCGGGTGCGGTGGCTCAAGCCTGTAATCCCAGCACCTTGGGAGGCCGAGGTGGGCGGATCACGAGGTCAGGAGTTCGAGACAATCCTGGCCAACCTGGTGAAACCCCGTCTCTACTAAAAATACAAAAAAATTAGCCGGACGTGGTGGCGGGTGCCTGTAGTCCGAGCTACTCAGGAGGCTGAGGCAGGAGAATGGCGTGAACCCGGAAGGCGGAGCTTGCAGTGAGCTGAGATTGCGCCACTGCACTCCAGCCTGGGGGACAGAGCCAGACTCCTTCTCAAAAAAAAAAAAAAAAAAAAAGTCTTAGCGAAGCAACCAATTGGTTTATGTTAACCGACCCTATAAAAGCAACTACATACATGTTCAAATTTAGCAGAGCGTTGGGGTAAGAAGAATACTCATTTGAGTGTAAAAAAAAGAAAAGTGGAGAATTTATAAACAGTGAAACCATTTCGAGCAGGGTTCAGCAAAACCTTTTCTGGCAAGGGCCAGATGTAAGTATTTTAGGCTTTACAGGCCGTATGGTCTCTGTCGCAACTATTCAGCTCTGCCTTTGCTGCAGGAAAGGAGCCACGGGCAAGATTTAAAGGAATGGGTGTGGCTGTGTTCCAACACAACTTGATTCATGGATGTTGAAATCTGAATTTCCTTTCACTTGTCATGAACTATTATCTTCTTTCGGGACATTGTCTTGCTCTGTCGCCTGGGCTGGAATGCAGTGGCACGATCTTGGCTCACTGCAACCTCTGCCTCCCAGGTTCAAGTGATTCTCCTGCCTTAGCTTCCCGAGTAGCTGGGATTACAGGCGCACGCCACCACACGCAGCTAATTTTTGTATTTTATTTTATTTTATTTTTTTGAGACAGAGTCTCACTCTGTGGCCCAGGCTGGAGTGCAGTGGCGCGATCTCGGCTCGCTGCAACCTCCATCCCCCGGGTTCAAGCGATTCTCCTGCCTCAGCCTCCTGAGTAGCTGGGATTACAGGTGCCTGCCATCGCGCCTGGCTAATTTTTGTAGTTTTAGTAGAGACAGGGTTTCACCATCTTGGCCAGGCTTGTCCTGAACTCCTAACCTCATGATCTACACGCCTCGGCCTCCCGAAGTGCTGGGATTACAGGTGTGAGCCACTGCGCCTGGCCTAATTTTTGTATTTTCAGTAGAGATGAGGTTTTGCCATGTTGGACAGGCCCCTGAGCTCAAGTGATCCACCCGCCTCGAACTCCCGAAGTGCTGGGATTATAGGTGTGAGCCACCACGCCAGGCCCTTTTGATTTTTTTTCCCCTAACTACTTAAAGATATTAAAACCATTCTTAGCTCAAGGGCAGTATAAAAATGGGTGGTTGCTTCTCTCTCCTCTTCCCCACCCAAGCCCCCATATCAAAAAACAAACAAAGACACACCAAAAAAACAAAAGGGTGATGAGTAGGGTTTGGTCTGGCTGTAGGTTGTTGAACCCATGGGCTGTGGTTTCAGCTGGCCCTGCTTTCAGCTCTGACCTCAACATTCACTGACTGTGACCTTGGAAGAGTGCCTTACCCTCTCAGCCCTTCAGTTTTCTCAGCTGGGAAGTGGTAGGAAATAACTGGCCGACAGATGGGGCTGTTATGAGGACTGTATGTGATGCTGCCTGCACAATGTCGAAGGCTTATAAATGCATGCACGGTAGCTATTATTATTATTATTATTTTGAGACAGGTCTTGCTATGTTGCTCGGACTGGTCTTGAACTTGGCCTCAAGTGATCCTCCTACCTCAGGCTCCCAAAGTTCAATATTCTTTACAGTTAAAAAAAAAAAAATAGCTACCTGGCCGGGCACGGTGGCTCACGCCTGTAATCTCAGCACTTTGGGAGGCCGAGGCAGGCGGAGCACCTGAGGTCAGGAGTTCAAGACCAGCCTGGCCAACATGGTGAAACTCCACCTCTACAAAAATACAAACATTAGCCTGGCGAGATGGTGCATGCCTGTAATCCCAGCTACTCAGGAGGCTGAGGCAGGAGAATTGCTTGAACCGGGGAGGCAGAGGTGGTAGTGAGTCGAGATCACACCACTGCATTCCAGGCTAGGCAGCAGAGACTCTGTCTCAAAATAAATAACTAAATAAATAATAGCTACCTGTAATCTCAACTACTAGGGAAGCTGAGGCAGGAGGATCACTAGAGGCCAGGAGTTCAAGGAGTTGCCCTAACCAACCTGGGCAACATAGTGAGATCCTGTCTCTACAAAAATATTAAAAAATTAGCCGTGTGGTGGTACACACCTGTAGTCCCAGCTACTTAGGAGGCTGAGTCGGGAGGATGGCTTGAGCCCAGGAGTTGAAAGCTGCAGGGAGCTACGATTGTGCCACTGCACTCTAGCCTGGACAATAGAGAGACACTGTCTCAAAACAAAACAAAACAAAAAGCAGACTGGGAGTGGTGGCTCACACCTGTAATCTCAGTGCTGTGGAAGGCCGAGATGGAAGGATTGCTTGAGCCCAGGAGTTTGAGATCAGCCTGGGCAACATGGTAAGACCCCATCTCTACAAAAAATAAAAAAAAACAGCTGGGCACGGTGGCTCATGCCTGTAATCCCAGCAATTTGGGAGCCTGAGGTGGGTGAGTCACCTGAGGTCAGGAGTTCAAGACTAGCCTGATCAGCATGGTGAAACCACATCTCTACTAAAAATACAAACAAAAAATTAGCTGGGCATGGTGGCAAGTGCCTGTAATCCCAGGTACTCTGGAGGCTGAGGCAGCAGAATTGCTTGAACCCGGGAGGCGGAGGTTGCAGTGAGCCGAGATTGTGTTATTGCTGTCCAGCATGGGTGACAGAGCAAGACTCCATCTCAAAAAAAAAAAAAAAAAATTGGCAGGCATGGTGGTGCACACCTGTGGTCTCAGCTACTCCAGAAGCTGAGGTGGGAGGTGGGAGGCTCATGTAAGTCTGGGAGGTTGAGGCTGCAGTGATTGCACCACTGCACTTCAGCCTGGGCAACAGAAAAAGACTCTCCCAGAAAAAAAAAATATATATATAGATATAGATATAGATAGATATAGATATAGATATAGATATAGATATAGATATAGATATAGATATAGATATAGAAGTCTGGGTGCCAAGGCTCACACCTGTAATCCCAGCACTTTGGGAGGCTGAGGCAGGCAGATCACTTGAGGTCAGGAGTTTGAGACCAGCCCGACCAACATGGTGAAACCCCATCTCTACTAAAAATACAAAAATTAGTCAGGTGTGTTGGCAGGTGCCTGTAATCCCAGCTGCTTGGGTAGCTGAGGCAGGAGAATTGTTTGAATCCAGGCCACAGGGCAAGACTCTGTCTCAAAAAAAAGAAAAAACATATATATATATATACACAGAGAGAGAGAGAGAGAATATTGAGAACCTGATTATAAATGATGATGACAATTTTATGCTTTATTTCTCCCATATTTTGGTGTAGTGTAATAGTTCTCAATCTCCATGGGCACCTAAGCGCCTCGGGGCAGACTTGTCTTTTGCATTTCCTGATGCTAATCTTGGATGCAGAGAGTTTGCTTCATTTCACTGCATATCATTATCACTGGCACATGTGAGGTGCAGCTCTTGTTTATTTTGGGGGTCCAACTTTCCCTCCAAGCCCCTTCTCCCCTAATAATTCCTTTTTTTTTCTTTTTTTGAGACCAAGTCTCGCTCTGTCACCCAGGCTGGAATGCAGTGGTGCAATCTCAGCTCACTGCAACCTCTGCCCCTAGGGCTCAAGCAGTTCTCCTGTTTCAGCCTCCTGCGTAGCTGGGACTACACTACCATGCCCGGCTAATTTTTGTATTTTTAGTAGAGACAGGGTTTCACCATATTGGTCAGGCTGGTCTCAAACTCCTGACCTCAGGCGATTTGCACCTCAGCCTCCCAAAGTCTTGGGATTACAGGCGTGAGCCCCTGTGCCCAGCCCTCCCCCAATAATTTTGATTCAGTTGGTCTGAGGTGGGATCCAGACAGGGGTATCTGTTTTTAAAGCTCCTCAGTGATTCTAAAATGCAGCCAGGGAACCCTGGAACTTGTGTTTTGTTCTCATTTTTAGTATCTTCTGCTCAGAGTGACCAGTGAACCCAAGGCATCAGCATCACCTGCTAGACATGCAGAGTCTCAGGCCCCGCCCCAGACCCACTGAATCAGAATATGCATGTTAACAAGTTTCCCTGGCCGGGCATCATGGCTCACACCTGTAATCTCAGCACTTTGGGAGGCAGAGGCAGGAGGATTGCTTGAGCCCACAAGTTCAAGGCCAGCCTGGGCAACATAGTGGACCCTGTCTGTACAAAAAAATAAAAAAAAATAATAGCTGGGTATGGTCCCAGCTGCTTGGGAGGCTGAGGCAGGAGGATCACTTGAAGCCGGGAGGTTGGGGCTGCAGTGAGCCATGATCATGCCACTGCACTCCAGCCTGGGTGACAGAGCAAGACCCTATCTCAAAAATAAATAAATAAATAAATAAAATTCCCAGGTGATTCGCGTGTTCACTGAAGTTGGAGAAGTGCAATTCTTGGTGGTGGGTGTGATGCTTCCCTTTCTACGATTGACAGGAGTTTGAAAGCAGTGTTTGAGACACAGGACTGTAGATGGAATCCTGTTTTAGACCCAGGAGGGGGCTGGTGAAGCATTGACTGCTGAGACACGTGTGCTGTGAACTTTTGGGGTGTGTGTGTGTGTGTGTGTGTGTGTTTTAATCTAGGGTTCTTGTAAAATGAGGTGCCGTTGCAGTAGTCTGTCTAGCAGAGCCCAGAGGGTGGGACTGTGCCAGGAAAAGCAATTTAGGACCCTAGAGGCCCACCAGGGGCCTCCTTCCCCATGACCCTGGAGGGTGGACGTCACTGGGGCTTGTGAGGCTGGCCAAGGATGGGCTGTAGATGGCATTTCTTAATATAGTTACTCAATAGTTATGTTTTCTAAGTGCCACAGAGGACTAAAGGAATGTCACTAAATGTTTGGCATAGAAGGAGCTAATGGCTTTGAGAGGAACATTTCCCAGGCTTTGGTAGGAGAACAGCTGTCATAGAAGGGGAGTGTCATGGAGACAAACCCCACACTTGAGCCTGGCCACTGCTTTTTCACCACTTTGGTTTTGGGCATGAAACAATGGTGTGAGCAGAGAGCCAGCATTGCCCAGGGAGGCTGTGATCTTGGGGCTTGGCCTTGCCCAGGCAGCAGGCAGGGCTGGCTGCTGCTGGCTTTCTCTGTCTGCCTCCATTTATCAGTCTGTACAAAGGGCATGTTGCTACGGCCAGCAAGATTTCAAAACTCCAGGGTACTGCCTTGCTCTCTGAGTATTTCCTTCCTTCTTTCCTCTGGAGGTCTTGAGAAGACTCCTGTCCTTGACCTCACAGTAAGAAGGATGGTGGGGAAAGCCCAATATGAGGGGGAAAGCCCCACCCTGCCATTGCTCTGTGACTTCCAGGGGGCACTTCACCCGTCAGGACCCTCATTCCAGCAGATGGGGAGAGCATGCCCCTCTCTGCAGGGTGGCTATAGAAAGCCATGAAGCCAGGTATTTAAGAGTTCTTTAGAAACCAGATTCAGGGTAGCTGTGTATACACTAAATGAGCACCTCTTGAATAGAATCACTTCCCTCCCACCAGACCTGCAAAGTCAGTTTAAATCTCTCCTATCTCACTTTTTCAGGAATAACAGCTGACTTTAGTGTCTGATCAGTTTTGTCACCTCCAAGGAAATCATGGATTTATTGATTTATTTATTTATTATTTTTTTGAGATGGAGTCTCTCTTTGTCTCCAGGCTGGACTGCAGTGGCGCGATCTCGGCTCACTGCAACCTCTGGACTACAGGCGTGTGCCACCACGCCCAGCTAATTTTTGTATTTTTAGTAGAGACGGGGGTTTCGGCATGTTGGCCAGGCTGGCCTCGATCTCTTGACCTCGTGATCCGCCCGCCTCAGCCTCCCAAAGTGCTGGGATTACAGGCGTGAGCCACCGCACCTGGCTGGAAATCATGGATTTAGTTAAGAGTATCAGTTGGCGTTAAAACCATTAGGAGGTCTATCAGCAAGGGAACGAACAATAAAACCGTGGCAGATTCATTCAAAGAAATCAGTCAATAATGGGGGCCAAATGTGATACACACAACAATGTGAATGTATCTCATAGATAATGCTGACTGAAAGAGTTCCTATTGTAAGATTCTGTGTGTATGAATTACAGAAACAGGCAAAACTCATCTGTGTGATAAAAGTCAGAATAGAAGTGAGGTAGTTTGGATATTTGTCTCCGCCCAAATCTCATGTTGAAATGTAATCCCCAGTGTTGGAGGTGGGGGCCGGTGGAAGGTGTCTGGATCATGGGGACGGATCCCTCATGAATGGCTGGGGCTATCCACTTTTAAAGGACCAGATAAGTGAGTTCTCACTGATTTCATGAGAGATCTGGTCCTTTAAAAGTACACGGCGGCAGAGTGCGGTAGCTCATGCCTGTAATCCCAGCACTCTGGGAGGCCGAGGCAGGCGGATCACTTGAGGTTCGAGACCAGCCTGGCCAACACGGTGAAACCCCGTCTTTACTAAAAATACAAAAATTAGCTGGGCATGGTGGCACATGCCTGTAGTCTCAGCTACTCAGGAGGCTGAGGCAGGAGAATTGCTTGAACCTGGGAGGTGGAGGTTGCAGTGAGCCGAGATTGCACCACTGCACTCCAGTATGTGTGATAGGGTAAGACTCTGTCTCAAAAAAAAAAAAAAAAAAAAGAAGAAGTGCATGGCACCTCCACTCTACTCTCTGCCTCTCTTGCTCCTGCTTTTGCCATGTGATGCCCAAGTTCCTGCTTTGCCTTTTGCCATGAGTATGAGCTCTCTGAGGCCTCCCCAGAAGGCCAGTGATTCCAGCACTATGCTTACTGTGGAGCTTGCAGAACACTGAGCCAATTAAACCTCTTTTTTTTTTTTTTTGAGACAGAGTCTAGCTCTGTCACCCAGGCTGGAGTGCAGTGGTGCCAACTCGGCTCACCACAACCTCCAACTCCCGGGTTCAAGCAACTCTCCTGCCTCAGCCTCCCGAGTAGCTGAGATTACAGGCTCCTGCCACCAAGCCCAGCTAAGTTTTGTATTTTTAGTAGAGATGGGGTTTCACCAAGTTGGCCAGGCTGGTCTCTAACTCCTGACCTCAGGTGATTTGCCCGCCTTGGCCCCCCAAAGTGCTGCGATTACAAGCCTGAGCCACTGCGCCTGGCCCTCTTTTCTTTATAAATTACCCAGGGCCAGCTGGGCGCAGTGACTCACACCTGTAATCTCAGCACTTTGGGAGGCCAAGGTGGGTGGATCATCTGAGATTGGGAGTTCGAGACCAGCCTGATCAACATGGAGAAACCCTGTCTCTACTAAAAAATACAAAATTAGCCAAGTGTGGTGGCACATGACTATAATCCCAGCTACTCAGGAGGCTGAGGCAGGAGAATCGCTTGAACCTGGGAGGCGGAGGTTGCGGTGAGCTGAAATCATGCCACTGCACTCCAGCCTGGGCAACAAGAACAAAACTCCATCTAAAACAAACAAACAAAAACAGTCCCTGGTATTTCTCTTTTCTTTCTTTTCTTTTCTTTTTTTTTTTTTTTTTTGACATATTCTTGTTCTGTCGCCCAGGTTGGAGTTCAGTGGCGCAATCTCTGCTTACCGCAACCTCCGCCTCCTGGGTTCAAACGATTCTCCTGCCTCAGCCTCCCAAGTAGCTGGGACTACAGGCACCCGCCACCGCACCTGGCTAATTTTTGTATTTTTAGCTGAGGGGGGGGGTTTCACCATGTTGGCCAGTCTGGTCTTGAACTCCTGACCTCGTGATCCACCTGCGTCAGCCTCCCAAAGTGCTGGAATTACAGGCATGAGCCGCCGCGCCTGGTCTTCTGGTATTTCTTTATAGCAATGCAAGAACTGCCTAATACAAGAAGTTTGTTTTGTGTGCCCCCACGCAAGGGAGTTGACAAATCAAAGGACACATTCAGAGGAAACTTCTTGTATTAGGCAATTCTTGCATTACTATAGGCATTGCATTGCCTTGATATTATCAAGAAGAGGGCACCAGAGGTAGCTGGGGAGCTAGGAATGTTCTCTATATTGATTTGGGCTTTGGTTCCATGGGTGCGGACATATGTAAAAATCTTAGAACAACCAGACCTTCTGTATTTTCTGACATACATAACACCATCTATAATGTATTTCAGTCCAAAGCTTTTAACTTGACTCTAATCAAGACTTTAGATCTAATTTCTAGGCCAGGTGCAGTGGCTCACACCTGTTATCCTAGCAATTTGGGAGGCTGAGGCAGGTGGATCACTTGAGGTCAGGTGTTTGAGACCAGCCTAGCTGATATGGTGAAGCCTCATCTCTACTAAAAATACAAAAATTAGCCACTTGTGGTGGCACATTCCTATAGTCCCAGCTACTTGGGAGGCTGAGGCAGGAGAATCACTTGAATCCAGGAGGCCGAGGTTGTGGTGAGTCGAGATCACACCATTGCACTCCAGCCTGGGCAACAAGAGCAAAACTCTATCTCCAAAAAAAAAAATGTTATTTTTAAAAGATGAATGGTTTCTCGTGCATCTTTTCAGATTGAGACGTTCTCCATTCACACAAACGCATCTATGTGCACGTGGTCCCTTACTTTCTTTACTTAGCAGCAGCCTACCATACACATTGCATTATACTTGGGGTTTTTTTTGTTTTGTTTTTTTGTTTTTGAGACGGAGTTTTGCTCTTGTTGCCCAGGCTGGAATGCAATGGTGCGATCTTGGCTCACCGCAACCTCCGCCTCGGGGATTCAAGCAATTCTCCTGCCTCCGCCTCCCGAGTAACTGAGATTACAGACGTGCACAACCATGCCTGGCTAATTTTTAGTAGAGATGGGGTTTCTCCATGTTGGTCAGGCTGGTCTCAAGCTCCCGCCCTCAGATGATCTGCCTGCCTCAGCCTCCCAAAGTGCTGGGTATGAGCCACCGAGCCCAGCCCCCTACACTTGGGTTAAAAACCCAAGTGATATGGTTTGGTGGTGTCCCCACCCCAATCTCAACTTGAATTGTATCTCCCAGAATTCCCACGTGTTGTGGGAGGGACCCAGGGGGAGATAATCGAATCATGGGGGAAATTCTTTCCTGTGATATTCTCGTGATAGTGAATAAGTCTCACAACATTTGATGGGTTTATCAGGGGTTTCCACTTTTGCTTCTTCCTCATTTTTCTCTTGCTGCCACCATGTAAGAAGTGACTTTGCCCTCCTGCCATGATTCTGAGGCCTCCCCAGCCATGTGGAACTGTAAGTCCAATTAAACCTCTTTTTATTCCCAGTTTTGGTTATGTCTTTATTAGCAGTGTGAAAATGAACTAATATAGCAAGTTAAAAACACACCACATATACACGCTGCATTATACTACACAGTTACCAGTTACCATACACACCACATTACACCACCTGGCCAGGCATGATGGTGTATACTTGTGGTCTCAGCTACTTGGGACACTGAGGTGAATTGCTTAAGCCCAGGAGTTTTAGACCAGCCTGGGCAAAATAGCAGACCCCATCTGTAATAATAATAATAATAATAATACTAAATAAATAAAAATAAAAATGTAGGCTGGGTGTGGTGGTTCATACCTATAATCCGAGCACTTTCGGAGGCTGAGGCGGGAGAATCACTTGAGCCCAGAGGTTCAAGACCAACCTGGGCAACATAATGAGACCTATCTGTATTAAAGTAAAATTAATTTAAAAAAATTAAAATGTGGCCAGGCACAGTGGCTCACGCCTGTAATCTCAGCACTTTGGGAGGCTGAGGCGGCAGATCACCTGAGGTCAGGGATTCGAGATCAGCCTGATCAACATTGAGAAACCCTGTCTCTACTAAAAATACAACAATTAGCCAGGCGTGGTGGTGAGCACCTGTAATCCCAGCTACTTGGGGGAGCTGAGGAAGGCGAATCACTTGAATCTGGGAGGTGGAGGTTGCAGTGAGCCAAGATCGCGCCACTGCACTCCAGCCTGGGCAGCAGAGTGCAACTCAGTTTCAAAAAAATAAAAAATAAATAAAATAAAATAGTCTGGGCACGGTGGCTCATGCCTGTAATCCCAGCACTTTGGGAGGTTGAGGAAGATGGATCACCTGAGGTCAGGAGTTCGAGACCAGCCTGGACAACCCCATCTCTACTAAAATATGAAAATTAGCTGGGCATGGTGGCATGCACCTGTAATCTCAGCTACTCCAGAGTCTGAGGCAGGAGAATCGCTTGAGCCTGGGAGGTGGAATTTGCAGTGAGCTGAGATTGTGCCACAGCACACCAGCATGGGTGACAGAGCGAGACTCCGTCTCCAAAATAAATAAACAAATAAATAAATAAATAATAAAAATAAAATAAAAATGTATATTAAAAAAGACGCAGGGCCAGCCATGGTGGCTTTTATCTGTAATCCCAGCACTTTGGGCGTCTGAGACAGGAGGATCACTTGAAGCCGCAAGTTTGAGACCAAACTGGGCAACAAAATAAGGCCTTGTCAGCTGGGCATGGTGGCTCACGCCTGTAATCCCAGCACTTTAAGAGGCTGAAGTGGGTGGATCTCTTGAGGTCAGGAGTTCAAGACCAGCCTGTCCCACATGGTGAAACCCTGTCTCTACTAAACACACAAAATTAGCCGGGCATGGTGGCTCACGCCTATAATCCTAGCACTTTAAGAGGCTGAAGTGGGTGGATCTCTTGAGGTCAGGAGTTCAAGACCAGCCTGGCCCACATGGTGAAACCCTGTCTCTACTAAACACACAAAATTAGCTGGGCATGGTGGCGCACGCCTGTAATTCCAGTTACTCAGGAGGCTGAGGTAGCCCTCCCTCTCTTTCGTCCTTGACAGGGCTTCACTCTGTTGCCTAGCCTGGTCTTGAACTCCTGGCCTCAAGCTATCCTTCCGCCTCAGACTCTCAAATTGTTGGGATTACAGGTGTGAACCACTGCACCCAGCCTTTTCTTTTTAAACATTTTATTAAAATTTGTTTTTCATTTAAACTTTTTAACAGTCTTATGAACTAGGTCTGATGATCACTGCTATTTAATAAATGATAAGACTAAGGTTTGGACACATTTACTAGCTTGCCACAGTCACACAGTTAATAAATCACAGATAATACACGGTCATGGCCAGCTGCAGTGGCTCATGCCTATAATCCCAGCACTTTGGGAGGCCGAGGCCTCCTGACCTCAGGTGATCTGCCCTCCTCTGCCTTCCAAAGTTCTGGGATTACAAGTGAGCCACCGTGCCCAGCCAAGTTTTTGTATTATTAGTAGAGACAGGTTTCACCATGTTGGCCCGGCTGGTCTCGAACTCCTGACCTCAATTGATCTGCCCACGTTGGCCTCCCAAAGTGCTGGGATTACAGGTATGAACCACCACACCCAGCCACTGTGTCTTGCACTAGCAAATTTAACTTCTGTGTCAATCATTGTCCCTCTCCCCTGAGAGGTCTGAGACCACCTAGAGGAACTTACCTAGCCTGCATTCAGTTGATATTTCCTGAGCACCCTTGCATGCAGAGGGCTCTTAGAGGCAGCTTGACTTCATTTAGAATCCAGAGAGAACCCAGATTCTTAGCATCATCTAGTTTATTTTTATTTTTATTTTTATTTTTTTTTAAGACAGGGCCTTGCTCTGTAACCCAGGCTTGGAGTGCAGTATTGCGATCACGGCTCACCGCAGCCTCAACCTCCTGGGCTCAAGTGATCCTCTCACCTCAGCCTACTGAGTTGCAGGGGCTACAGGCATGTGCTACCACACCTGGCTAATTAAAAAAAAAATTGGCGGGGCGCAGTGGCTCATGCCTGTAATCCCAGCACTTTGGGAGGCCAAGGCGGGCAGATCACCTGAGGTCAGGAGTTTGAGACCAGCCTGGCCAACACGGTGAAACCCTGTCTCTACTAAAAATACAAAAAATTAGCCGGGTGTGGTGGCGGGTGCCTGTAATCCCAGCTACTTGGGAGGCTGAGGCAGGAGAATCACTTGAACCCGAGAGGCGGAGGTCGCAGTGAGCCGAGATCATGCCATTGCACTCCAGCCTGGGTGACAAGACCAAGACTCCATCTCAAAAAAAAAAAAAAATTTTTTTTTTTGGCCAGGTGCAGTGGCTCATGCCTGTAATCCCCCAGAACTTTGGGAGGCAGAGGTAGGTGGATCACTTGAGGCCAGGAGTTCCAGACCAGCCTAGCCAACATGGCGAAAACTCATCTCTACTAAAAATACAAAAATTACCCAGGTGTGGTAGCGCACACCTATAGTCCCATGAAACTTGGAAGGCTGAGGCAGGAGAATTGCTTGAACCCGGGAGGCAGAGGTTGCAGTGAGCCAAGTTTGCACCACTGCACTCCAGCCTGGGTGACAGAATGAGACTTCATCTTAAATAAATAAATAAATAAATTTTAATAGAAATGGGTCTTCCTGTATTGCCAGTGCTGGTCTTGAGTTCCTGAGCTCAAGTGATCCTCCCACCTCAGCCTCTCAAAGTGCTGGGATTACAGGTGTGAGCCTACTTGTATGCTATGGGATACAGGGCTGAGCAGAAAATAACCCAGCCCCTGCCCTCAAGGGGCTTACAGTCTAGTGGTAGGGACAAATATTAATCAAGCACTCAAGCAGTGTGAAAAGCCAAATGTAATTATCACCACCCCTGGAGTTACAGAGAGCTAGATGGCTGAAACAGCAGGGAAGGGACCCCTGAGCTGAGAACTGGTGAATGGGCTAACAAGCAAAGAGAGGGAAGAACATTCCAGAAAAAGGAATCGCATGTCTAAAGGCCCTAGGGAGCACAGGGACTAAAAGAGGCCAGCATGACAGGCAGAGAGGGATGGGAATAGAGAGGGAGATGAAGCTAGGAGGCCTTGTGCTTGTCAAGGAGTTTTGGCTTTATTCCAAGTACAGTGGGAAGCCGTTGAAGCTGGGAGCGTAGAGGGAGAGGGTAACTATAGCCTGATCAGATCCGATTTAGATAGTTCTGGCTCAGAACAGTCAAGTGGGGAAGAGTTGATGGGTTTCCTGGAAATGAAAGAAACTGACAAGTAGTGAATCAGATAAATACTTGGCTCAAGGTCATGTCCATTCCTGGAATCAACCCATATTCAAACACTCTTTGATTGGGCAGGGGTGGGGTAGGCAAAAAGGCCCACTCCCTTAGTCAAGGCAGGATGTCTCTGAACGGTGGTCCTAGTCCTTGAGCTCCCTGTGGGATGACCAAGACCTTAAAACAAAGATAAACATGTAGAATGATCGGCCCAGGATTTCAGAGAAGAGTGAGGAGGACCCTGCTTCCACCTGAGCAGCGGGATGATCCTGTTCCACCCAAGGCAGGGGTCCCAGTCCTAGAACCCGCCCCTTCCTTCCTCCTCCTGATCCCCAGAAGAACGGTGAGCTCTGTGTGTGTGTGTGTGTGTACACCTTTGGCTCTAGGATCCTGGTTCTTACTTTCTCACCTACTTGTTCTGTGACTTTGAATAAATCCCCTTCTCTCTCTGGGCCCGTCTCTTTATTGGAAAAAGAGGAAGTTGAAGTAATCAGTGACTCAACTTTTGGGGTGGTTCACAGACCCTTTGAGAGTTTGTTGAAAGCTATGACCATTATACACATAATTTCTGGCAGTTGCAGGGGTTCCTGTAGCCCTGGGGTGGGGCTGGGTAGCAGGCTTTACCTGGGACTCAAGTGAAAAATCCTTGGATGAGACATCAACAGGCACCTTTTCTGATGGCCTGCTAAGAACCAAGTCTCATACTCTGTTCTAGTCCTCATCTCAATCCTTTAACTTTTTTTTTTTTTTTTTTTTTTTCAGATGAAGTCTCACTCTTGTCCGCCAGGCTGGAGTGTAATGGCATGACCTCGACTCACTGCAACCTCCGCCTCCTGGGTTCAAGCAAGTCTCCTGCCTCAGCCTCCCTAGTAGCTGGGAGTACAGGTGCCTGCCACCACGCCCGGCTAATTTTTGTAGTTTTAGTAGAGACGGGGTTTCACCATGTTGGCCAGGCTGGTCTCGAACTCCTGATCTCAGGTGATCCGCCTGCCTTGGCCTCCCAAAGTGCTGGGATTATAGGTGTCAGCCACTGCGCCCGGCCATCACAGTCCTTTAATCATTACTTTTCCCACTTGGAGCTCGGAGATAGCACTTAAGTGACTTGCCCAAGCTGAGAAGAGCTGAAGCAGGACCCCCAAGCCAGGTCTTTGTGAAGCTAAAGACTGTTCTCCCTGTTCCAAAGGGAGACATCACTACTCTTACCCTTTCCCCATTCCGCCACTGCCCCCATAATACCACACATTTTAGACCTCATAGCCCCCTCTTTTTTGTATTTTTTTAACCCCAAAGAAGGCAAACGAGGGTTGCAGGTTTATTTATTTATTTATTTGAGATGTGGTCTCATAGTATTGCCCAGGATGGCCTGAAACTCCTGGGCTCAAGAAATCCTCCTGCTGCAGCCTCCTGAGTAGCTGGGACTACAGGTGTGCCGCCATTCCCAGCCTTTTAAATTTTTATTTATTAGACATGAGGTCTCGCTATGTTGCCCAGGCTGGAGTGTGGAGGCTATTCATAGGTATGATAATCGTGCACTACAGCCTCGAACTCCTGGGCTCAAGCGATCGTCCCATCTCAGCCTCCCAAGTAGTTGGTACTACAGGTGTGCACCACCCCACCTGGCTGTATTTTCAACTCCTGTCATGGAGCAAGGTTTACCTTATGAAGTAAGATAGAGGATCTGAGGCCTCGATAGGCTAAGTGGCCTACAAGGTCACATAGCAAGTGAGTGGTCGAGTTGAGAGCTAGAGACAGAGGACATTTGTGTTCACCTTGGAAGTCCCAGTGAGGACGAGCCTTACCTAGCTCCAACTCAGAAGGCCAGAAGGAAGAATGGTTTGGGGGAGGCTGTAATCAGGGGAAGGATGCAGGGCCCTGGGGTGAGCCCTAAATAAGGGGCTTCCTGTGAGCCTGAGGATGGCCATGCCCTTGTATATACTTTGTCCTCCAGGCAAGTTCTCTGCTGGCCCTTTAAATCTTCTCAACAGCTCTGGGTGGGGCATCTATCCCCACTTTACAGATGAAGATACCAAAAGAACTTCATCCAGGCCAGGCATGGTGGCTCATGCCTGTAATCCCAGCACTTTGGGAGGTCGAGGCAGGCAGATCACTTGAGGTCAGGAGTTTGAGACCAGCCTGGTTAACACGGTGAAACCCCATCTCTACTAAAAATACAAAAAATTAGCCGGGCGTGGTGGCGGGCGCCTGTAGTCCCAGCTACTCAGGAGGCTGAGGCAGGAGAATGGCATGAACCCGGGAGGTGGAGCTTGCAGTGAGCCGAGATTGCGCCACTGCACTCCAGTCTGGGCAACAAAGCAAGACTCCGTCTCAAAAAAAAAAAAAAATACAAAAATTAGCTGGGCGTGGTGACACGTGCCAATAGTCCCAGCTACCGGGAGGTCAAGGCAGGAGAATCGCTTGAACCCGGGAGGTGCACTGGACTCCAGCCTGGATGACACAACAAGACTCCATTTCAAAAAATAAAATAAAATAAAATAATAAAATAAGATAAAATAAAATAATATTAAGAAAAAAAAAGAACTTCATCCAGCTCCTGTTCAGAAGTGACCACACACACACTGTCTTCAGCATCCCTCCCAAGTTCCCCTGGTCCATTTCTCAGGCCTCATCTTCCTGCCCATCTCCATCTTACCGTGCCCTTATTTACGGTGTTCTTCCCTTTTCACCCTCTGAAACTTCGCACCTGTTTTCGCCTTTGCCTGGAATGTTGCCTCCTTCCCCCACTGAACTCCTTCCTACTCATCCTTCAAGATCCTATGCCACAGTCTCCCCAGTCATGCAGCAAAATGGGACAGATTGCCATCTTCCTTCCCATTTCCCTCTCAGCTCTCACCCCACGTTTCCTTTTTTCTTTCTTTTTTTTGTTTTTGAGATGGAGTTTTGCCCTTGCCGCCCAGGCTGGAGTGCAATGGCGCGACCTCGGCTGACCGCAACCTCCGCCTCTCTGGTTCAAGCGATTCTCCTGCCTCAGCCTCCCAAGTAGCTGGGATTACAGGCATGCGCCACCATGCCCACCTAATTTTGTATTTTTAGTAGAGATGGGGTTTCTCCATGTTGGTCAGGCTGGCCTCGAACTCCTGATCTCAGGTGATCCGCCTGCTTCGGCCTCCCAGCGCCCAGCCTCATCCCGTGTTTCTAATCAATGGCTTGTGTCCATTTTCCTCTGCCACACACTGGGCTCTCGTGTGTTTGCCAAAGGAGTGAGGGAATTCCAGGAACCCTCCTGAACCACCCAGCCTCAACTGGTCTTTCAGTTCCTAAGAACAGCAGGACATTTAAAGTCGATGCCTGTAATCCCTACTGCTGACTTCAAGTATCAAGTTTATAGTTGCTGCCCCCATCCCCTTCGTTTTTACTCCCTTAGCCGCCTTCTTTTTTTTTTTTTTTTTTTGAGACGGAGTCTCACTCTGTTGCCCAGGCTAGAGTGCAGTGGCACGATCTCAGCTCACTGCCAGCTCTGCCTCCCAGGTTCACGCCATTCTCCTGCCTTAGCCTCCCAAGTAGCTGGGACTACAGGCGCCCGCCACCACGCCCGGCTAATTTTTTGTATTTTTAGTAGAGACAGGGTTTCACCGTGTTAGCCAGGATGATCTCAATCTCCTGACCTCATGATGTGCCCACCTCGGCCTCCCAAAGTGCTGGGATTACAGGCATGAGCCACCATGCGCAGCCTCCCTTAGCCTTCTTTTATCCATCTTGTGCCTCGGCCCTAGGGGTCCTTGCTATGATCTTCCCTTTATCCAGCTTTCCATGTCCCCCCCAGGAGCCAGGCATTCTAAGCCACAGAGCTGACCCTGGAACCTGTCACCACTTACCTTCTAGGCTCCCATGGCCTATGAAACTCGCAGTACCCTTGCCTAAGGCATGCAGTGCCCGTCCCTAGCTGGCCCCCTGGAGGAGTCCTGTTTCCCACCCATCGTCTTTTCCACTCTCCATCCATCCGTTTTCTCTACCTTGTTAAAGAAAAAAACTAATCAGATTCTCGTTAAAGATGGCAGGGAAGCCAGGCGGGGTGGCTCAGGTCTACAATCCCAGCACTTTGGGAGGCCCAGGTGGGAGGACAGCTTGAGGCCAGGAGTTCGAGACCTGCCTGGGCAACACAGTGTAGTCCCAGCTGCTCGGGAGGCTGAGGTGGGAGGATCAGTTTAGCAGGGGTGTTCGAGGCTGCAGTGAGCTATGACTGCACCATTGCACTCCAGCCTGGGCAGCATAGAGAGATCCTTGTCTTTCTTTTTTTTTTGAGACGGAGTTTCTTAATGTAGGCCGGCCAGGGTGATCACATACCAAGCGTGGAGATATTCTTGACAGCAGGATTCTGGCTAAAACTGGACTAAGAAGGCCAAGGACAGAGCCCAAGGTCGGGGCCTGGTCAGAAAGAGGTCTCGGAGGAGCCTGACTCAAGTGTGATCAAGGGAAGTCTTGGTCACCCGCTGGCAACTTGGCTTTTTCTTGTCTCCCAGCCTCAATTCAAGCTCATCCCCCTTCCCTGCTCCATCAAAATCTCCTTGATTTCCAAGGCCAGCTTCAGTGTCTCCTCTCAAACTTTTCTGAGCCTTCCCTCCACGGGAATCCATTTTTCCTGCCTGGGCCTGGGGAGAGAAGTCCATTTCTCCTTCCCAAACCCAGAGACCATTGAGGCAGGAAAGCTCCCTGGCTGCCCCATAGGGCAGGGCAGGGTAGGCGGGGTTTAGTGACTCCCCGGCGCCGACGCTGACCCGCACCCCTGAGGAAGGGGTCTCCGGGGACGGCCGCTGTTGTCGCTGTCGCCTCCAGTCCCCGCCCCTTCCCCCCTCAGTGAAGGGGACCTAGAGTGAGAACTGGTGGTCACGTCCTACGCCTAGGAGGGCCCCTGGGTGTTCACCCACCCCCCCGGGGGGCCCCATCCTGGGCCAGGGTCCGCTTCCTCGAGGGAAGGGGCGAATTCCTGGAAGGTCTCCTTCCGGGCGCAGTTGCAATGGATTGCCTTGGGGGTGCTGAACCCTGCTGGGGGTACAGAGACGTTTCCGAAACTCAGCGGCTCGGTCGCCCCCAAAGGCCAGGCGGAACACACGCCCACACCGCGGCTCCCTTCCCGAAGTAAGACCGCCGGGCCACGGCCGCCCCCAGGAAGCCCCGCGCCCCGCACCCCACACCCGGGGACACAAACAGGCGCCGGGTAGCCGCGAGGGCCGGCGCGGCGCCTTTAAGAGGCGGCGGGCGGCGCTGCCCCCTGGCGGCCGCCCCGCCGCTTCCTCGCCGCCGCGGGCTCAAGCGGGGCGGCCGGGCCAGCGCGGGGCGGCGGCGGGCAGGGGCGGCGAGTGCGCGGGCGCTCGCCGCCGCCCTTCTCGGCGGGCAGCGCGCGAGGACCAGGCCGAGGAGGAAGTGGCGGCGGCGGCGGCGGGTGAGGATCTCTGGCCGGGCCGAGTGGCCGCGTGCGCCCCGCCGGGGTCCAAGCGCGCCCAGGGGTTACGGCCCGGCTGGGAACATCAGAGGGCGAGGACCCGGGCGGGAGGAGGAGGGAGGAAGGGCTCGGAGGCCGCGCTTCTGCCGCCGCCTGAGGGCGTGTGGCTCGGGCCCGCGCGGCGGGAGGGCGGGCAGGGCGGGGGCGGTGTCTGCGGAGGCCCGGCTTCCCCTCCTGCGGGCCCTGGCCCCAGCTCCGACTCAGACTCAGGCTCAGCCGTGCCCCAGCCTCAGCCGGCAGGCCGGGCGGCGCGGCGCTCGCGAGCCGGTGGGCGGGCGGGCGAGCCCGCAGGCGGCGGGGGCGTGGGCGGTGGCAGCTTGGCCCAGCCAGTGGCCTTCCGCGCTGAGCGCCGCTCCCTCCTCCCGGCCGCCCGCCGCGCCCCGCCCCGCTCCGCTCCGCGCGGCAGGACTGCGCGCCCCAGCTCCGATCCCCGTTCCGCGTCCCCGCCGCCGGGAGGAGGTGCCCACTCGCTCGCGGCGCGCGCCGGCCGCCAGACTCGGCCTGTGGGCGATTTCCTCCGGACCCAGGCTCCCCGCCCGAGGAGGAAGATGCAGACCTTTCTGAAAGGGAAGAGAGTTGGCTACTGGCTGAGCGAGAAGAAAATCAAGAAGCTGAATTTCCAGGCCTTCGCCGAGCTGTGCAGGTAAGGAGGGACGCGGCGCCGGCGCCCGGGGACCCCCGGCCCGAGCCCGGTGACCCCCGGCCCGAGCCCGGTGCAGCCTCATTAGTTGTTTTGGGAGATCGGAGCCAAACGGGAAGAAGCGGCGCGCGGGGAGACTGAGTCCGAGCAGCCAGGTGGCGGTGGCGGCCGCCGGCCGCGTTCCAGGGAAGCGGTGGCCGGTGCGGGCGAGGTGGCACGGACCGGGGCGTTCAGGTGCACTGTGACCCGGCTGGGGAGGCCCCCAGCAGCCCAGGGCGCGGTGGGAGTTCTACTGAGGGTTGCGGAGGGACCTGGGAAATCGGGGCATCCACGCTGTGGGGTAAGGGCTTGAGGGTACTTTTGGACCGGAGTGTTTTTCTTCCTTCGTCCCCTTCCCTTTCATGAAGAAAGGGCACCCACGTTTGTGGACCACCTACTATGTGCCCCGCGTGTGCTCGGCTCTTGAGGCTGTCATTGCATATCATGAGGTTAAGCCCAGTTGAAGCGAGTAGCAATTCTTGGCATGTATGTGGTGATTTGCTGTCTCATTAGAGCCTCGCAGCAGCCCTGCAAATTGGCCAGGGTGGTGATTCTGGGCCACCTGTCTGAGAACGGGGACCGATCGGCAGAGGAGCGGGGTACCTAGCTTGGGGTCCCGCAGCTAGGGAGTGGCTGGTGCGTAGAAAGTGCTGGGTAAATGCCCGTGGTGTGGAGTGGCCTTCTGCCATCTGGGCTGTGTGCCCCTGCTCCCACCATGCTGGTGCTCCTTGGCGGAGTCTCCGGTGTTTAACAGATCACGTTCTTAATAAATTACAGAACTACTGAGTCTTGGGTCAGGTAGGCCTTCCCTTGCTCCACAACTGTAGCTTTGCCTCTGAGAAGCAGTTAAGCCCTTTTCTCAATGCAAGCCTAAGAGAATCTAGCTCTGAAAGCCTTTTGCAAACTCCAGGTGGAAACCTTTTGTGATGCAGCTTGTTAGACTGATTTTTGAAAATGGGCTCTACTTGCATTTTTGTCCCTGTGGGGGCCCCACACATCTTGGAGAATTGAACAGTTGGGTTTCCGTAACCCCTGGTGCTCCTGGGGGCCCGTGGCTGGTCTGAGCTGGCATGCGCAGGTGAGCCTGGCAGCACCTCTGTGTGCCTCATGCCTTTCCCAAGGGCCTGCTGCTCCTTTGCCCCGTGCAAGCCCCGCAGGCGCTCTTCCTGCAGCCAGAGGGGCACAGCTTGTACAGGATAGTGCCTGGTTCTTTATCCCTTGGTCTGGGGATGGGGTTGGCTGCCTTCTCCCAGGCCGGTTTCCCTAGAAGACAGGCTCTTCATGATCAATAGGGCATGCAGAGTGGCCCCAGCAATTCATGAAGAAATCAGGAGGAGCTCGAAGCCAGAGCTTTGAAAATGAGTCTTAGGACCCTTGGAACATTACAAAAGGGTACTTGAACGTTGTACCGCGGATACACTCACTTGTGGGAAGGGCATTCTAAGACACTAAAGAAATTTGGAGCAGCTGCTTTGGCATGTTCTCGAAGTCCAGTTCTGATGTGAGGCACCGGAGCTCCCCCTGCAGTCATGTAAGACTTGGGAAATCCCAGCGAATACCTCGCACCCTTTGTACTGCTGTCTGTATTTATGTCATCTTGTGTCTGCAACTCAAGCTTGAGGCTTGTCATTGGGTTGGCTTGTTTTGCTTGGTAATTAGGAGGCTCTCGCAAAATATTCTTCGCCGAGACTCACAACTAGGTCCTCGTGCTGGACCTGCAGATTGGCTTGACCTTGTAGACATTCTTCCTTTAAAGGGGTGGGAGGTTCAGAGCAAGCTATGCTATCAACGTTCTGGGGAGTAGAGCATTACTTTCTCTGAAAGAGTTGTTGTCTTCAAAGTCTAGTTGCCTTCCTTTGGCCAAAATATTGGCTTCAAAGAAGGCAGAAGTCATCAGGGCCATTCTAGAACCCGAGGAAGCCCACTTTGTGTTTTCACTAGGGAAGCTTTAGATATTTTATCACTTAAGCCTAAGAAGGAAAAGAAAACACCAAAGAGTTTTTCCGTTTCTTATTTATTACTTTCAGGGCAGTGCCCCCTGGTGGCCACATTTCTATACTGGCTGCAAAATGCTGCAACTGTTGAGCCAGTGACCAGGGAGCCCCGTGAGGTTGTTTTGTTTGGTGTGAGGGCCAATGAGACTTTAGTGGCTGAGAGACAGTGCAAAGGACATTATCATGTTTTCCACATTCAGAATCTGGGGGCGCAGGGCTTCTGTACTGACGACGGGTGATGAATTGTCTATGAATTCCCTAATGAAAAAGTCTAAAGGTATTTGAAAATGGCCCTGCTTTGGGCCGGGTGCCGTGTCTTCTGTCTGTAATCCCAGCACTTTGGGAGTCCAAGGTGGGTGGGTCACGAGGTCAGGAGATCGAGACCATCCTGGCTAACATGGTGAAACCCCATCTCTACTAAAAATACAAAAATTAGCCGGGCATGATGGCAGGCGCCTGTAGTCCCAGCTACTCAGGAGGCTGAGGCAGGAGAATCACTTGAACCCGGGAGGCAGAGGTTGCAGTAAGTCGAGATGGTGCCACTGCACTCTAGCTTGGGTGACAGAGCGAGACTCCATCTCAAAAAAAAAAAAAAAAAAAATGGCCCTGCTCTTAATGTTTGGGCAAAGAATGACCCGAATGGTCCGGCCCGGGGTGGGTTGTTTAGCTGAATGTCCGGCCTTGTAAAAATCTGATCTCAGAGCAGGAAGAGATGTTGGCCATCATCTCATCTAGCCCCTTTGTCTTACAGATGGGGAAACCCATCAAGAGAGGGGGCAGGTTCCGGACTCTTGGTCTTTTCCTTTAACTTCTAGAATGGGTCCAACCTGGCTACCTTGAGATTGCCTTTCTGATTGGGCATCTCCGACAATAAGGCAGTCTCCCTCATTATCTTTCCAGGGGTCTGGTGGCTGCTATTTAGCCCCCAGGACACATTCCTTGCAAAGCTGAGCCCCTCTGCAAGTGTAATCCTTGTCTTGGGGGGAGGGTTTGGGGGGTAGTGCACGTTGATGGCAACAGTGGGTGGTTAGAGCCACTTCATGGGCCATGAAGTGCCCCACCTGCCGTAGGTAGGGACAGGCGCCAGCCTTTTCAGATGTGCACTCTGATAGGATGGGGCTCTGCTAGCCAGCAGATGGGCCTTTGAATCCACTTGTTTGTCAGTGGTACTGTTTGTTCCTGTTGCCATCCTGTTTCTTCCCCTTTCTCTGGGGACACGGCTCTGGTTGTGTTCTCTTGTACCCCTCCCACCTGCCTTCCCTAGCCTGGGAGCAACCTTGTAGGTCTCCCACACCACCCCCTCTTTGTGGCTTTTTTTTTTTTTTTTTGAGGTGGAGTCTCGCTTTGTCGCCCAGCCTGGAGTGCAGTGGCGCAATCTCGGCTCACTGCAACCTCCGCCTCCCAGGTTCAAGCTATTCTCCTGCCTCAGCCTCCTGAGTAGCTGGGATTACAGGTGCGCACCACCACGCCTGGCTAATTTTTGTATTTTTAGTGGAGATGGAGTTTTACCATGTTGTCCAGGCTGGTCTCGAACTCCTGACCTCAGGTGATCCGCCTGCCTTGCCCTCCCAGAGTGCTGGGATTACAGGCATTCCTGGCCTTTGTGGCTTTTTCTAGATGCTCAGAAGGGGCTTCAGAGGGGGAGTGAAGAAATTAAAGCTGTTAGTTGGAAATACTGGGTGATATTAATTTAATTTTAAATTTTGTAGTTCTGTACAGTGCCTCACTGGGGAATACTGGCTGGCCCCAGTTTCCTCAGCTCATGTTTTCTGTGCCTCCTCCTCTCCTCCTCTCTGTCCCATTCTTTCTGTGGCTGAACCTACGTTGCAGGAGGTGGGGGCGGAAGAGGCACATGACTTGGTGAAGCTTTCCATATAAAATTTGGGTGAACCTTATCTGTCTTTACTGTAATAATTGCTGATTTTTAATGAAGTGCTTCCAGGGACCTCATCTCATTTAATCCTTCCAGCAGCCCAGGGATGGAGGGATGAGGGATGGAGGGATGAGGGATGGAGGGATGAGGGATGAGGGATGAGGACATCCCTCGTTGGGATGGAGGGATGAGGAAACAGAGGCTCCGGGAGTCTATAGGACCTGCACAGCCAGCTAGAGGGCTTTCTTGAGTCCACTCCTGAGGCCTTTGCGCTGAGAATGTGGCTTCCCTTGTTTATTTGCCCAGGTTAGGCTGGGGCTTCCAGGAGGCTACAGAAGCACAAGAATGTCTGTGAGTTTCTCATCCTCCAGAGACTTGGAGGCCAGCTGGGCTGACTTGGCTTGCAAGAAACGTGTTTCTGGAGCAGTCTCAGACCTTGGTATCCCACCAGGGACCCTTTTGTCCCAATACCTTAGAAGGGACTGAGGAGTTCATTAATGTTCACGTTTATGACCACCCTTGGTAGGTAGCCCAGGCCTGCATCTGCTCTCATGGGTCTGGGAGTTTGGTGTCAACAGTAAACTGGCTTGGGAGGCGTGCCAGTGAGAGTGTAGCATGCCACCGGGCCTGTCCCTTCCCCTTGGGCCCTACATTTGTTCCTTTAAAATAGGGCCATCTCCAAGGTCCTTTTCTACAGGGATGGCTTAGCATTCTGGTCTGGAATTCTTTCGGGAGATTCTCTGCAGGGAGGAAGGAGGATCTTTTCCAGGATTAAGTGATGCTGGTCTGTGGGTGGGTATTTTTTTATTTGTTTTAATGTCTGGATTTGCCACCATTTCGGGGGTGCAGAGGTGGGAAGAGGTGCTGACTTAGGTTTTCTTTGCAGCAGTGCACAGGGAGTATTCATAACCCAGCCTTGCAAATGAACACTTTCTACCAGCCTCCTGGGGAGCAAACAGAACTTCACATAGGAGGAAGCGTCCGTGTGCACATGGATCTATTGAAGGGACTGCCTCAGTTTCAGGCCTGACTCCACGACTGACTGCCTATGTGCCCCATGACCCTCGACACATTCCCTACCCCTCTGTGCCTCACTTTCCTCATCTGTGAGGGTAATAATTTAGCTTAGGGTTGCGAGCATCAAATGAGGGAATTTGCTAAAGGGTCCAGGATAGTGCCTGGAATTCTGTCAGTGGCGGCGGCCGCTGCTGTCGTCGTCCCTGTGGAGTGAGTGAGTGGGTCTCTGCCCATGGATGCCTCTCTATTCAGGGACCTTTGGCCTTTGTAGATTTAGTGTTCTTGGTTTTGGCAGTTTGCAAGTCACCCTGAAGGCCACGATGGCTGAACTGATCATCTTGCAGGGATGTGGGTTTGAGGATTTGAAACTGTTCAGTGGGCATAGCTAAGGAGGGGGCCCAGGCTTGCCTGGTGGCCTTTCAGCATCACAGCGGGGTTCTGTTCTCCTTCAGCACATGGCCCATCTGAATATTACAGCCCCCCAGGAGGTGGAGGTGCTGTCCCCACCTACTTTATGGATGGGGAAGCTGAGAAATTTATGTTAAGATGCTACTTGTATTTTTTTAAGTTTGGAGATTGAGAAGAGTTTGTTCTGGATTTCCTGAAAATGCCAAGTCTCCACTGGTAATCTTGTTACTATTACTAGCTAACATTTATTGTTTTCTGTATCTTTTTGAATATTTAAGACATGCACATATTAAAAAAAATTCAGAGGACTCAAAGTATACAATGAAACGTCAGCCCTGTTCGCTTCTCATTGCTGAGTTCCAGTTCCCTGGGGCAGTCTGTCTCTATAGGTGTTTATGCACACTCAGGGGCGCGTGCACGTGTAGGTCTCTCCATATGTATTACTGTTGTGCTCTTGCACATTGCATGGGACTGTGTGTCTTGGAGAAACTCCACATCGCTGCTTCATTTGGAGAAAGTTTTGTATCATTACCTCTTTTTTTTTAAACAGCTGTGTGGTCCAGTTCTTAAAAGGATGGAACATGTTTCTTCCGCTGGTGTTGGTTTCTGCTGGTATGGGCAGCATGACAATACCCCGTCCCCTTGCCTGGGTGTACATTGCTAGATGAGGAGGGCTGGGTCAGAGGGCACAGGCATTTTACTTTTTCATACTTTTTGTGTGTATGTGTGAGACAGAGTCTCCCTCTGTCGCCTAGACTGGAGTGCAGTGGCACGATCTTGGCTCACCGCAACCTCCGCCTCCTGGGTTCAAGTGATTCTCCTGTCTTAGCCTCCCGAGTAGCTGGAACTACAGTCATGCACCACCACACCTGGCTAATTTTTCTATTTTTAGTAGAGACTGGGTTTCGCCATCTTGGCCAGGTTGGTTTCGAACTCCTGGCCTCAATTGATCTGCCCACCTCGGCCTCCCAAAGTGCTGGGATTACAGGTGTGAGCCACTACGCCCAGCTTTTTCATACATGTTCTGAAACTGCTCACAAAGAAATTTCAATATGTCAGTCCCAATGACAGTGAATGGGAGAGCCTGTGCTGCGCACCCTCCTGCGCTCAGGGCCGGGACAAATCTGTGGGTGAGATGGTCCTCTGGATTCATATTTCACCTAGTGAGATAGTGAGATTGAGGAGTTTAGGTTGCTGGGGGCTGACTGCAGGCACCTGGAAGAGCTGGGTGCACCTGCATGGCAGGATGGGCATCAATGTTTCTAACCACTGGGCCATCCTGCCTTTACCGGTTATTTCTCCCACATGGTTTAGCAGGTTTGGGACATTCAGTAAATACTTAAAGTCAAGTGCCCCATGAGCACAGTTCCTGAACAGCTGGATGTAAATAGGGTTTCAGTTCCCACTCATTTTGAATTCAGCTGGAAAGCTACATTTGAGAGAATACTATGGCACTTCCCTTTTAAAAAGTAGCATTCATTTTAGGAAGCAAAGCATTCAAGAGCTGTGCACCTCCTTCTTTCCCTCGCAAAGTCACTGTCTTAAACACCTTCCCCATCCTGCATGAATTGGGCCCAGCCCAGCCTCTCCCACTCTGGTGGCCCTTGGGGAGCCGGCCCGGGTGTGTGTGGCCTTGCTCTGGAGAGGGTGTGGGACTCCCGAGAACTGGCCCATGGTCACACAGTGGAAATGTGGGAGGGGAACTTGCCTCGCTCCAAGCCGAGTGCTCCCCACTCACCACTGGCCAAAGCCTCCTTGTGAACAGGCCTTTCCTCCCGGCTGCGGCCCACGGTGTGTATTAGAGTGGCCAGGCCATACCTGTGGGGCCCTTTGAGTCTTTCTGGGGCTTCGTCTTGCTGCTCTGAGCCTGCTCAGAAAGCAGCTGCCCTTGTGGCCTGCATCTCCCCAGCAGAGCCTCATGGGCTGGTTTCTGTAGGCCCATCCTCTGGATGGCCCCTGGGAGTGCTCCCACAGCCATTTTTAGGGTTCGGTGGGGTGGATCTGAGATTCGTGTCAGAGATCCCGTGGAGCCGTGGAGCGTCAAGAATCACTCTCACAAGGGAGCTCCAGACTCCAGACCCCGCTCCGCATCCCCCCACCCCTCCAGGCCCTTGAGTGCTGGGTGCCCCACCCTGTTAATTGCTCATGATGTTCCAGGGCACACCTGTGGCAGAGGCCACCTGCAGACTCAGCTGCCCCAGAGGGTGAATCGGGACCCACAGGCCAAAGGCCCTCCCAGACAGCTTCAGGGAGATGTCTTCGTTCCAAACCTCTCTCGCCGTCAGAATCTTCACTGATACTTAGGCCCCCACCACTGGGCCTGTTCTTCCTCTCTGACTTGCTCATTGTCCTGCTTATTTTAAGTCTGTCTTGTTTTTAAGTAGTTGGTTCTATGAAGGTAGAGATTTTGGCAGCTTTATTTACTGCTGAAACCCCAGTGCCTATACCAGTGCACATAGGAGCTCAAAAAAGAATCTGTTAGTGGCTGGGTGTGATGGCTTACACCTGTAATCCCAGCACTTTGGGAGGCTGAGGCGGGCAGATTGCTTGAGGTCAGGAGTTCAAGACCAGCCTGGGCAACATGGTGAATACCTATCTCTACTAAAAATACAAAAATTAGCAGGGCATGGTGGCAGGTGCTTGTTATCCCAGCTACTTGGGACGCTGAGGCAGGAGAATTGCTTGAGCTCGGGAGGTGGAGATTGCAGTGAGCCAAGATTGCACCATTGCACTCCAGCCTGGGTGACAGAGCTGGACTCTGTCTCAAAAAAAAAAAGTATGTTAGTGGATCAATAACTGCCTGGTGGTTTTTGGAAGCCTTTTTCATGTCCCTATGGCTCAGCCAAAGCCACTTGTGACTCTGGAATGCTCTGGGCCAGGAAGGAAACCCCAGGGGTGGGGGAGATGGGGAGAGAGTTAGGTGGTAAGTCCCAGGTTCCGGAGGGGCTTGTGGGCAAGTCCTGAGCATCTGCCCTGGCCAGGCCTGTGCTGGGTGCTGGTCCTTGCCGGCATGTACACCTGCAGGAGGTGAAGGCAAACCAGCTCTCAGATGCACTGGAAATGCTGCAAGGTGTGACTAGAGCCAGGAAACCTGCAAACAGGAGAGAACTATGGCGCAGTGGCTGCAGCCACTTTAGCACTCTGTGGTCAGAGAAGGCCTCTCTAAGGAGGCGACATTCAGCAAGAGGGGCCTAGAGCTCTCTCCAGGAGCTAAAGGACCCACAGGGTGGACGGTGTCCACTTTGTAGAGGCCACACACCCTGGCCTCTACCATAAGCCTTATAAGCCTCTGCCATAAGCCCTGGGTTCCATGTGGATTGGAGGGCAGGCAGCTCTGGGCAGAACTGAGGCCGGTTTCCACCTTAGACAGGGTGGTTCAAGGAGGTGTCGGGGTGTCCTTCTAGAGCCTTGTTTCCTGACAGTGTGACCTTCCTCCCATCCGAGGGAGGCTGCAGTTATGCCCTCGGGGCCAGGGATAGGAAGACAAAATGCTCCCCGTGGGTCTGGTTCAGTCCAGCCTTTGTGTTCTGGAAATGAGCCGCTCTGGGCTGTGGGGTGGTGGGGTGGATGGGGTGGTAGTGGGTGGGTCAGCTGACCTTTCTCAAGAATCAGGTTAGGTCTCAGGTGCCCAAGGGAGCCGAGGGAAGCCGCGCCTGACCTGTGTGCTCTTTGGCAGTCATCGATCTTCCTCCAAGTTACTTGTTTGCCAAACTTGCCCAACAAAAGAGACACCAGGGGATGGGCGTGGTGGCTCACGCCTATAATCCCAGCACTTTGGGAGGCTGAGGCGGGCGGATCACCTGAGGTCAGGAGTTCAAGACCAGCTTGGCCAACATGGTGAAACCCAGTCTCTACTAAAAATACAAAAAATCAGCTGGGTGTGGTGACTGGCACCTGTAATCCCAGCTGCTCGGGAGGCTGAGGCAGGAGAAACGCTTGAACCCGGGAGGTGGATGTTGCAGTGAGCCGAGATCGCGCCACTGTACTCCAGCCTGGGTGACATGAGTGAAACTCTGTCTCAAAAAAAAAAAAAAAAAACCCCACAAAAATTAGCCAGGCGTGGTGGTGGGTGCCTGTAATCCCAGCTACTACTCGGCAGGCTGAGGTGGGAGAATCGCTTGAACTCAGGAGGCGGAGGTTGTGGTGAGCCGAGATTGCGTCACTGCAGTCCAGCCTGGTGACAGAGCAAGACTCCGTCTCCAAAAAAAAAAAAAAAAAGCTCCAGGGGCACTGGGGAGAAGGGAGAAGTACACATCCTGAAGTCTCCCTTCCCTGTGAGATGAAGATTCTCCTGGGAAGGGGGCTGGGGAGCTCCTTGTGAAGTACCCTGATGATTTTTATGGGAAACTACTCACTGTCATTTCATGAAGTGCCTCAGAAGACCTTACCCCAAAACTGTCAGGCGTGGGGAAGCACCGAGTTAGCCAAGGCTGAAGCAGTGTGTTTCAGACTTCTCAGGGGCAGGTCCCCTCCAGGAGGTTTGCTGGAGCCAGAGGTTCCCAGGCTGGCTCCTGGGTCTCTGTACCCTGAGCTCACTGTGGGAATCTCCAGTCTGGCACCGTTCACCTGAGGCCTCACTGGAGCCCCCTCATGCAGGAGGGAGACATGGCAGGGGCACCAGGTCGTCAGCCCAGCCCAGTTCTACCTGCTGTTGCTACCTTTTGCCAAATTCCTTCTCAAAAGAAGCCTTTTCAGATTTCTTGCCTCTGGCTGCTGGTTTGCCCGGAGTGTATAGAAAGGAGCTAGTTTTGCACAAGAGACATTCCTGGGACCGATCTGGCCAGATAGACACTTGTGGCGTTTTCCTCAGCAGTTTACGCTGCAAACCCATGGACTCCTCAGCAACCATTCTTATTAGCCTGGGGTCACTCTGGGCGCTCTTGGAGCCCAAGCCAGAAACTGGGACTCTGGGTTTGTTCAGGCGGCCTGCTGTGCTTTGGCAGGGCTGTGTTGCTTCCTCTCTGCCCCCTTGTACATTCATGGCTCATGCCAGATCTCAGAGGATCCTGAGAACCTACCATGGGGGTCAGGCACTATTGCAGATGGGATAACTACCCTCCAGGATGGCTGAGGGGTCTCCATTTGCTAGATGAGGGCCCTGAGACTCAGGGAGAGGCCAGGTGCTGTGAGCAGCACAGCTTGGATTCACCCTCAGGGATGGGTGACTCCTGAAACCATGCTGTTTCCACTCCGCCAGGTTGCCTTTGTCTTCAACACAGCATCCAGCTGCCGTCGATCGATGTCAGGAAAATCAAGGAGTTCTGTTCTTTTTTTTTTTGAGATGGAGTTTCGCTATTGTCACCCAGGCCGGAGTGCAAGGTGTGATCTTTGTTCACTGCAACCTCCACCTCAGCCTCCCCAGTAGCTGGGATTACAGGCACCCGCCATCACACCCAGCAAATTTTTGTATTTTTAGTGGAGAAGATGGGGTTTCACCATGTTGGCCAGGCTAGTCTCAAACTCCTGACCTCAGGTGATCTGCTCAACTTGGCCTCACAAAATGCTGGGATTACAAGTGTGAGCGACCGCGCCCTGCCTCAAGGGGTTCTTTTCTGAGCATCCTTTGTGTGCAGTTGTTGGGCCCAGGAGGATAGTGCATGGTGGAGATGGCAGTGAAGTTGGAGCATGAGACTTGTCCTGAGCCTCTGCCCTCCCAACTGTAAGGTGGGTGCAGTGCACCCGCCCTAGGGCCAAATGATAGGATTCCCCCTCCACCCAAGAGGCCACCTCACCTGCCCTCCTACCCGCCCAAGGCAGGGCCTGGGGCCTCTGACACATCTCTGCTGGGAGCTGCCACCCATCTTTTTCTGGGGGATCCTCCAGTGGTCAGCTTGCTGCTTCCTGGGCAGGGCGGGGCATGGTAGATGGGTGCAGAGAGAACCCTCCTGTGGCAGTTTCACTTTCATTTCTGCCTCACACCCTGTTTCCATCCAACAGTCAAGGGCTGGGCTGCGGAGGTGAGGAAACATCCGGTCTCCACCCTGGGGTACTTGTCCTAGTGCAGGTTCCCAGGCCTCCCCCTCCCCTGGAATGAATCTGGGGTGGGCCGTGGCATCTTCTTTTTAAAAAACACCCCATTCATTCCTTTATGCACTTACATGCCACATACTTACTGAGTGCCTGCTGTATGCTGGGCACTCCTGGGTTCTGGGGATTGATACAGCAGTGAGCACCACAGTCTCCTGGAGCCCCAGGGTCAGTCTTAGGGAGAGCTTCAGGGCAGTTGTCTCACCACTGGGAGCTCTTGCCCACAGTGTGCTGGGTCACGTACCTCTCAGGGTCCTGGGCTCGTGAGTTTCTTCTTCTTCTTATTTTTTTTTTGAGATGGAGACGGAGTCTTGCTCTATTGCCCAGGCTGGAGTGCAGTGGTGCAATCTCACTGCAACCTCTGCCTCCCGGGTTCAAGCGATTCTCCTGCCTCAGCCTCCTGAGTAGCTGGGATTACAAGCACGCGCCACCACGCCCGGCTAATTTTTGTATTTTTAGTAGAGATGGGGTTTCACTGTGTTGGTCAGGCTGGTCTTGAACTCGTGATCTGCCCGTCTCAGCCTCCCAAAGTGCTGGGATTACAGGCGTAAGCCACCATGCCCGGCCCTATTTTTCTTTTTTTCTTTCTTTCTTTCTTTTTTTTTTTTTTTTTTGAGATGGAGTCTTGCTTTGTCGCCCAGGCTGGAGTGCAGTGGCGCGATCTTGGCTCACTGCAAGCTCCGCCTCCCAGGTTCATGCCATTCTTCTGCCTCAGCCTCCCGAGTAGCTGGGACTACAGGCGCCTGCCACCATGCCCGGCTAATTTTTTGTATTTTTAGTAGAGACAGGGTTTCACCGTGTTAGCCAGGATGGTCTCGATCTCCTGACCTCGTGATCCGCCCACCTCGGCCTCCCAAAGTGCTGGGATGACAGGCATGAGCCACCACTCCCAGACTTGTTTCTGTCTTTTTTGCCGTTGTTGTAGAGACAGGGTTTCACTGTGTTGGCCAGGTTTGGCTGTAACTCCTGAGCTTGATCGATCGCCCGTCTCAGCCTCCCGAAGTGTTGGGATTATAGGCTTGAGCCACTGTGCCTAGCCAGCCTATTTTCTTTTTCTTTTTTGTTAGTCTTGCTCTGTCATCCAGGTTGGAGTGCAGTGGTGTGATCTTGGCTCACTGCAACCTCCACCTCCCAGGTTTAAGTGATTCTCGGACCTCAGGTGATCCTTCCACCTCAGCCTCCCAAAGAGTTGGGATTACAGGTGTGAGCCACCACGCCCAGCCCAGCCTATTTTCTTTAAGATTTTAAAGTCCTAACATTCGTCATGGGATCCTTGAAAAGAAAAGGAATTATGGCCTTGCCACTAGAGGCCTTTGCCGCCTCCCTGCAGGAAGGTGTGTCCCGCGGCATTGGGATCGTGTTGGAGAAAGGTTTTGCTTCCTGCACAGTCAGCTCCCAAGCACCCTTTTTATCACCTTGACCTGGGCGCAGCCAAGCCGTGGCCTGTGCTTGCGGAGATTTGGGTGCCCCATCCTCTCGCTGCTCTGGGGAAGCCTGTAGCTGTGGAGAGGCCAGTCCAGGCCCCAGCTTCTGACCTTTGTCTACATATCAGGAGGAGCCCTCCTGGTGAGGAATGTGCCTCGTTCTTTTGGGGGAGCTGACGAGGTGCCTGTAGTGTGGAGGGTTAGGGGCAGGGGAGTCCCTCCAGAAATGCACTTAAGCTTGCAGAGTCACCCTGCCCTGCATTGTTAAGTGGTATAAGGACAGTTAGCTCCAGAAACAGCAGTGGCTCCTGTCTCTGGAGCTCTAGCTTCATGCCTGACATGGTGCTGAGCGCTAACATGTGGCTCTTTGAAGCTGTCAGTCCGTATGTGGAGACTGAGGCTCAGAGAGGGTAAGTGACTTTCCCGGGGTTTCATAGCCGATCACCCTGGGGGTGGGGTTCAAACATCAGTTTGCACAGTGCCGCGATCTCAGGTCACTGCAACCTCCACCTCCTGGATTCAAGCGATTCTCCTGCCTCAGCCTTCCGAGTAGCTGGAGTCACAAGCGCACGCCTCCACGCCCAGCTAATTTTTTGTATTTTTAGTAGAGATGGGGTTTTGCCACATTGGCCAGGCTGGTCTCGAACTCCTGACCTCAAATGATCCACTTGGCTTGGCTTCCCAAAGTGCTGGCATTACAGGCGTGAACCACCGTGCCCGGCCTCGGCTTCTTACTAGGTGGATGACTGTGGGTGTGTTTCAGCTCCTCTCTGGGCCTTAATTTCCTTGTCAGTAAGAGGTGACCTTGTGCTCATGCATAGGAGGGGGTCAGCACATGCAAACTTCCCTTCTGTGCAGGGCAGAGGCCATCTCTGGAAGGAAGAAGGGGGAAAGTGGCCCCTTACTCACCTGTGTCAGGTGGTATCAGAGTAAACCTCCACAGAGTCCAGAGGTACAGAGATTCACGATCTTAGAGGAGTAACTTTTGAAAACCTTTGAGCCAGAAGAGGCCTTTGCGTGTAAGGGTTTGCAGCTCAGAGTGGCTGGCCTTGCAGGGTCACACATGTAGAGCTTTGGGCTGACAGCTTCGCAGCCCAGAAGTACACCTGTGGCCTCCAGGGAACCTCTAGGAGTGTGAAGAGGCGAGGGTGTGTTCTGTTCTGGGCCATGATTGGTGGACCCCATCCCGGCCAGGATGAGTTATTTTTGTTGATGGGCCCTGTGGTCTCTCCTAACCTTGCTGGGAATGTGACAGGAACCAATTCTTTGGATTTGGGATGCTCTCCTGGGAAGGATGGGGGAGTGAGTGGGTGCCCCTTCCCTGACGCAGCCATCTGGGACGTGGGCAGTTCTGTGAGTGCTTCTGCATGTGCTTCAGGCTGGGACCCCCTGGACAGTGAGACCTATGGAGTGGGCCACATGGCTGCAAATCTGTTTCCATTGCTGTGTGCTCCAGTCCTCTCACTCTCAATTAACCAACAGATGTGATGAGTCATTGGGGTCTCGTCAGCTAATGATCTGAGCAGTAAGTCGATTGTATGGCTGATTCCTAGAGCCACAGGGGTGGATGGGTTCTGACAGGAGCCTCAGTGCTGAGCGGGTTCGGTAATAAAGGGGATGTATTGGTTCCTGAGTCAGATCCTTGGGGCATTCTGGCTTCAGGTGTAGGTAGACTCAGGCGACAGTCCAATAGGGCCTGGTCTGTCTGTCTGTCTGTCTCTCTCTCTCTCTGTCTCTCTCTCTCTCTCTCTCCCTCCTCTCTCCCCCCGGCCCCCTCCCTGCTTCCCTGGTCTCTTTTACATTGGCTTCATTCTCAGGCCCATGTGGTGCAAGGTGAGTCCTCACCCTCAATCCTTATTCTCAGCCAGGCACTGTGGCGTTCCTTAGGTGTGTGATCTCATTTGATCCGCATTAACAGCCCTGGGAGGGTGGTGGTTTTAGCATTCCTGTTTCTCATAGAAGGGCTAAGTAACTTGCCTGGGGTCACACAGCTGGTAGGGGCAGAGCTGGGATTCAGAGCTGGTTGGGTTGGCTCCAGGGTCCCCCATCCCTCATGCTCCAGGTCCACAGGGACAGGGATTCCTTCTGTTGGCCTCTGATTTGTCATCCTGGGCCACATACCTGTCTCTGAACCAGTCTCTGGGGCTGGGGAATGCAGCGCCTCATTCCCTTCTACATGGCCTGAGTGTGGGCAGGGTGGATCCCCAAAAGGATGCTGCAGGGGCACTGTTTCCCAGAGGCAGGGGAGGGATGTTTGGCAGCTGAGGTGGGAGTGGACGTGCTCCCTGTTTCTGGGCTTCAGTGGCTGGCCAGAGTGAGGCTGGGGGCTGCTCTCCCTCAGCTTCCAGCTCTGGACCCAGCTTGCAAAGACTTGGACGGGGGCCTGAGGGTTCGCACACAGAGTCCAGGGCTAGGACGTTGTTCCCAAGAAGGGAGTGGAGAGTACCTACCCCCACAAGTCTGAGCCCCAGGCTGGCCTACCCTGTGCTGGGCACCTCTGCTTGGGGTTCCAGAATTCTCGGAGGCAGCTGGGTGGGAGTGCTGGTGGGAAGCTCCGGAAGGGAGGCTGCTCGGGGCCTCCCTGTGGCTGTGGCTGCATGGGCAGCCCCGAAGCGGCTTCCTGGACCCCACCTTGTGCCTCAGTTAAACCTGAATCTGGCTTATTCCCACGGCCAGCCCGACACAGGCAGATTCTGAGAGTCCTGGCTGCGCCCAGCAGCCAGCTGGGTGGGTGGACATACTGGAGGGCTGATGTCCTATTTGTGGGCTGGGGTTTTTCCGGGCCTTGGGAAATGCTGCCTGAGTTCCTGGAGAAGGATGACATCTTTCCTGCCCCACTGTCGCTGTCGCTGTGCAGAACCTTGGTGTTTTGACACTGATGTGTTCTGGAGCTAAACAATCTCGTGTTATGTAAACACAATTAGCCTGTTGCTGTTTGACCCTGTCCTGCTTGGGGAGGGTTGAGAAGGTGTCTTTTTGCTGGATCCTGGGAATTCTGAGAGCCTGGAGCAGCTGTGAACTAGTGGCTGGGGGTTGTCGGAGCTGGAGGGGAGTGTTGGTCTGGGGAGGGCCACTCCTGTCCAGGACACTCCGCTCCGATATACTAAGCCAGACCCTGGCCCCCCACAGCTGAGCAGGCCTGGTGGAACTGCGGGGAGGACATGCTGGACTATTTCCACCCGGAAGGGGAGAGGAAATGAACGGTGAGTGGCTGGTGGCCACAAACCCAGGATGTTCCATATATCAGGGCCCCAGTTCCGAGGGCCCCGGGCAAAGGGGCTGGGCTGGAGGTTGGGAGAAGTGCAGGGTGACAGGCCCTGGTTAGAGTATGGGTCCCTTATGGTTCCTTTCTGAAACGAGTGGGGCAGGTGAGGGCAAGGCCTGCTCAGAGCCCCTTGCCCCGGGCCTGCTTAACTGCTGTGGGTGCCTCTGCTTGGTGTTCCAGAATTTTCAGAGGCGGCTGCATGGGAGTGCTGGAGGGAAGCTCGGGAAGGGAAGCCGTTCTGCCCTGCCTTGGTTGCGGCCGTGTGGACAGCCCTGAAGTAGCTTCATGGGCCTTTCGGTGCTGCACAAGGTGGCAGAAGCTGGGACCAGCGCTCAGACCCCTGCTTTGCCGCTGAGCTGTGCGGCCCTGCACCATGGTCTCTATTTGAGGGCCCTCAGCTCAAAGGCTCTGGGAAATGAGTTTGGGACCCATTGCTTCTGGTTTAGCTGGTGGGGCTGGTGGACCTGTCAGGTTGGACAAGCAATTCTTGTGCCTTAGCCTCCCAAGTAGCTGGGGTTACAGGCGCCCACCACCACGCCCGGCTAATTTTTGTGTGTTTTTTTTTTTTGAGACGGAATCTCGCTCTGTCGCCCAGGTTGGAGTGCGGCAGCGTGATCTCGGCTCACTACAAGCTCCGCCTCCCGGGTTCACGCCATTCTCCTGCCTCAACCTTCCGAGTAGCTGGGACTACAGGTGCCCGCCACCATGCCCGGCTACTTTTTTTGTAGTTTTAGTAGAGACGGGGTTTCACTGTGTTAGCCAGGATGGTCTCGATCTCCTGACCTCGTGATCTGCCTGTCTTGGCCTCCCAAAGTGCTGGGATTACAGGCATGAACCACCGCACCCGGCCATTAATTTTTGCATTTTTAGTAGAGACAGGGTTTCACCATGTTGGTCAGGCTGGTCTCAAACTCCTGACCTCAAGTGATCTGCCTGCCTTGGCCTCCCAAAGTGGTGGGATTATATGCATGAGCCACCTGGCCCAGCCCACACTTGGCTAATTTTCTTTTTTTTGAGATGGAGTTTTGCTCTTGTCGCCCAGGCTGGAGTGCATTGGCGGCAATCTTGGCTCACTGCAACCTCTGCCTCCCAGGTTCAAGTGATTCTCCTGCCTCAGCCTCCTGAGTAGTTGGGATTACAGGCACCTGCCACCATGCCTGGCTAATTTTTGTACTTGTAGTAGAGACAGGGTTTCACCATGTTGGCCAGGCTGTTCTCTAACCTCTGACCCAAAGTGATCCGCCCACCTTGGCCTTCCAAAATGCTGGGATTACAGGCATGAATCACTGTGCCTGGCCGATTTTTCCCATTTTCTTGCTGTTGTAGGTACAGCTGCATTGGGCATCTTTGTGAATATAAATGTCTTCCTTCCCTTTCTGATTCCGTTACGTGTAGGTAAAAGTTTTTATCAGTTATTGATGCATAACAACCCATCCTAAAAACTACTGGCTTTAAGCAATAAGCATTTTTTCATCCCACAGTTCTGTGGGCTTTGCTGCGTAGCTCTGGTCTTGCTAGGAATCCCTTGCGTGTGTGTGGTCAGCTTGCAGTCTGGTAAGGGGTCTCTGCCCTGGGGCTTGACCTTTGGCTAACCGAAGGCGCTGGGCATGACCTGGCCTCCTTCTTGGCTTTCCTCAGGCTGCTGGGCTTGTTCCTGACACTAACAGTGGATGTTTCCAAGGCCTCTGGAGGCCCGTTTGTGTCTCTACAGTTTGTTGGCCAAAACAAGACCCAAGGCCAGCTAACATTCAAGGGGTAAGAAAATAAACTTTACCCCTTGGCGGAGGTGTCAAAGTCATTGCAAAGGGCCTGGATACAGGGAGGGTCAAGCCCTGGGAACATGTCTGCACACAGAGTGTGTGATCCGGGTCTGCGCGTTGGCCGGCAGCCCATAGACCTTTCCCAAATTAGTACCTGGCAGGTGCCCAGCTGGTGCTGGGCTGGGTATGGGGAGGGGCGGAGAAGTCGGGTTCATAAGGAACAACTGTCATCATTCAGAAAGCTTTTCGAAGTGTCCGCTGTGTGCCCAGCTCTACCGACCCAGGTATTGTCAGTCCTGGTTCTTCAGGAACTTGGCTTTTGCTTACAGAGGGAAGGCTCTGTGGGTGACTGACCAAGGGACTCGGTGACGTCAGTGTCCTGTGTGGTGGTGGGAAGTTTTGTTCCTGGATTGGGGCCTGGTGTTATCTTTGTGGCAATCCCCCACCTCCATGATGAAGTTCATTTTTCTCAGCTGGAAGAGGAGGTTAGAACATTGGAGCCCCTACATTCTAGAACATTCGAGCCCCTACATTCTTGAACATTCCAACTGGGAGAGCCCTTGGGATTTTCAGTGGGGAAACCAGCGGTGAATCTGCAGCCAGGACTAGCTCCTGCGCTCTCTCCTTCTCCTTGTGCTGCTGGGTGCCTGTGTTGTTTCCAGATTGCATCCAGACCCAGGATTTCCTGTTGTTGTTCTTCGTGTGTGTTTCTTCATTAGAACAACTCCTGCATCCTCTGCAGAGCTGTTTACAGGCATCTATTGGCCTCCCTCCGTGCCAGGCCTCGTGGTGCATGTGGCCAAGTGATGGCCAAGATGGACAAGGTCTTGTCATTTGGAGCTTTAGTCTGTGAGGGCTATAGGGAGGGTACAGACATGTCAACCAGTGAGTTACAGGGATGATTTTATCTGGGATCGGAAAATGAAGTGATGACAGTGATATGAAGGGGTCTGGGGACTGTCCTCACATAGTCAGAGAAGACCTTTCCCAAGGAGAGAGCTGTGGCTGCTGCTGACAGGTCAGAAAGGAGTCAGTCGCAGAAAGCTGGGGCTGCGGCATCTCAGGCAGGGGAAGCGGGTTTAGCAAGTGCAGAGGCCCCAGGGGCACAGGAGGGAGCCGGAGCTTGGTGTGTTGGTGAGCTGTGGTTGGAGGACGTGGCCGGGGCAAGGCCTGGGAGGACAGGGCCGTGAGGAAGCAGGCAGGGCCAGGTTTCTCAGCGCTTTCCAGGCCCCAGCATGCAGTTTGAGATTATTTTACAGGAGGTAGAAGGCAAAGGCTCTCATCAAATTACCCCACAACATAGTCCGTGAAATACTACTCAGCCATGAAAAAGAACACAACCCCATCCTTTGCAGCAACATGGATGCAGCTGGAGGCCATTATCCTAAGCAAATTAACGCAGGAACAGAAAACCAAATGTTTCATGTTCTTACTTATAGATGGGAACTAAACCTTGGGTATATATGGACACAAAGATGGGAAGAGTCAACACTGGGGACTACTAGAGGGGGAAATGGGAGAGGGGGGCAAGGGCTGAAAAACTACCCATTGGGTACTATGCTCAGTACCTGGGTGATGAGATCATTCATACTCCAAACCTCAGTGTCACACATTATACTTGTAACAAACCTGCACATGTACCCCTGAATCTAAGATAAAAGTTGAATTTATTAAAAAAAAAAAAAAAAAACCTAGTCCGTGACTCTAGGTGACCCTTTTAAAAGCTTTGGGTGGTGCTGATAAGTGTGACTGTGTCCTGGAGCGGCTTCATTACTTCCCATCCCTCCAGCTGCCTGCCACAGGGCCCAGAAGCTGGCTTTGGAATTGGAGGGACTGGGTCAAACTTGCTTCTGCTCCTGTCTAGCAAGTTAGCGAGCTTCTCTGAGCCTGTTTCTTTGTCTGTAGGATAAAAAAAGCACTTCTTAACTTCTGTGGTTGGTGTGTCAGTTGAAATAATTATTAATGGTATAAAGTTCCATAGTTCACTGCCTGCTAGATTTATTTACAATTACTACAAATAACTCATCGTAGGCCCCAATCAGCGGTAGATGGTATTACTGTGGTGGTGGTGGTGGTATGTAGGTGGTGCTGTGGTCTGGGTTTCAGACACCATGCGGGGTGCTGGAGCACCGAGTTCCTCCTGCACCCCGGGAGCCCAGTTGGTGCGGAGACAGAGACAGGAGGTGAAGTGTTAGATGAACTCTGCTCGAGGAACAGAGCAAGTTTCTCTATCTGGGAAGATGGAAGAAAGCTTTCCACAGGTGGTGACCCTTGAGAGGTATGTTTGAGGGCGCAGGGAGCTCGCTCACGGACAGGTATGGATGGAAGGTAGTGGAGAAAGCGGGCAAGCCTGTGCCAAGGCGTGACGCTGTGGAGCCAGGAGTCCTTCAACACGGACTCTGGGCATGTAGGGCCGGTGCAGATGGGTGGCTGTGGGGAGCCCCTGGAAGCCTGGGCTGAGAGCCTCTAGGAAGCAGTGGGCTGGCTGTGGGAGGAACACCCCTGCCTCTCCCTGTGCCTGCAGTGGGTCCCGTCCCCACGCTGTGACTGCCAGGTGTGGACACATGCTCGTCAAGTGGTGAAGAACGTGGAGCCGGTGGGCTCACCGGCTTGGGGCCTGGCTGCCTCACTGGGAAGCTTGGTGGCCCTGGGAGGTCATTGAGTGTCCCTAAGCTTCCGCCAGGGAGATGATCGTAGGGCTGGTGTGAGGGGAGATGAGGAGTCTGTGTCTAGCACCCAGCACAGGGCATGCACTGATAAAATGATGGCTTCACCCGGCTCCCAGGGGCCACGTCCAGCTGACAGCTCCTTGGTGACTTAGCTGTATGGGTGGTGTGCAGCTGGCACTGCTTGCTGGTCTGGGGGAGACATCCTAGGCTGGCCTGTGGAGGACGTTCCCTCTCAGCCTCCTCTGAGCCATGGGCATAGGTGAGTTTTCAGAAAAGCCCATACCGACGGTGATTCAGCTCTGCTTCTTGCTTCCTTCTGTCTTATTCTTAAGTCACCCACAGGGCAGCCACCTGCCAGTGTCTGTCCTCCAATCCCCTGCTCCAAGGAACTGCTCTAGGCAGGGAAGAGAGAGGAGGAGGAGGCCCCGCATATCCTCGGGTAGAACGGAGGAGGAAACTGAGGCTCCTCACAGAGGTTAACTAACCTCTGCTAGACCACCCAGGTGTAAGAGCTGGGATGCCCCCAGACCCTCCCTTCTCCCGGGAGCGGTGGAGCCGAGGCGGTGGGGGCCTGGCTGGAGCGCCCCAGGAGCTGAGAGAAGTTTAGTCCACCTGGAGCTTGGCAATCGGGGTGAGGATCCCTTTGAGGCCGGGTTGCACAGGATCCTATAAGCCATCATTGTACACGCTTGGGCTTTGCCCTGAAGGCTGGGGGAGCCATAGCAGTTGTGTGAGGTTGGCTGCTGGGTGGAAGCCAGGGGCTTGTGGGATTGGAGGGGGAGGCTGCTGCGATTGTCCAGGCAGTGGTGGTCTAGATCGTGCAGTGGTGGTGGATATCAACTCTTCAGAGTCCATCCAGGTCTGAGGACTCATTAGCAACCTCGGCTATTCCTCGACTACTCAGGATGTTGTCTGTATGGGGCCGGTGGCCTCAGCACTCCTGGTTCCTCAGCATCGCCACGCCCTCTGTATCCACGGACTCAGAATCTGTGTTTTAACAAGACCCCCAAGAGGTGCCAGTACACACGGCACATTCATGTTTGCAAACACTGGTTTAGGGAACCTGTTGACCTCAGCGCAGGGCTGAGGGGGGAAGAAAGGACTGAGGTCAAGGCCTGACTTCATGAGGAAGGGGAGGTTGGGGAGCGGGGGAAGAGGAGATGATGTCGGAGCACTCAGACTTCTGACTGGGAGGAGGGCTACATCACCCCACGCCAGGGGCGGCTTGAGGACTAGTGCAGTTATAACACAAAGGGCCGAAACGGCCTGGCCGCTGGGGCAGGGCAGAGAGCTGGGCTCCACAGGGCAGCCTGCACACCCCATCTCTGCCCTTGGAGGCCCTAGAACCCTGTGGACCCTGTCCTTTGTCCTTTCTGCCGTGTCCATGTAGGTGTGGGTCGTGTCTGCCCCACAGGTTGGGTATTTGCCGTTGTGCTGTCAGCAGATGGGTGTTGAGCCCATGCAGGCCTGGACTTGGTCACAGAACGGCATCCTGCTTGTTGAGTAGCCATCCTGGTCATGAGGGGTCATGTGGTAATGAGTGTATGGAGAGCTGGGGGCGTCATTGTGAAGACCAAGTGAAGCAGCAGTCGGATCTGGGACAGAGGTTCCTCTAGGGAAAGACTATTATGGTCTGGGGCACCCTGGAGGCACGCGCCGTGGCTGGAGGGTGGGTGAGTCTGTGGCTGGTGGGTTCGGCTGAGGCAGGGGAGTGCGCTCTTCAGCCCAGCCCCCTGGCCTGGGCCCTGCCGTGCTGGAGTCTCCTGGTGCCTGGAGGCTGAGTCGAATGCAGTGGGGCTGGGCAGAGGGTGCCCTGGCTGTCGTGGGGTGGAAGCTTGGCTGACCCAGTGGACATCAGCCAGGACCACATTAGGCCCAGCTTTGGCTGGGTTCCCCACAGCTGTGCCCAACGGCATCCCTGGCCTCCACCTACTGGATGCCAGTACTACTCTCGTCTTCCAAGAATGTCTGCAGGTACTTCCAGATGTCCTCTGGGTGGGGGGTAAAATTGCTCCGTTGAGGGCCAGTGCTGGCTGAGGGTTCTTCATCATTCCCTTCTGGTCCCAGCCTGGCTGCACTGCCACCTGGCGAGCTCTGTTTCCAGGCAGTGGGTCAGGCCTGCTTTGGGGGCTGGCATGCTGTCCTCCCTCACCCATGTCAAGGCCCGTGTAGCCATGTGCTGACATGTGCTTGATGTGACCTGGGAGTCAGAGCGCCTGGCTTCCTGCTCCAGGCTTCCGTGGTGCCGTAAGGACCTCAGGTCTGGGGGTCAGGAGGCCTGGATGGAAAATCCTGGCACTCTGGTCCTTGTAGGGGACCCTGAGCCTCGATTTTGCATCTTTGGCGTGGGGCTGTGGTAGCCTTTCCATGGGTGCTGGTGGAGGCTGCGAATGCCAGTGTGCCCACCCTCCCCATGCTGGGCTTAGCGTGGGTGCCTGGTGACAGTGTGTTAATCTCCCCTTGACTTCTCTGTGACCTCAGATAAGTCCCTCTCAGTTCTGGGCCTTGCTTATAAAAGGGTTCTTGGGCTCTCTTCTGTGTAAAAAGTGGGGAATGAGGTGGAGAGCCTGGGGGACAGGGGAGTCATGGGGTTGGACACCGTGCCAGAGCCTGTGGTGCTTTAAAATCAAGGCTCAAACCCAGGGTCCTGAAGAGGGCCGAGCAGCAGCTGAGGTCCGAGTGCACCCGGCCTGCCAGTGCTGCCCAGGAGTGGCGCCTCCCGTCATCCCTCACGCCCAGCAAGGACCCAGTGTGACAAGAGCATGGAGTCTGGACCTGGCAGAGCTAGGTTTGCCTCCTTGCTCTTCTATGACTAGCTGCATGGCTCCTGGAGCCTGTCTGAGCTTCAGGTGCCACACCTGAAGACTGAGGTTAAATGGGAGGCGGGGAGGAGCTGGTGACACTGACTGGATGCCACTATGTGCCAGCCTCATTCATTCCACCCTCTGGCAGTGTCCTGAGTTACATGCCCAGCCACCGTGCTATTTTCCAGGCCGGAAAACCGAGGTGTAGAGCCCAGCACTCGGCGTAGGAGGCACACAGCAAGTGAAGCCATCCTTGTTGACATGAGCTGGTTGCTCTTGGCATTTGAGTCTGAATATCAAAGGCCCTGAAGATTAAAAAGAGAGAATGAAGAATGATGTGCCTGGTGCCTTCTTGGGAAGAGCCCGAGGCCAGCTGTGGAGGGGAGCAAGACTGGTTCTGGGCTGGGCTTCCTGGCCTGGTGCTTTCCTGGGCAGCTGGAAGTGCTTCTGTGGGAGCTGTCTGGCCCTGGCGCCGTTGTTGGCTTCATTATTTTTTGCCTGCAGGGGCCTGAGTATTCTGTACTGACGGGAAAACATTTGTTGGGCTGACGCTGTAATCACACCACAAGGGACACTTGAAATTATATCTGTATTTGGGAAGCTAATTTTAAAGAACTTTTTCTCTTCATAATTATATGCAATCAGCCAGCTAGTGTTATTGGGGATTCTCTTTTTCCCTCTTCAGCTGAGAGGCCATCTGCCTTCCTCTTCCTGCCTTTCCTTCCAGCACACGGTGAGCCATCTCCCTGGGAGAGGGACCACTGGCCCTTGGCTGCCTGCAAGCCCCAGGGAAACCTTTCCATGGTGATTGCGGAGGAAGGGATGAGGAGGAAGAGCAGGGGAGGATGATGGGGGCCTCTGGCTTGGCTACAGGATGAGTCCGTTTTCAAGACTGGAGGCGCAGGTTGGTGATGGAAATGATGGAGTGTAGCGTTTCGATTTGGACATTGAAGCAGCCAGGGCTCTTGTGAATGCAAGTGGCAGAAAATCCAATTCAGATGAGTTTAAGCAAAAAGAAAAAAAAAATACATTTCTTGGCCCAGGTAACCAAACTGGCACAGGAATAGTCTTATCCCTCAGGTCCCCAGACATTCCTCCTGTCCCTGGAGTTTTATTCCTCATCAGGAGGAATTTAGTTCCAGAAAACGCTGGCCAAAAAAAGAAAAGAAAAGCCCCCGTTGCCCACCCCCTGCAAATGGGGCTCATTCCTCTCTATCTTGAGCTCTGATCCTGACAAGTAGGGTTTCTCCAGGATGGTGGCTAGCACACCAGTCAGGGATACGGGCTGGACATTTAGGGTTGGCACGAAGTGGACTCTGTGGATTGTCCTTCACACGGGAGGCATTCAGGTCAGGAGAATATACCATGTGCTGGCCCTTCAGGTCTCGATCTGACCACCCTTTCCAACACCCTGGGTTCCTCTGTGTCCTTCCTCTTGGACCGCCCTCTGAGAGGATGGTGCGAGGAAGAGGCTTCCGTGTTGTGCATGGTAGGCAGGGATGGGGGCGTTCCAGGGGCGGACAGCATGGGCAGGTGGTCAGAAGTGTGAAAGAACCGACCTGTGGGGCACGGCAGGAAGCCCGGTGTGCTAGGAACAGATGGGGCGAGACTTGCTGGGTGAGGAGGTGTGCACCTGCTGCAGAGGCCCAAGTGGTGGGGGTGAGGGAAGCCCAGGGGGTGAGTCTGGGCAGGGGCTGGGGGGTGATGAGCCATGTTTCAGATGCAGAAGGTGCAGAGTGTGTGTGCAGGGACAGCAGGGAGACCGCCTGGTGGCCTGCACCGCAGAGCTGTGTGTCTCAGGGAGTGGGAAGCCCTGCCTGTGCTGGCCTCAGTTCTTCCGCTCTTCTGGAATTCTGCATCCTTCTTTTGACATTTCTCTCTAATGCCCAGGGTCCTGGCTCTTGGCTTTGGCTTGGTGGCAGCTGTGACCCCCTGCATGGGGCTCTGAGGGATTATTCCAGCTGTTTGGGGACTGTAGCCATGGCTCCCAGCTGCAGAGCCTGACAGGCCTGGAGGCCGGCAGGAAGAAGATGGGGGCTGTGCCCGCCTGCCGAGAGCTGGCTCTGAGACTGACTCTTGGCACTGGGGTCCTCTGAGGCCCCAGGCTCATTCTCACCTCCTCCAGAGACCCAGCTGACATACCATTCTCATGAGCTGCAGTCCTGTGACCCAGCTGATTTCTGTCTCATTGGTGGAACCCTTTAGAGGTGGGGTAGGGCTCCTAAAACATTAGCCCTACTGCCTTCCCCACAGATTGGCCTCTCTTCCCTGCCTGTGGGCATCTGGCATCTGCTTGAATCCTTCTTGTCACGGGGTGCTCATCACCTCTTGACTGCCTTCCTATGGAAGCCAGCAACCTCTTCCTATGGTTGAGCTGAAATCTACTTCATAGGAAGGGTTCCTTCTGCCTGGAAGGTTTGATATTGGACAGGACTGTCAACCGTGTGGAGAGGGGAGGAACAGGGTGCTGGCTCCCCCGGCTTCTGGGCTGGATTGACCCAGGGCGTGTCTACCCCACAGCATCCTGACATGCCAGAGGCTGGACCTTAGGAAGTGCCTTCCGGGCCCTTCACTGCAGGCCTGCTCAGGGGCTGCTCCTCAGGTCTTGGGGCCCCTGGGGCAATGGCATCCATCCTTTTGGCCTCCTGGGGTCAAGGTTCTGAGGGAGGATTAGGGCAGCAGGTGGTTGGGTGGAGAGGCAGCTCTGTCCAGAACAACCCTGTTCCAGAAATCCCAGAGCCTCATCCCCAACAGACCCGGTGGGCCCCCCACCATCACACAGGTCCCCTTTCTCCCCAGGAAGTCACACAGTGCTGTGGGATGAGGAGGGTTTCCTGACAGATTTGGGGAGAGCGGGCCTGGGTGGGGAGTAAGGGAGCCTGGGAATTACTGGTATTTGGATGGGTTTAGATTGTGGTTCTGCTTCTTACCTGCTGTGAGTCTTTGGTCAGGATACTGAACTGCTCTGAATTTCCCCACTTGAAAAGAGGTGACAGGCCAGGCGCGGTGGCTCACATCTGTAATCCCAGCACTCTGGGAGGCCAAGGCGGGAGGATTGCTTGAGCCTGGGAGTTTGAGACCAGCAACCTACTGGGCAACATAGTGAGACCCTGTCTCTACAAAAAATAAAAAAAGAGGCCTGGTGCAGAGGCTCATGCCTGTAATCCTAGCACTTTGGGGGGCCAAGGCAGGCAGATCACTTGATGTTGGGAGTTCGAGACCAGCCTGGTCACCATGGCAAAACCCCGTCTCTCCTAAAAACACAAAAATTAACAGAGTATGGTGGCGCACGACTGTAGTCCCAGCTACTTGGGTGGCCAAGTAGCTCCTGCTTGAACGCGGGAGAATTGCTTGAACCCAGGAGGTCAAGGCTGCAATGAGCCGAAATCGTGTCACTGCACTCTAGCCTGGGTGACAGAGGGAGACCCTGTCTCAAAAAAAAAAAAAAAACAAAACAAAACCAAAAAAGAAAAGATGCAACCATTGTACCCACCCAGTGGTTGCTGAGATCCAGTGTGAGGGGGACGAAGTGCCTGGCACTCACAAATCCTGCCCCGCCACTGCCTCGTCTGTCCCTGTTTCTGCCTGGGACAGGGAGAGCAGGCCTGGGTGGGGAACGAGAGAGCTCGGGGATTACTGGTGTTAGCCTCTCATTTATTTGGGTCGTGCTCAGGCCCCTGGAATCCTCTCTGAAACTGGAGAGTCTCTCGGGTAGCCGATGAAGCGCTGCCTGTTTTAGGGTCAGGTGCCTGGGCACCTCTGATGGACCTCAGGATGAGCCCAAGTGTCAGTAATTATCACCCAGCTCCCCGGTTTGCAGCCAAGGCTTCCAGGCCTGGAGCCTTTGGTCTCCAGCACCCAGTTCCCCCACATCCCTTCCCTGGGCTTCTTTCCCGCCATTCCCATCAGGGACCCCTGCGGCCATGCTGGGCTGTACCCAGTGCCCCTTGGGAATCTGCGGGTACCGTGCAAAGCTGTGCTGTGCTCCTCCCCATCAACTCCTCATTGACTGTTGAAGGCCCCTACAAACTCCTGACAGGTCCTCATTCATTCCTGCCTGACACATGAATGCTTCCAGGCGATGTCTGAGAATCCTGGGATGGCAGAGCTGTGGGAGCCTTGGGGTTGTGGTGGGCAAAGTAAGGCCCCTGCCACTCCCCACCAAAGACAGCAGGTTCTAATCCTCAGAGCCTGTGAGTGTGCTGCCTTACATGGTAAAAGGGTATGACATGACTACAGATGGGATTTTTAAATTTTTATTTTTCAGAGATGGGGGTCTCACTGTGTCACCCAGGCTGGAGTGCAGTGGCTATTCACAGGTCTGATCATAACGCACTGCAGCATCAAACTCACGGCCTCAAGTGATCCTCTCGCCTTAGCCTCCCAAGTAGCTGGGATTATAGGCATGTGCCACTGCTCTTGGCTTACAGATGTGAAGGAGTGAGGCATCTTGAAATAGAAAATGTTCCTGCATTACCTGGGTGGGCCTGGTGTAATTACAAGGAGGCAGGAGGGCCAGAGGAGATGTGACAGTGGAAGCAGAGGTTGGGGTGTTGTGGCCACAAGCCAAGGAATGTGGACAGCCTTTAGAACTAGAGAAAGCGGAGGAATCGATTTCTCCCTGGAGCCTCCAAAAGGAAGCCTGCCTCTGACCTCAGAACCCTAAGAGAATAATACATTTGTGTTGTTTTTAGCCACTACTGTTGTGATTTGTTACAGCAGCAATGGGAAGTGAATACAGTTTTCTCCTACCCTGCTCTTCTTAGGGCTTGTGGGTGAATCTGTGACTGAGAAGGGAGGGACTGGGTCAGGGTCAAGGTCAAGGCCAGAGCCCATGTGACCCGACACCTTGGGACTTTCCTTTGACCTGCCATCCCGAAAATATCTGAGGGGCCAGGGAGATACTCCAGTAAGGTGCCTTGTGGTTTAAGTTTTCTGAGATGGGGTCAGGGCTGACTCATGCCTGTGGCTGGGGGGCCCCAGGAAACCCCAGTGCCCATGACCTGGTCTTTGCCTTTGCTTCTCCTGGTGCTTAGCAGGCCTTCTCTAGCGTGCCCTGGCAGCCTCCCTCTCCCTCCCCTCCAGGGCCTGGCTCACACAGCAGCTCTACTGAAACTTCCCTGTGCCTCCTGCTGTCCCCCAGGTGTTTGTGCTATTTAAGGGCCTGTGGCACACCCGCCAGAGGGCATGGCATGTAGCCCACTGGTCTGCCCTGTGGCAGCTAGCATCTCGGGGCAGGGTTTGCGGTCTGGGGTCCCCCTCTGGTCCCAGGCCAGCCCAGTGCGTGACAGAGAAGCCCAGCAAATGTTTGACCAAAATCAGACCAGGAAACTCTCGCTGCCTGTGGTTGGAGGTGCAGCAGCAGGGCAAAGACAACTAAACTTTAAGGGCTTGGGATCCAGGGACCAGGAGCTGCCCCCAGCCCTCAGGCCAGGTAAGGAGTGTTGGCAGCAGAATTTGGGTGAAGTCTTTCGGTCTCCTCTGGAACACAGCCTTTCAAAGAGTGTCAGCATCCAGGACACAGGCTGGGGACACACACACTTATGCTGCTATTTTAGGAGTGTGGGGTACCTTGAGGATAGGTGCTAGAACAATTCAGGCTTTCCTGAGCAGGCTTCTCCCTCCCCCAGTGAGTCCAAGGGAGGGAAATGTCACGGGAATTTCTGCCTCCCTTCCTGCAGTAGCCTACCTTGCTCATTAGGCTGATACTAAATGACTTTGCATTCTTGGGATTAAGAAGCTGCTGTGAAGAGAACCAACTGAATCATTAGCCCTGAGGCTGGCTGGCTGACGGAGGAGGGGGAGTGGGGGTAGCGGGGAGGGGAGGAGGTGCTAGAACCAAGCCTGCCAGCACCCCCCACTACCTCCCTCTCCCAGCAGCCAACTCCCCTGCTTCCCACAATTTAGGTCCCATCCCTAATTAGGGGAAAGAAAAATTACCGCACCTGCAAGGGGATAGTAAAAGACTCAAAAACAATTTCAAGTCGAGAATTTCCACACTAAAAAGCGGGGATGTCGAGAGCCATTAAGGGAATAGATTTAACGTTTGTGATCAGCAAGAAGTCAGGATGATTCCTGATCTGAAGTGGTGGCCCCTTGGATGTGGCAGAACACTGCCTTGCGTGATCTCCTGCCCTCGCCTCACTTCCTCCTTCCTGAAAATTGAACTGAGGAGGGGAGTCTCAAAGGCACCTCAGTTCCTGTGCTGCTTTCAGCCCCTGCAGCTCTGATGACCTCTCCGGGAGGTGCCAAAGGTGGGTCACCCACTCTGTCTCTCTCTTGTGCCTGTTCACTGGGAAAAGCTGCTTCCAGGCACCCCTGGAAGCTGTTCTGGGTCTGAGGGAGTGTACTGACTCAGGCTGCTGTGCCTGCACTGAGGGGCGCCCGGACTTTGGGGCCGGCCTGCCTCCCCTGGGTGGGGCACCCGGTCGGGGGGAGGGTCTTCAGGTAAGGTGGTTGGTGACTCCCCAGTCAAAGGAAAGATGCCCCCACTCAATAAAAAAGACACATGGCAGCTTCCAGTTTATCTGGTTCTTCCCTAGAGCTGTCCAGACAATTCAAATGTTTGTACTGGCTTTAAAATTCTGTTCGTATGTTGTCTTTATATCGGGCCATTTCAGTTTCTGGCACTGTTAATAGGAGGAAAATCCAAATTACCAAACAATCAGCAAGTAAACCAAGATGCCGCAGGGCAGGCGGGCAGGGGTGACACGGGGCTGGAGCCTGGCCCAGGAACCCGGCAGCACTCGGGGAGTGTTTGCAGAGAGCCTGCCAGGCCCAGGGTCTGCAGGGGGCACAGGGATGCTGAAATAAAGAGCCATCTTTGGCCTCGAGGGGCTCATGGTCTGATGCTGAGCATGGAGCAGGCTTCAGTGGAAGCCATTATTCCTGCCTCTTGATGAGGAAGGCACTTGAGCTGCTCTTGGTGGGTGGGCAGGAGTTTGCCAGCTGAGGAAGGGTGCCTGGCAGGGGGATCAGTTTGTGCAAAGGCAGACTTAGGTCAAGCCTTGGCATTTGGAGATTGGGGTCCCTCCTGGGAGGGTTTGAGAGGCTGCTGCTGCCTCCCCCTCGTGTCTTCTGAGCTGCACCTCCAAATGCCCATGTGGCAGGTGTTTTGCTAAGAATTTGGGGCTGTGGACACAGGGCACAAGCTGTGTCCCTGAAAGAGTGCTTGTTAGTCAGGATAGGCCAGGTTAGGCTGCAGTGACAAGTAGTGTCGAAAGGCTGGCGGAAATAGGTTTACTCACAACTCATTCAGCATGCACTCTGGATCCAGAGACTCTCGGGGGCTGTGGTCTGCCCTGCAGTGGCTCAGTGTGTATCCCACTTCTTAAGTTCAGCACTGTGGACCTTTTGTGCTGGATAATTCTTTGTTTTAGGGGGCTGTCCTCTGCATTACAGGGGCCCTTTCCTCACTGGATTCTAGTAGCACTTTCCTCGGTGTGACAATCAAAAAGCTCTTCAGGTGTTGCTAAATCTCCTTGTGGGGGACACACAGTTGCCCATAGTTGGGAACCAGCGCTAGCTGGAGGTCCTCTTCATCAGTTGTTTCTTTCTGGTTCCCAGCCTGGCTTCGTCGCCACTCAGCCCGCGTTGTTTCCAGGTGGCGGGTCTGGCTGGCTCTGCTGGTGGGTGGCAGCCTCATGTGCTTCCTTGTTTCTGAGGTCAGGGAGGCCTCGGTGCTGGCAGTGGAATGCTTTTTCCAGGAGGGGACATGGTCACCTCTGTTCACATCTCATTGCCCAAGGCAAGTCCTGTGGCCATGCCTGACTGGGGGCAGGGACAACACAGTGGCACTGAGTGTCCAGGAGGGAAATTGCCGGCTTTGATGGCCACCATTGATGTTCACCACCGAGCATTAGCCTGGTGGGGTCAGTGCAATGGAGTCCAGCAGCCTTTCTCTCTGCCCAGTGCTGGGTGTGGGCAGCTTGGGGCAGTGGGGCCTGAGGAGGGTGGGAGCCAAGGCAGGTTTCTCCAGAGGAGCTGACCTGGGGGGTCAGGTGGTGATGTGGGGATGGCATTTGAGGAAGGGAACAGTGTGGCCATCAACACACATGGGTGACGGGGCTTAGTCATCTGTTTAGGAGCCCCAAGTCCTGGGGAGACATCCTGGGCTTCTGTGGGGTACGGTGTGGGCCCTGCCCTCTGCAGGCAGGGAAAGGGGACCATAACTTGGGGCTTTTTCCCCAGTGCCTGGTACCTGGAGGTGCCAAAGGGTCTTGTTATTTGGGGTGCCTGAAATCAGTAGTTACTGAACTGTGCCACACGTTGCTTGGATGAGGATGTGCCTGGCTTCCCACTTCCCCGAGTTGTTCTCCGTAGAACCTTCCTCCCTTGCTTCTTCACCATTTCATGTACTTCACTTGCTGCAGCGCTCAGGTCCCCACCCTGCCCTGGGGAGGGCCTCTTGGGTGGGAAAGGTCATATCCTTTTAACGGATATGAAAGCTGAGACCCCGAGCGGCTCAGCAGCACATCCCATGCCTGCTGCTGGTCATGGTCCCTGAGCCTTTTGTGCCCTGCTGTGCTGTGTGGCAGGCCTGCTGCTGGATGGGGTCTGTCATCCCAGAGTGTCTTGTGTTAACCTCCTGACGCCACACCTGGTACTGTGCTGCAGTGGCTTGGTGGTGGCGTGGATGCCGTGGACGTGTCTCTGCTCCTCATCACTCTTTTCTACTTCTGCCCTGATCATCTTTATTGTTTTCCCTTATCATCCCCTCTCCCTCAGTGCTGGGTCATCCAGAGTAATTTTCATCATCTTCAGAAGTGGTAACCACTGTCACTCACAGGGTCCCTGCTGCTCAGCGGCCAGCGACAGAAAGCTTTAGCTGGCTTGAGCAGAAATCTGCAGCTGAAGGTCTAGAGAGGACGAGCCCCACTGCGGCCGGGTCTGGCCGGGGAATTTGCCCTCCTGGAGCCCTCTTGGCCCTTTCTCCTGGTTGGCCTCTGGCTCATCTGGATTCTCGCCACATAGAAGCAATGGTGTCCTCCAGCATTTCCAGGCAGTGCCATTTGTACTGCAGACAGTCCCCCAGGACCCGTCCGGTAAAGGACCAGGACCGGCTTGGCTTGGGTCCTGCTCCCATGCTGCTGCTAAGTGAGGTGACAGGTCATGTGCCCACCCCTGGAGTGGGCGTGCCGCCCCCAGTCATGTGGACTGGAGGAGGCAGTTCTGGAAGGGTAGGAAGGCAGGGTGGCAGGGCAGAGTGCAGGTCACAAGACCCCCATCCCTGGCATGAGCCAGGTACTGTGCCAGGCCTGGACTCTGTTTCCCTTAAAGCCCGTGTGGGATGAGTTCTAGGATTCTCCCATTTTACAGATAAGAAAACAGAGGCACAAGGTACAGGGGGGTCTGGTTCCATGTTCTGCTCTCAGGGGCTCACCCACCTCTTCCGCTCCTGCCTACGCCCCCGAATTGTGTTCATCTAAGCCTCTGAATGCTGCGAAGCTCAGTCCTGGGCTTCTAACCACTTCCTGGCACCACCACGGTTGAAAAGTGGACTGCTGCTGCCTTCTTGCAGTGTTCTCTCGTCTCCTGGGCCTGGCGCAGGGCCTCAGTCTGCTCCTTCCAGACTGTGAGCGTCACAACTATTTCTGGTTCTTAGGTTTCCTTTACCCTTTTCCCAAGACCTGCAAGGGCTGCCCCCCACCCCACCCCTGCTATGTCCTCCCCTAGCAAATCAGATCCTGCTTCCACTGGTCACAGAGAAGCACATGGAGTCGCTCTTGTGGACAAGCAGCTGTCCCCATACCCAGCTGCTCCTGAGCAACACCCGGAGTGCGATGAACCCTGAATCCTTCCCAGGCCCTGCCCTAGGCCTCCTGGATCAGAGGCCTCAGGGTGGGCCTCGAATGAGGATTTTTGACACGCTCCAGTGGTGGTTCTCAGGTTATCTGCCCTGGCATTTGGGACCCACTGGCCCATAGGTAAAGGCTGGGCCACAGGGTGACATCCTGGGCCTCTGAGGCGTGCCCCACCTTTATCCTCTGTCCTGCGTCTCAGCCCCCGCCCCCTGAGAGGGCTTTAAGCTTCCAGAGCCCCAGACACCCTTTGGGGAGGGCGCAGGACTCACCTTACTCCTCTCTAAGTACTCTTCTCAGCACCGGTCTGTAGTTACCCTTCAGTTGCTCTGCCAGATGGCAAATGCTGCCTCCTCTTTGAAGCCTTCCTTTATTGCCAGCCTCCTCCTCTGAAAGGATCGAATCATTTTGTGAGTATTTTCACTTCCTGAAGGGTTCGTGCTCCTTGGACTTCTGGGGACAGGCTTCCCTGTGCAAAGCGGATCATCCCTTTGTTAATAATCCAGCTTTTGGAAAAGCATGTTTATACTTAGCTATTCCTATTTTATTAATATTCATATTAATATATTGTATTTATATATTAGTGTAATATTTATCAATACAATGACAGTTTAGAGCCTGTAAAATTATTCGCAGGTGCAGGTTTTGTGTTTTTTTTGAGACGGCATCTCGCTCTGTTGCCCAGGCTGGAGTGCAGTGGCACGATCTTGGCTCACTGCAACCCCCGCCTCCTGGGTTAAAGCAATTCTCCTGCCTCAGCCTCCCAAGTAGCTGGGATTACAGGCACCTGCTGTTATGCCCAGCTAATTTTTATATTCTTATAGAGACGAGGTTTTACCATGTTGGCCAGGCTGGTCTCGAACTCCTGACCTCAGGTGATTTGGGAGGCCCACCTCGGCCTCCCAAAGTGCTGGGATTACAGGCGTGAGCCACCATGCCCGGCTGCAGGTTTTTAATGAAACTTAAAAATTATTAAATTGTAGGCTGGGTGCAGTGGCTCAGCCTGTAATCCCAGCACTTTTGAGGTCAGGAGTTCAAGACCAGCCTGGCCAACATGGTGAAACCTTGTCTCTACTAAAAATACAAAAATTGGCTGGCATCATGGCAAATGCCTGTAGTCCCAGCTACTCGGGAGGCCGAAGCAGGAGAATTGCTTGAACCCAGGAGGCGGAGGTTGCAGTGAGCTGAGATCATGCCACTGTACTCCAGCCTGGGCGATAGAGCCAGACTCTGTCTCAAAAAAAAAAAATGTAACTTTTATTGTTACTTTCCCTATAGTTTTGAGGGTAGCGTATATGTTCATTGTAGAAAATCTGGAAAACACAGGGAAGTATGAAGGAAAAACCACAGCCCCGTGGCCACAGTTAACACTGCAGCACACGCACCTCAGTCTGTTTTCCAGGTATCGGAATGTTTCCACGGGCTTAGAACCCATAGCGAGTGCTGCAGCCTGGTGGTCCCCACTGCAGGCATCATTTCAGCTCCTCTTTGGGACAGCACTTGGAAGCTTTTCATGATACATCCTGAGCTCTGCTGTCTTGTGTCCTCCATTGATCGATTGCTTCGTGCTTTTATCAAGCATCTATTTAAGAAACAATTAAAAAATATATTTTCCAGTTTTTGATAACATGTTATAGGCACATGGCACAACATTGAAGCAATGTATGAGGGGACACAGTGAAAAGGAAGTCCCTCGGCCACCCCAGCTGCCCTTGCCCTTGACCAGGGGCCCTGCCATGATTGTTTTCCTGTAGCGCCCTCAGGTTCACTCTGTGTGTACACAAGCACACATGCTTGTCCTGGATGTTGTTCTTAACACAGATAATTATCTACAGCACACAGGGTTTTGCATCTTACCTGTTTCACACAGCAACGTCTTGGAGATAATTCCTCGTGGGTGCATGGAGGCCTTCTGTGTTCTTTTTTACTGCTGCATACTATTCCTTTGACTGTGTGTGGTTTGTTAATGTCCCCTCTTGGGGGAAGTTTAATTTGCTGCTAGTGTTTTGCTATCACATACAGTTTGGTAATTAACAGGGCAGAGCCGGAAACATATTGCACACTTGAGCCTGTCTGTGGGGTGATGAGGTGGGATCATGGAGCCAGGGTTTTCAGGAGGAACAGTCACTTGACAACCAATGCTCTGATTTGTGTTCCCTCCTCCTGTCTCCCATGTCCCTTCCTTCTCCCTCTTCCCCTTTGGCTTCATCATTCAATTTCTGAACTTTCTGGTTATGGCAGGACTTTAGGAACTTGCTTCTTGGGGAATCGAGGTTGTTGGTGCCTTTGCTCTGCACGAGTTTCCCAGTGAAAAATGAGCCCCGACAGGTTGTTTTATTTTCCCGAGAGGCTGTGGTGGTGCATGTGGGATTCCACCACCAGAGGGGATGCAGTTTTCCGCTGCCACCTCCTGGTCCTTCCATTGCACTGAGGCCCTGGAGGCTGGAGACCAGGCCTTCCAGCTTGGTGCCACCCTTGCCCACGGTGGTGCACCTGGTGGTGAACACGTGGGTGTGGGGAGAGCCCTGTTCCGGGCCAGCTCCTGCACTTCCTGAGTCTCCCAGGCCTCGGCCTGCTCTGCAGGTAATGGGGTAACCACTGTCCCACCCTCATGAGGCTGCAGAAGGTATTGGTGAGTGGTGAGCTTCAAGGGGTGTGTAGCATACGTGGGTGGCCCCCTCTTTTCTGCCACTGTTGCAACTTATCCTTTTTTTGGAGCTCTGAGCGACAGAGGAACTGCTGTGGCTCCTGGGAGATCAACCCCACTTAAGATTGCAGCCGATCTTTTCTCTAGATTACTTTTTTGTTGCTTTCTTATTTTATGTGTTCCATCTGTTTTCAGTGAGAGACTGTTTTTTTAGGACTAAGGGAGGGAGAGCTGCCTGGGATGATGTAAAATGTGGACTGATTGGAATTGACCTCAGTAAAGAGAGGAGAGTCACACGCTGGGATAACCCAGATGCCAGCAGGGTTGACTCAGAGGGAAACCGAGGCCCTGGCCCAGAGCCCAGTGGAAGTCTGCGCTCCTCTGTCACCGGCCTTTCCCATTGTGCGGTTCACAGTCTCGGTGATTTGGGACTTGAGTTTTCTGTCCTGGAGCAGGGCCGCTGGAGTTTGGGCTGGCTCCTCAAGGTCCTCTGCTGTGTGTCCTGGGTCAGGTTCCCGTCAGTGACGCTTCCTTCAGTTTTCTCGTCCCTGCGGGGGGAGGGGCAGGATGATTGGGAATGAGGCAGGGGCTGAGGTGTCCACAGGTGCTCAGAAACGGTGCAGGTTGTGAGCGGGTGGTTGGGTGTAGCACAGGTTCCTCATGATGCTATCTGTCACTGTGCTGTGGGCTGTGGTGGCCCAGGGCTATGCTGTTGTGTATCTCCCCTGTCCCTCATGAAACCGTGGAAGCAGATGGATATTGGCCACCATTCCTACAGGAACTGCAGACAAGCTAAGAGACACTGAGGGTCCCTGAATGCCTCAACCAGGGTGGTTCTCAAACTGGATTCCTCGGGGCCCAGGTTTCTGTTGAGGTGTCGGGGGTTTGAGGGAAGGTGGGCTGGGTGCTTCCCACAGTGGGACCTGGTCAGCTCTCCTTGGCCTCTGTCTTCCTGTCTCATGGAGTGGCTCCTTTGTGAGGTTCCGCTCAGTGCCTTGCTATCAGAAGGTGTTGAGGAAGCCCTCACTGAATGAGCTGACAAACAGATGTAGGAATTGGTGGGCGGCGCCTCAGCTGTGCCATGAAACAAGGGAGCAAGGGTGCCCAAAGGTTCCTGTGGGGCTTGTGCCCATCTCCTCCCTAAGACCTTGAGCCTCTCAAGGGCCCAGACTGTGGAGGTTGCATTTGTTGTACCCTCCGAGTGCTGGGCCCAGGAGCTGAGCTAAATTGTTACACATTTACACCTTCATCTGCCAGCAGCCGTTGAGGAGTGTCTGTGTGCCAGGTGGGCATCATAATTGGGCACGGGCACACATAGCTTTAAAGTTTGGCATAGTCCCTGCTCCAAGGAGCTTGGGTGAGTAAACCACACATTCCTGACCTTGCCTGGCTGCAGCCATCTTTGAGCATCTGCTGGAGGCCTTTCTTCCCAGCACAATGTGCACAGTATGCTGTCTTGGGTGCCTCGGTCCCTGCAGGTCCTGGTGGCCCTACACCAGTGCTTGTCCCTGGCTCGTAGCAATCAATACCCCAGAACAAAGGGCCGAGACAGTGGTAGCCTTAAGTTCTTCCAGGTTAGGAGGCGTCCTGGAGAGGCTATGCTGAGCCGAATCCTCAAGGCTGGGGTGGGAGGTGGGCACCAGGGCCAGGGAGGAGAAAGCCCTGTGTGCCAGAGCTGCACAGGTGGGCACTTCCTGGGCCCACAGTAAGAAATGTGGGATGGGGGAGGCTGGACGTGGTGGCTCGCGCCTGTAATCCCAGCACTTTGGGAGGCTGAGGCAGGCGGATCACCTGAGGTCAGGAGTTTGAGACCAGCCTGGCCAACATGGTGAAACCCCATCTCTACTAAAAATACAAAAATTAGCCGGGCGTGGTGGTGGGTGCCTGTAGTCCCAGCTACTTGGGAGGCTGAGGCAGGAGAATCGCTTGAACCCGGGAGGCGGAGGTTGTAGTGAGCTGAGATCGTAACATTCCACTCCAGCCTAGGCAACAGAGTGAGACTCTGTCTCAAAAAAAAAGAAATGGGTCAGGAAGAGAAGGGTAGGAGTCAACAGAAAGCCTTTGTGTGTTCTGGGCAAACCCCGACCCAGGCCATGAGGCTCCTAAAATTGGGTGGCAAGAGTCAGGTTACGTGGTGGCCGTGGGACTGCATGTGAGCGGGGAAGATGTAGAGGACATGAGTGCAGCTTGGAGGCTGTTGGCGAGGCCAGGGCAGGCATCAGTGGAGCATTGGGAAGGCAGCGGGCAGGACTGTGTGGGCCTCCCGTGTGTGGCAGTGGATGGGTTGGGGCATGACTGGCTGTGGCAGGTCCTGGGGCGAGACCTGATGGGGAGGACATGGGGACCTATGGGGGTTGAGCTCGGCAGGGACGGCAGGTGGTGAGGATGGTGGTGAACTTGGTGGCAGGGGCCTTGGGACGACCCAGGCTGGAGCTCGGCTGACAGAGGCCCGGCCCAGGAGTGGAGGGAGGTGGCTGGCGTGGGGCCTCCAGAGGACTCCAGCAAGTCCCTCTGCAGAGCCAGCCCTCTCAGTGGGAAGGTGGTTTGAGGAGTGGCTGGGAGTGGAAGGCATGGCTGTTCTGGGACAGTAGCAGGAGAGGCGCAGCTGCCGGCTCCCTCCTGAAACCCTCTCATGGTCCTGCCCTCAGCCGGCTGTCGGGAACCTTCGGAAAGGACGTGTCCAGCCTGCTGGAGTAACGCTTGTTTTCTTTGTTTTTCTCCACAGGAAGCGAGGGATGGAGGTTGTGCAGGTGAGTACAGACCGCGTCCCCGTGGTTCTTTGGGTAGTGGGGCCCTTGGTGCCCACCTCTCTGTCTCTCCTTCTCTCCTCCAGCATTGGGCACGGCTTTCTCTCTTCTTCACGTGCAGCTTGTTTTTAGCTCCCCTGTGGATTTGATGTGGTTTCTGCCCTGGCCTGGGCAGACTCCGACAGGGGCTTCTCGGGTTTGGAGGGTTGCTGTGGCTTTGTCAGTGGGGAGAGGGTTGGTTTGGGAGTCCTGAGGGGGGTGTGCATGGCAGTGGTCAGGTTAGGGTGGGTGTGGGAAGGGTGAGGGGGCAGTAGGCACCCAGCTAGATGTCCAGTTGTCTTGTGCTCTGTGTAGCCTCACCCTGGGTGGACTTGGTTCAGGTGCTCATTAACTAGAAAAAGAAGGATGGATGGAAGAAGAAGGAAGAATGGATGGAGGGGGAAGGAAGGATCTTGGAGGGAGGGGAAAGGTGGACAGATGGAGGGAGAAGGAAGGATGGAGGGAGAAGGAAGGATGGATGGAGGGGAGGAAGGATAGAAGGATGGATGGAGAGAAGAGGGAAGGATGGATGGAGGGGGAAGAAGGAAACATCAAAATACTCTCAGACTCTATGTGAGGGGCAGGCTGTGTTATTTGCACTAAAGGCTGTACCTGGCACCTAATGGGTACTTGGTAAACCTGATGGTGGCCTGGCCATGTCCTCTGTTCCCCACGCTGTCCCCGTGGAGGGTGACTGTGGTCTGTGCAGCTGGGCTGGCATCCCATCTCCTTGTCTTACGGGCCTCATCTGCCTGTAGCTGCAGAGAGGGGAACTCAAGCTGGGGACTAGATCAGGGCAGTGGAGGTGCTGGCCCCTGCTAGAATATCTAAGGGGCTTTCAAAAAGCCCACTGGGGAGCTCTTCCAGCCCACCCCTGTTAACTTCAGCTCCAGGCCTTCCCTCAGCGGTCATAGGAGAGCAGCGTCCCCATTCCTGCAGGTTCAGCATTGCAGGCCCCAGGTTTCCCCTGCTCCTGGGACCAGACTGGGGCTGGTTGACGGGTGGGGCTGGTAAAGGATCCTCCTGACCTCCCTCCTGGTAGTTTGTGGGTTGAACTTGTCACTGGAAGACTGAGATTTGTTTTGGGGTAAGGAGGTAGTTTCTGGAAGCCTCTCAGCAGCTCTAGGTTTTTGTCCAGGCTCTTCTTGGCTCTGGAGAATTGCATGTTCTGCACTAGATTTTTCTTTTTTCTCTTCCTTTTTTTTTTTTTTTTTTTTTTTTTTTTTTTTTTTGAGAAGGAGTCTCGCTCTGGAGTGGAGGCTGGAATGCAGTGGAGCTATCTCAGCTCACTGCAACCTCTGCCTCCTGGGTTCAAGTGATTCTCGTGCCTCAGCCTCCTGAGTAGCTGGGATTAGAGGCGTGTGCCACCACACCCAGCTGGTTTTTGTGTTTTTAGTAGAGATGGGGTTTCACCATGTTCCTCAGGCTGATCTTGAACTCCCGACCTCAGGTGATCCACCCACCTCGGCCTTCCAAAAGTGCTGGGATTACAGGTGTGAGCCACCGCGCCCAACCTGCATTGAATTTTTCTGTGGGCTTTAATTTCTCCATCATCAAGTGGGGGATACTGGAATTCAGGAATGGCTTAGGGGTGTGTGTTCAGGGACCATTTCTGTTTGATTGGTTTTGGCAGCCTGGAGGATCCTAAATCTGTGAGTGGGTGGGAACAGGGGTTGATCTGTAGTGCCTGCCAGGGGTACAGGCGTGGAAAGAGGAGGTGTGGTTATTCATCTCATCACGGGGTTAGATGGTCTCTAACCATTGCACCTCTAGGATGCGGTGGCTTCTATTTCCCTTTTAGCCCTCTATGATGGTTCACTGGGAAATCCACGGATCCTTTACAGATGCTGCTTTACCCACAATAAGCCTGAGACTGACAGCTGGGGCTCACTGTGCTCAGGAAGGCCCCGGGTTGCCCTGTGGTTCCGCCCAGCCACTTGGGAGGGTCCATGGGGGAACTGCTGTGGGAGCCATTTTCAGAGGAAGTGAGTTCAGGCGCTCCCCAGCAAACACACTGCCTGAGAGGGCAAGACAGCCTTCCCCCATGCCTGATCCTGTCCATACGCGACCTCAAACTGTCACACAGTGGGTGTCACCCCCACCGCTCGAGGAGAGGATGAGAGATGGACAGGGGTCGGCGGGTTTCATTTATGTGGCATTCTGGGAAGATTTAGACTAAAATCTTTAATCCGCTCGGTCTGTGGGAGGAACAGGAGACTGGAGCCATTGTGTCAGAATGTCCGGGGCAGAAGAAGCATTGCGAAATCTTTCTAGACATGTATGCTGTTCATTTAGGTGGTGGCTTGGGGGAGGAAGTGGTGGCTGGGGACCAGAACGAAGCCAAACTGGACACTTTACACTTCAGCATCTAAAAATAAAACCTACCACGATACCTCTCTGTTCACCTCCTCCTGGCATCCCTGCATTTGGAGAACTTTTAGATTTTAAGACATTGAGAAAGACTCTGCAAAAACAGGAAGCCAAGCCACTTGGCTGGCTTTTCAAAATCAGCTGGGCTTCTGTGCGCAGGATCTCCAGGCTGCTGGGCCCTGGGAGCTGGGGGTGTTTGCAGTCCTCTGGGTTCAGGTGCTGGTGACTGAAGAGGACACACGTCCCCTTGCTGCCAGCCGTCTTCCTGTGTTTCCTGTGTCTGGTCCCTGAGGGGCGTCTCCCGTTCTGTGCAGCCACCCAGGGATGATGTGGTGTTAAGTACCCTTTTGAGGTGGGGAAACTGAGGCTCAGAATGCTGTGCTTTCTCTTGGGGATTTCAGCTGGCCGTGGTGGAGTTGGGATTTGAGTGCAGGTCTGTCTGTCTCAAAAGCCTGTGGCCCATGGTTTTCTGCTGAACGGTCTCCTCTGCATGTTCATAGGTTCTCCATTTACTAAATGCTTCTGTTCCTCTTATTACCTGGACTTTGGCTGCTATCTAAAAAAAAGGATGTTGGGGCCAAGGGTCAGGACTCAAGACTGCAAAACGCTGGTGACCGGAGGTCGGTTGGTCATGGGAGTTGTTTCTCTTCCTGTTATTTAATGGCAACAGTAACAGTCCTTTTATTGAGGACTCCAGTGTACCAGGCATCATGGGTTTACTTTAAGGAAGCATTTGTGTGTAACCTTCCCGAGGTGGGTGTGGGAGCATATTTAAGAAAGTGGATTTTGCAGATCTCAGTGTCCTCAGGTGCCTGTGCTGGAGGCTGAGGAGCTCGGGAGCCCTTCTTCCCTGCCACCCCTGTGCCTCTTCACCTCGTTCCTCCTCCCACCTCTGCAGAGGATTGTGCACTCTGTGAGGCGCAGGGCCGCCTGGGGTCAGGTTCCTGTCTGTGTGACCTTGGGCCAGTTGCTTAACGACGCTGTGTCTTTCTGCTCATCTGTAAAATGGGGATAATCATGGTGCTGGTCCCCTGGCACCATTGTGAGGACTGAGTTACTTTGGGTGAAGTAATTGGCACTGGGCCTGGCACACTGGAAGCTGGCTGTCTGCAGGAGAACTGTACACTATCCACAGGCAGACCTGACCGAGTGTGAGACCTCAGGGCATAAAACCCTCCTGGTGGTCAAGTACAGTGGCCAGTCATTGTCATCCTGGGGCCAGGGAGGTATTTCCAGTTCCCTGCTTGCAGCAAAATTCAAAGAGTACCTGATGGTGTCGTCAGCTGATAGCACATTAAGAATGACCTTTGTTTTGGGTGGCTGAGGTGGGTGGATTGCTTGAGCTCATGAGTTTGAGATCTGCCTGGGCAACATGGCAAAACCTCGTCTGAGGGTTCCCCCCCAACCACAAATACAAAAAATTAGTTGGGTGTGGTGGTGTATGACCGCTTGGGGCTGAGGTGGGAGGATCACTTGAACCCAGGAGGTCGAGGCTGCAGTGAACTGAGATCGTGCCACTGCACTTCAGCCTGGGTGACAAAGTAAGACACTGTCTCAAAAAAAAAAAAAAAAAGAATAATATTTGATAAGAGATGACTAGATTACTGTAATTCTTGGCAAATAATTATAAAGGAATCCAAAGAATTTGCTGTGGTAAATCTCTTTCCATTCTATTTTTTAAATTTGAATAAGTGGTTTCTGTTCTCACATCTGTAAAAATTAAAAAATGGAGATGAAATTGATAAACCCTGTCTTATTCTAGCAACAGGCAATATTCATCTGAGAATTCATGAAATAATTTTTCAAAAAATTCCCATTCATTGTATAGATGTATTTTTAATAAGATTTATTTATTAAATTTTACTTATTTAATTTTTTTTTTTTTTGAGATGGAGTCTCGCTCTTGTCGCCCAGGCTGGAGTGCAGAGGCATGATCTTGGCCCACTGCAACCTCCGCCTCCCAGGTTCAAGCGATTTTCCTGCCTCAGCCTCCCAAGTAGCTGAGGTTACAGGTGCCTGCCACCATGCCCAGCTAATTTTTTTTTTTTTTTTTTTTTAAGTAGAGATGGGGTTTCACCAGTTGACCAGGCTGGTCTTGAACTGCTGACCTCAGGTGATCTGCCCACCTCGGCCTCCCAAAGTGCTGGGATTACAGGCGTGAACCACTGCGCCTGGCCTAATTAAGTTTATTTTTAAAGGTTATTTCTTATACAATTTTGCAATATATTTCTGTCTTATTGATCAATTGTATACTTATAGTAATTGTTATAATAATTCAGTCCAGGAGAAAACTTCTGACAGAGCTTTATGATCACAGGAAATCACAGGAAATTAAAAAAAATTAAAACATTGATTTTTGTATTTTTTGGCCCTATAGTATATAATAGGATAATCAGTATAAGGCTTTCAAGCATAAAATACACTGTGATAGTATAAACATCTCTGAGGGAGATCAGAGTTTGTGGAGGAAAAAAGGAACACTGTTAAATTTCCAATGGTTAAAGAAGAGCTTGATTATGTAATTTAAAAATGGATGATGGCGAATCTCTAATCGCCGTGGTATTTAGATACCATTGGATCCATTTAAAAGAGAAACATTAACAGTTTTATTTTTAAATGTTAATATTTACAGTATGTTGGAAATTACATCCTCTACAAGTATTTAGACTTATGATGAGAAATTTTTCATATCAACTTAAAAATGTGCAAATAGATATGTAGTTTTAAACATTTATTTTGTGGGGGTTTGGTTTGAAGTCCACTGCTTCAGAACATTACCCTGTTTACTTCTCAGAACCAGGCCTGAGGCAAATCCTTCCTCGGAGAGGGACAGCACGAGGCCTTGCTCTCAGGCTGTCCAGAGGCCCTGATGGGGCTGGGCTGGACTGGGCTGACTCTGGGGCCCAGAACTGTGCTCCGAGACTTGCTTGGCAGTGGACTTGTCTGCAGACCTGGTCTGTTGGGCCACGTGATGATGATCATGAAAGACACAGCACTGTCTGCTCAGGGCTGCTCAGGCAGGAAAGGAAGTTGCAGGGGAGCCAGGACCCAGGTAGCTCAGAAGAAGAGGATGTCCTACTTTGTGTTTAGAGCAGGGAGTTGGGCTGCAGGACAAGGGAAGAGTGTAGTAAGGGTCGTGGGACCAGATGCTCTCTACCTCCTGTCTTGAGAGGCTACTTGTCATGATGGTGATGGTGGCAAGTGCCTGTTTCCTCAGCCCCGTGCTCTGTAGTATGGTAATGGGAATGCTGGACGCACGGGCCACCCTGACTCCACCATTTCAGTGTTGAGTTGGTCTCACTGAGTGCTGAGCTGAGGGCCCCTCATAGCCAGGCCGTGCAGATGGGACGCAGTAACATGCAGCAGTTTCCCCGACACTTGCTATGGATAGGCCCCAGGTGCTGGGGGCTCACACAGGCCCAAGCCAGGCCCCTTCAACTCTCTGTGATGTCTGCAGACAGTGGCCAAGGTAGGCAGGGACACCAGACAGGCACAGAGGAGGGCCCTCACGCAGCCTGGTAAATCAGGAAGGCTCCCTGGAAGACGAGTCTGGTTAGTGGCAATGAGCCCATCTACCCAACAGATCCTAACTGAGAGGCAAGGCCTGACAGAGCTCAACCCAGTTCCTAGGTCCTTGTGCTTCCTTCTAAAACACCTAGTTGCTAAAATGACCAAGTGCCAAGCACGGCACTATGATTACTTCCCCCGTACACAGGAGCCTTGGTCGTCTGTGATCTGGGGAGTGGGGCTGGGGCTCTCCTGTGGGCCAGGCAGAAGGCCTGCATCAGCCTTGCTAGGTGCTGTCACCTGGGGGCACCTTCCACTCCGATCCAATCTGTGGGGAAGGCTCAGGAGGAGCGGTTTCCCCATCCAGGGACTCACTGCCTCTTTCTGGAATAGTCCTGAATTTGGTGGAGGAAGACCCTGAAAGAAAGACCCACCTGCTGCCGGGCCCCCTCCAGCCTGGACGTCCTTAGGGAAGCATGTTTTGCAGCCTGACCTCTGCCCTGGCCTGTTCTCTGGGCTGCCTTTCCCCAGTTACTGTAAAAGATCGGGGAGAAGGTGACTGCTGGCATGAGGGGACTCGAGGTTTGACTTTAAAGTGCGAATGAGCAAGCTGTAAGTGTGAGAAGTGCAGCAGCCAGTTAGAGATTCACTGTCCTCCATCCACATTCCTTGAGAATTCAGACACTATGAAACCCAGTCTCTGGTGCGGCGGCTGTTTCTCAAGCAGGCAAGGAAGTAAGTAAGTTCTCCCGGCTTGCGAATGAGTGAATGGTGGGCATACGTCTTTCTGTCCGTGTTTTCTCCAGAGCTGGTGCTGGCTGGCTTGCTGGTGACCTTTGTATATGTGTTTTTACCCCTTCCTGCACCAGACTTTCAGGGAAGGAGGTTGGGTGGGTGACCATCAAACCACCAAGAAAAGGCAAGTCTGAGAAAGAGACACTAAGACCCAAGGGAAGGTCCATGTGCCTGGGGCCGAGGCAGAACTGGGTGCTGGGCCTCTGGAGGCGAAGGAACTGTGGGGATGCCCACTGGCAGGGAAACCGTGGGGATGCCCAAGCCCAGGGGCAGGGCAGGCCTGTCTGAGCTGTGGGGGAGTGGTGAGGACGCAAGGCTGGGCATGTAAGGAGGAGTGGGCCATCAGGGGATGGAGGCCATACCTCCTGACATGGAATAAACTGGGCGTAGGGGCTGGCAGGAGGCGAGGTGTTAGAATGGCCTTACAGACAAGGAGCATGGCCAGGGCCACACACAGCAGCTGGGGAAGGGGGTCCTTTGGCTGCCAATGGCTTGGAAAGGCTACAGCCCCAGGCTTGAGGGGGCTAGTGAGAGACCAGGCTGGAGAGAGTAGCGGTGCCAGGTGAGTTGTTCATGGGGTGCTGTGTCGGGGGCATGGAGGGGCTTCTGCAGGCGAAAGCTGGGTGCTCCAACCTGAGGCTATGGGGGAAGAGCCATGGGGAGGATACATGGAGGGTGATTAGACAGGGCTGCACTGGAAAGCAGACAGCAGGGTTTTCTGAGAGGGGCTGTGGCTGCAGCCTAGTGAGGGGTGATGTGCTCTCCAGGGGCTCCTGCAGTGACAGAGGGCAGCAGGAGACAGATGGCAGGGTGTGGTACCTGGGTAGATGTGGGAGGTGAGAGGGGGAGGATCAGTCCCCAGACTCCTCCCTTGTTTCTGGCCGGAGTGCCTGGGCATGGGGGTGCAGGAGGAGCAGCCGCCAGGGAGGGAAAGCCCATGCCAGCACTGGCGCTTTCCGATAGGTGTGCTGAGTGCAGGCAGCGGAGGCCTGTGTTGGTAGCTGCTCTCGGAATTCAGAGCCAGAGGGGACTCACGTGGTTGCGTGGTGTGCATCTCTGGAAGGATTATAGGTGCTAAATTCTCCATCTCAGCATTAAAAATGTACTTGTTATTTAGGTTATATTTTTACATGGTACCAACATTTTTTTAAAAGGTATGCTGAACACAGTGTCAAATGATCAATCCACAGCGGGGTTCCCTCTGCCACCCATACTCTCCAGCGTACCCCAGCTGGCTGACCCCGGTGCTCTTGATGGATTTTATTTCCAGGTCACTGGGGCATAGGTAGGGGTGGACACCTGTGAACATCCTTCCTTCTGTCGATTTTCTCTGCCGTGTGCTGTGGAGCCAAGCGTAAAGGGCTTTGGGAATAACAATCGCTGTGGGGTTCTGACGTCTTTGGAGCTGGGACAGCCCATGGTAGACTTGCGGTCCACCCATATCCTGGGCAGTGGCTTTCTGAAGTTCACGTGAGCCTGACTCTGACCTCTCCCCAGACCCCATCATCTCCAAGGAGGACCGCCACGGGCTTGGGGGGCTGGCTCTGCACACAGTGTTTCCATGTGGTCATTTGAGGCCAGTAATGGACACAGATTGCTCTTGGCTGTGCCTCACTTCCCTGTGGGGTCCAGAGACCTGGGTTTGAGTTTCTGAGTCTGTTTCCTGGCTGTGGATCTTTTCCTTCCTCTTTAAAGGGATGACAGCGCACAGGATTGAAGACACCTAAGAGATGCTGAAGGAATATTAATTGATTTTTACTCATCTGTTGTTATGATTAATGGTGGCATTTCAGTGGGGAAAATACAGCTACAGATGAAACTGGGCTGTTGAGAAAGATACATTGTTTCAGTGTGGAGAATATAGTATTTTTTTTTTTTTTTTGCCTCCCCTCTGTATCACTTTTGGGTTTCTAACAATTGTGGATTCCAGCTTACTCCTTCCTTTTTTAAAAGATAGATTTTATGGTTTTTTTAAAAAATTTGAAATGCAGGTATTTTTTTCCCCCTAAACATTGACAATTATTTTCATTCTCCATCATTTACTATTTGCTTAGGCTATGTAGATAACAAATAAGACAAAGTTATGTGAAAGCATGATCCCCATAGTGTTTTTTAATAATGATGATACATGAGGTGCTGGGAAGGGTTATATAAATGAGGTCTGCTCATAGCAGTTCTCCAATGTGGCCATTAAAAAAAAATCACATTTTTCACATTTTGGAAGACAGCGTGGGGAAATGCTCGTGAGTTGCTTTGAGTACTGTCGTCATACTCTGAGTGGTTTCATTTCTATCCGTTTTATTTTGGTTCCTGAGCTTTTTAGGTTTGCTGTTAGAAATAGAAGCTGTCACCGTGTTGCAGTCTTGTGCAGCTTCCGAAGCCTGTGGCACTCAGTTCTAGGGTGATTCTTTCTCCAGCCTTTGATGCACTGAGTCAATTTGAGCAAATCCTTTAAAAAAAAAAAAAAGTTCCCACATCCCATGTCAAGACAACAGAGCTCTGCCAGGGCAGGTGGGGCTCCCTGTGCTCCAGGGTGCCTGGGTGCCTTCTTGCAGGCAGGCTTCCAGAACCCCAGGCCCTCCTCACCACACCACGCAGGGTTGGGACTGGATCTCCCTGGTACCTGCCACCCTTGCTTGGCTGTCAAATGTCAAGAATTCCGTGGCCTCAGTGGAGCGTGCCAGGTAAGCATTTTACGTAAAAGCAAAGAAAAGAGATGGAATGAAGTACACAGGGGAAATAGGAAGGGATGGAACGGGGGTTTTAGAAAGGGCCAGAAGCAAGATTCTGCTCTTAAAGTAGCTGACTGTCCTGGCATTCTGGGGTGAAGGTATCCATAGCATTGCTACTCAGAGTGTGATCCTAGGGAATCTGGGTGCAGATGGAGAAACTCGGATGCAAACACTGGATTCCTCAGCAGTCGGTTCCCGTTTGGCCTGGTGCAGGGCTGAGACTCTGAGGAGGAGGCATCTTGACCTGAGGGCCCTGGACTGTGCTCCTTGTCCAGCTGGGCGCAGAACCATCGTAGTCAAAGCCAGGAATGGAGATGCATTGCCTCAGGTCAGTTCCAAAGACCAGGAAGCGTCCCTGAGTATTTCAGTTGAGTAAGGACCTGGCATCTCCCTCTTCAGCCCCTTCCCTGCTCTCATATTTTTATTCATGCTTTTAGAACTGCTAAATGTCAGGTGGGTGCAGTGGCTCACACCTGTAATCCCAGCACTTTGGGAGGCCGAGGCGGGTGGATCATGAGGTCAGGAGATCGAGACCATCCTGGCTAACACGGTGAAACCCTGTCTCTACTAAAAATACAAAAAATTAGCTGGGCGTGGTGGCAGGTGCCTGTAGTCCCAGCTACTCAGGAGGCTGAGGCAGGAGAATGGCGCGAACGCGGGAGGCGGAGCTTGCAGTGAGCCGAGATCGCGCCACTGAACTCTAGCCTGTGACAGAGCAAGACTCCGTCTCAAAAAAAAAAAAAAAAAGAATTGCTAAATGTCACCTTGGCAGTGACACCTACCCTGCTTTCCCAGCAGACGCCTCTGCCCCCTACACACACACACACACACACATACACACACACACATGCACGCGCACACACGCACGCACACCAAGCTGAGCTGCCTGTTGGTGTGTCCTCCTGAGGCTGGGACTTGCTGGTCTCTGAGGAGCACGTGGTCTGGCCCTGATGTGCGCTGTGTCTACTGGGTGAGTGAATTAAGGACTGAGGTATTGTGCTACACAGGATGTGGCCAGGCCTCGAGGGTCTGTGCTTGCTAAAAATAACTCTAGATTATTCTTTTGCTCATTAAGTAATATGTACTTGTGGAAATCTTGGGAAGTCAAGATAGGCTCACAAATGAAAACCCAGAGATAATTATTGAAGCAATTTTTACATAAAATATGCTCCTTTTTCTATATGATGTGCATTCAGGTTAGGCTTTTCTGTGTCCCTAGTTTTGCCACTTGCATTTGGGGGAACAGTTGAGCATTTGCCTGTGCCATTTAAACACCTTGGAAATTGCTGTTAGAGTGGCTGCACCAGCTTCCCACCATCCCTATGTCCCAGCATCTAGAACCATTTCTCTGCTCCAGAGTCTCAAGTTCTAGGTTATTTCTGGTTTGCTGTTACTAACAGTCCTGCCCTGGGTGTCTCTGGACCTAAATCTTTGGGGACCTAAGTCACATCTCAGGCTGTTTCATTGGGTTATGGTCTAGAAGTGACTTCAGGATTTTGTTGCTAAAGAAGAAGGGGAGAATGGGGGACAGGTTGGGCTGCAGCTAGTCAGCTGTGTCCAGCACACTTGGGCCCTGGACTTAGAACTGGACAGGTTACTTGCCCCCTCTAAGCCTCAGTTTATTCTTCTGTAAAATGGAAATAATAATGGACCCAGTCTCATAGAGTTCCAGGAGTGAGGTCATGCAGATAAGGAACAGCACAGAACCTGTTTACCTAGTTTGTCCTCAGAAGGAGCTGTTTGTGATTATTTACTGGTGCCACCTCCACCACCATCATTGTCATCCTCAGTGGCCCAGGGAAGCGTGAGTCTGAATGAGGTGTGTTGTGTAGTTAAATGATGCGATGGGTAGATGAGCCAAAATGAAAGGATCTCTTCTGTTTGATTTATTTTCATGAGTAAAAAAGCCAGAAATGTCTGTAGCATAAGTTATGTCTGTTTGGTTTGGCTAAAGCAGGGCTGACCAGGGATGAGTCTCCTGCTGTGAGTGAGTGAGGTCCCAGCTTGTCCTCTGGGGTTAGAGCAGATTTTGCTCTGGCTGGGGTGCATTTGGGGGCATGGGCTGATTTATGTTTTCCTTCTTTCTGGATCTCCCCAGGTCTAGCCATGATGGGGTGAAGGCATCACCCCCAGGGAGTGCTGACCCCTGACCCTAGCCCCATGACCCCCTCCCGTGCTAGTTCATTATGGGCAGGGGAGGTCCCAGGGATTCCCCGCACACTCATCGTGACTTTTCCAAAAGCTGTGTAAATCCAGAGTTGTAACTTGGCTCTGTCTTTCTCCTTCCCCTTGATCCACCCTCAGCTCAAGAACTCCCCTGGGAAGCACAGTGGCTCCCGTCTTTGCCTCAAGTTCTCTGATGTTCTGCACAAATGGTAGGCAGAGACAGCCCTTTCAGGGACCTGATTGCCCTGGTGTCTAGTTCTCCTTTCACAGGCCTGTTTTCCAGCTCGACTGTCAATCTGAGTCTTTCTCTTTTTGAGCTTTATGCAATGGCCTTAGAGTATACCCTATAAGGAGATCCCGGCTTGCTGGTGCCCGGCCCTGCAGCTGTGTCCCAGAAACTTGGCGGTGGTGCATGGGGCTCACTCAGCACTTCTACAGAAGCCGCCTGGGGTGGCTCCCAGGGTTCCGGTGGGAATGGGGTACAGAGGCCTGAGAGGGGGCTTTGATCAGGTGTCCTGGGGGAACATTTAGAGCTCCTGGATTCTCTGCAGGAAGGCCACCAGCAGCCAGGCATGATGGCCTGTGTCTGTAATCCCAACACTTTGAGAGGCCAAGGCAGGAGAATTGCTTGAAGCCTGGAGTTCAAGACCAGCCTGGGCGACATAGTGAGACCCCATCTCTACGAAAATTTTAATTTTTATTTTTTGAGATGGAGTCTCGCTCTGTCGCCCAGGCTGGAGTGCAGTGGCGCGACCTCGGCTCACTGCAAGCTCTGCCTCCCACGTTCACGCCATTCTTCTGCCTCAGCCTCCCAAGTAGCTGGGACTACAGGTGCCCGCCACCACGCCCGGCTAATTTTTTGTATTTTTGGTAGAGACAGGGTTTCACCATGTTAGCCAGGATGGTCTCAATCTCCTGACCTCGTGATCCACCCACCTTGGCCTCCCAAAGTGCTGGGATTACAGGTGTGAGCCACCATGCCCGGCCAATTTTTTTTTTTTAAAGGTCACCAGCCCTGTTGTCTGGGCAGTAAGCACCTAGTAGGATTGCTTCAGAGTTCTAGAATGCGCATGTAAAAATTCCAAAGTGCGTTTGGCGTCTGGGCTGGGCTTCTATGAGCAGCCCAGGCAGCAGCAGTGAGAACTCCTGTGTGTGCCTCGTCTACTGAGTGCCAGGGTTAGTGCCCCACTTGCCAGGTGAGAGGACTGAGGCTCACACAGGTGGGCTTGTCACAGCCTAGCATGTGAGCTGTGGAGCTGGGATTGGATTCTAGAGGTGTGATGGCATAGCCAGTGCCTCTTCTGCTCCGAAGACTGCCTGCCTGGTGAGAGTCCAGTGACTCCTCCCTAGTTCCAGCTCCATCCCTCCAAGGCTGTGCAGTCCTGGGTAGTGGCACAACCTCTCTGAGGCCCATCTACCAGATGGTGATGAGATGGATGATTGAGACGAGGGGAGGGCAAGTGAGAAGGCCTTCTAAAACTCAGGCCCTCGTAGGAGAAGCGTGGGTAGCCTGAGGTCAGGGACAGGGCTTAGTGTGCTGTGTGGGGCTGTGGGGAGTGGGAAGCTCACTGGTTTTCTGGCTCCTGAGATGACTCGAGGGGTCTTGTGAAGCTCACACCCCTGTCTCACTGGGCAGGAGTTTGGCCTCCACTGTGGGTCTCTGCCATCTCAGGTGGGTGGGGGACCAGGGGTCCCTGGGCAGGAGGGTGTGGGTCCTGGCTTGGAGGCAGACCTTGGCTCACTCCCTTCCTTGCCCAGGCAGTATTTTTGCCGCAGGCCCTGCCAAGTAGAAATAAGTTATTTACAGTGTTTTGACAGGATCATCGGCAGCCGGGATGGGCAAGGATGCCTTTGGGACTGAGCTAATGGCCAAGGAGTGGGGCTTGGAGAAGGGTCTGGCGTGGGAGAGAGATGGGAGATGGGGGTGGGGTGGGGGCGCACATTTACTGAACTTGTTAAATCTTGACAAATGCCAGGCCTGGCCCTCCCTTAAGCCAGGGCTTTGGGGCCTGGTGAGGGCAGGACTTGATGAGTTTTCCTGTCGACCAAATATTCCGCCGGATCGCTCAGGACCCTCGGTTATTTTTGCTGTCTGAGCCCTCAGTGCCTTCCTTTGTCCATCAGGGACAAGGACCCCTGCCCACCCAGTATATCTTCTTGGGGAGAAGATGAAACGCCTTGGTGTATGGTAGGCCAGGCCCTGGCCTTGACTGTGAGCCTGGCAGCCCCTGCAGCCCCTCACACTGGGCCACCATTGACCTGCTTTACGACTTCAAATAGCACAGACCTGCCGTGGGACCAGGGCCTCCTGCTAGTGCCTGACCTCTGTCCTGCATGATGTTCTGACCCTCCAGAAGCAGGTTTGAAAGTGCCTTTCAGGAAGGTCTGGAGAGCCTCCTGTGTAGCTTGTGGGAACAAAATGTGTTACTCCCTAGCCGAAGGATAACCAGCACACTAAAATGTGAATAAAGTGTGACTTTATTCATGTCCTTTGAGCATAAAAATGGCACACACACTGATGCATTAAAAAAACTTTTTTTTTTAATTAAACTTTTTTTAGAGATGGGGTTTTGCTCTGTCACTCAGGCTGGAGTGTAGTGGTGCGATCATAGCTTGCTGCAGCTTTGAACTCCTGGGCTCAAGCAATCCTCCCACCTCAGCCTTCTTAGTAGCTGGGACCATGGTGTGCACCAACATCTTTGATGCAGTTTTTTTTTTGAGATGGAATCTCGCTCTGTCGCCCAGGCTGGAGTGCAATGGCTCGATCTTGGCTCGCTGCAACCTCCGCCTCCCAGGTTCAAGCGATTTTCCTGTCTCAGACCCCAGAGTAACTGAGATTACAGGCACGCGCCACCATGCCTGGCTAATTTTTGTATTTTTAGTAGTGATGGGGTTTCACCGTGTTGGCCAGGGTGGTCTTGAACTCCTGACCTCAAGTGATCTGCCCGCCTCGGCTTCTAAAAGTGTTGGGATTACAGGCGCGAGCCACCAGCCTTGACATAGTTGTAAACAAAGTTGTGGTTCTGTTGTAATCTGTTCCCACAAACACACTTAGCATTCTCTTAGAGCTTCCCCCTTTGTTAAATGTCTACTTAGGCTTGCTTTTTAAATGACTGCATAATATTATCTGATTGTAACTGAAGTTCTTTGATTCCCTTGGTTGATGCTGACCATGGTTCTGGTCTGTCACCTTTATAAATAGTATTGTGATAAACATCCACTTTTGATACTGTTTGGGCAAGCCTGTGATGATTATTTCTTTGGGTTACATAAGTAAGTTGTATATATTGTTTTTGTAGTCTGTAGGAGGAATATGTACTTCTTGGTGAAATAAACAAACCCCTGCATTTTGGGGAATTACAGAAAGGGAAGGTCTTGTGGGAGTTTGTGCTTCTAGATTTGAATGCTGTGTTATCACCTGTGCACCAGGCACGCATACAGCAACTCATTTCTCTCTCATGTGCCCTCCCTCCCCTCCTTTCTCACTCCTGCCCCAGACCCACTCTCTCTGCCCATGAGGCTGGGGGCTGTAGCCTAGCCGCAGCTGTGCCCATGGACTTTTCTCCCCTTGCAATTGTTCCTCACCCCAGGGAGAGGAGGAAGGAGTGGTGGGCTCTGGAGGAGGTGGGTGGTCCCCGGGTGGCCTCTGGTCTTGCTTCTTCCCAGCACCGAGGGTGCTTCAGCCTCCTTGCCTGGAAAAAGGGGTTGTCGTAACACCAACCTCTAAGGTTAAGAAGGGTAATTGAGATACAGTGTCAAAGTACTTATCACACAGCCTGGCCCCAGATCTGTGTTGAGGAATCTGCAGCTAGTGGTGGAGGGTTAGGAGTCATTTGGGGAATTGCAGTCCGGAAAGTTAATTTCTGAAGAGTATCAAACACCAGCTTGCATGTTAAGTTGTCTTTTGGAGTGATCCCTCCAGTGATTCCCTAGTGGTATGGAGCCAGTCCAGATTTGGAGTGGAACTTTTGTTGTGGGTGTGGGTCACTGTTCCAGGGAACCCCAGCTACCTGACCTTGAACCAAAATCCTTGTCATTGTGGAGCCTGTGTCCCCCTCTGCCTTGGACTTTTTTACTTTTATCTTCCTAGTTCTCATAATAGCTCTGTGAGATGGGATCTATTTATTATTCTCCCTATTTTGCAGATGAGGAAACTGAGGCTCAGATCTGTCACCTGCTTCTGTGATATTTCTAGTCACAGAGCTCCAAGCACCAATCACTCTGGGTCTTTGAACTCAGATCTGCTGTTGCCTATGGCCTAGGCTCTTTCTACTCTGACTCTTCCATCCCCTGCCCCTTCCCCAGTGCTAACCAGACCTCTCTGGTTCCTCATAAAAACCTCCCGTGGCCTTCCTGAATTTTCCAAGGCTACCACACAATCAGCCCCCTAATACCTTGCAAGCATGGGCCTTTTGCAGCAGAGCAGGGTCCCCTCCATTCCTGAGCTTGTTTCACTGTCCCCATGCTGATACTCGCCTGTTCCAGACTGTGTACCCTCAGCCTGGCCTCTCTCCTGGTCAGGGTGCATGCCTGGCCCACGTAGCCTGGTGGTTCTGTGCTCGTCTCTGTGGCTCAAATTTGCTCCCTGTCTTCTGACCCTGTATGTGTGGTGACCCAGAACGTGTTCCTCTTCATATTAGCCAGGGAGCTTGCAGGAAGCAGAGCTCACCCTCAGTGGTTCAAAGAGAGCCTTGAAAGCAGGGGCTGTTTGTTGAGCTGTGGGCAGGGTTAAGGGAGCAGCGGGGGCTGGTGAGGCACCTAGAGCCTGGCAGCAGAGAGGAGCTGTTCTGCTTCTTGGGCCGCAGGTAAGGTGAAGAAAGTGTCGCAGAAGCTCTGTGATGGTAGTCATAGCAAGCCACAGCCACTGCCCAGGCATGTCACTGAAGCAGGGAGAGAGAGGGGACTAAATACCCCACCCCCCTCCTCCTGCCCTCTGGTCTCCTGCCAGTGACCCCTCTTGGCCAAGTGCAACTGGAAGCCCTGGATCTTGAATGCTGCGTTCTACGGCAGTCAGCCTCCCAGGCTCAGAGCCAGGCAGTGTGGATGGGGGTGAGCAGGGAGTGACCAGCACCCCCCACCCCTGCCTCATGACCTGCACCCCCTCCACCCCTGCCTCGTGACTTGCACCCCCTCCACTCCTGCTTCGGGACCCTCACCCCCTCCACCCCTGCCTCGGGACCCCCACCCCCTCCACCCCTGCCTCGTGACCAGCACCCCCTCCACCCCTGCCTCGTGACCCGCACCCCCTCCACCCCTGCCTCGTGACCCGCACCCCCTCCACCCCTGCCTCGTGACCCGCACCCCCTCCACCCCTGCCTCGTGACCGTGACCCACACCCTCTCCACCCCTGCCTCGTGACCCGCACCCCCTCCACCCCTGCCTCGTGACCCGCACCCCCTCCACCCCTGCCTTGTGACCTGCACCCCCTCCACCCCTGCCTCATGACCAGCACCCTCCCCACCCCTGCCTTGTGACCAGCACCTGCGCCCACCTTGAGACCCGCACCCCCTCCACCCCTGCCTCGTGACCTGCACTCCCTCCGTCCCTGCCTCGGGATCAGCACCCGCCCCCGCCTCGAGACCCATACCACCTCCACCCCTGTCTCGTGACCCACACCCCCCTCCACCCCTGCCTTGTGACCCGCACCCCCTCCCCCCTGCTTAGGACCCGCACCCCCTCCACCCCTGCTTCGTCACCCATACTCCCTCCACCCCTGCCTCATGACCAGCACCCATCCCCGCCTCGAGACCCACACACCCTCCACCCCTGCCTCGAGACCCACACCCCCCTCCACCCCTGCCTCATGATCTGCACCCCCTCCACCCCTGCCTCGTGACCCACACCCCCTCCACCCTTGCCTTGTGACCTGCACCCCCTCCACCCCTGCCTCACGACCTGCACCCCCTCCACCCCCCTCGTGACCAGCACCCGCCCCTGCCTCGAGACCCGCACCCCCTCCACCCCTGCTTCATGATCCGCACCCCCTCCACCCCGCCTCGTGACCCGCACCCCCTCCACCCCTGCCTTATGATCCGCACCCCCTCCACCCCTGCCTCGTGACCCGCACCCCCTCCACCCCGCCTCGTGACCTGCACCCCCTCCACCCCTGCCTCACGACCTGCACCCCCTCCACCCCGCCTTGTGACCCGTACCCCCTCCACCCCACCTTGTGACCAGCACCCGCCCCCGCCTCAAGACCCGCACCCCCTCCACCCTCCCTCGTAACCCGCACCCCGTTCACCCTTGCCTCATGATCCGCACCCCCTCCACCCCTGCCTCGTGACCTGCACCCCCTCCACCCCACCTCATAACCCGCACCCCCTCCACCCCTGCCTCACGACCTGCACCCCCTCCACCCCTGCCTCGTGACCCGCACCCCCTCCACCCTGCCTCGTGACCAGCACCCACCCCCGCCTTGTAACCCGCACCGCTTCCACCCCGCCTCGTGACTCACACCCCCTCCACCCCGCCTCGTGACCCGCACCCCCTCCACCCTGCCTCGTGACCCGCACCCCCTCCACCCCGCCTCGTGACCCGCACCCCCTCAACCCCTGCCTCGTGACCCGCACCCCCTCCACCCCTGTGTTGCGACCTACACCCCCTCCACCCCTGCCTTATGACCCTGTGGACCTCAAGGCAGAGCAGCAATGTGTCCCGTGGCCTCTGTGAGAGCGGACCCAGTTCTTCTGTCCCTACCCAGAGTCCCGCATGGCCACTCTGGCTTCGACCTTCCAGACTGGCCCTCCCAGATGCCCCTGTGGCCATCACCCCATGGCTCATTTCTGTCATCAATTTATGATTGATCCTTTAAGGGAGCTGATGGGCTTGCAGGCCCAGGGCCCTAACAGGGGCTCAGCCCTTCATTCCTTCTGTTGCTGGGTGCTCACCCAGGCCCCAGTGGCAGGTCCCCTGCTGCCCTCTAGGGACTCTAAGATGACCAAGTCTTTGACCTCTTCTGCGTCAGTAGCTCAGGGAGACAGACAACCATGGGGCCGCCTGGGAAGATCGGGCCAGGGAGCTGGGGAGGGCTCTCGCCGAGCTGATGGGTTTCTCCCACCTGTCAGTAGGTAGCCCCTTGAGAGACAGCATGTGGTGATGCCAGAATCGTGGGTCATGATCCTTTTTCTCTCCATCAAGGTGCCTAGCGCCACCAAGCATGGTGAGAATGACCAGGAGGGTGCCTGGTGGGTGAGCCCTGAGTCGTGTGGCCCCCATGGGAGAGCATGAAGCCACGGCTGCCTGTGCTGCAGGCTGGGGCCGCAGGAGACTGGGGTCCCTGCTGGTTCTGCCTCTCCTCCCTGCATGGCCTCGGCCGGGCTCTGCTTCTTTCTCTGTCTGACAGCTGATAGGATCTCATGGGTCCCGTTTCACTCTCACCTTCTGTAAATCCCTGATTCTTCAGAAAACGGGGCTAGAAAATCTCCCAGGTGTACTCGCACGTCTGTTTCCTTTCTTAGCCTTTCATCTTGAAGTCAGCTTGGTGAGGTTGCCCTGTTCATACTGCAGAATCCAGGGATCTGAGGCCTCTCGCCCCCTGGGCAGCAAGTGAGTAGGAGTGAGCAAGTGTGTGTGAGTGAGTGAATGTGTGAGTGAGTGTGCATGTGGGAGAATTTGTCGATCTGCTTGAAGCAGGCTCTTTGGGTGCTGTTTCAGCAGGACAGATTTCGAGAGAACACAGCTAGCTCTCCACGTTGGACCTCGCCTGGGTGCAGTGTTTCTGTGTATAGCAAATGCACACATGGCTGCCTGTGTATGCGTGGTGGATTTGGAGTCTGGGTGATGGGTTTGCACGCTGCCTCTGACCTTGACCAGCCTTGTGACCCTGGGGAGTCACTGTGCTCTGGGCAAGTCGCCTGTGAGGCTCATAATCCTGACAGCATTACTCATCCTCGGCCTATGGTCTCCCGGGTGGCATTTGGGAGCACCCAGAGGGTGAGCCAGGCGCTTTCTAAGCTGTAAAAGTGCCCTGTGATGTGAGCAGTTATGTGATGTGCTCTCCCAGCAGCACCCAGTTTTGGAGGCTCAGGAAGCATTCCCAGCAGGGCCTGTTTTTAGCCTTGAAACATCATGCTTGAAAAATGCTTGCATGGGGTTTATTTAACTTTAAGTGGGGCAAATTCTGAAATGGGTTGTTTATTGTCCAAGTTGAATTTTTAATTTCTCATAAATTCCCCACAAATTGCTATAGTACATCTTTATTTGTTGAATCTGTCAGAGTTGTTTATGGCACTGAAGCCTGGGCTCCCCCTGTTTGTGGACTGTTGCCATGGCAACACCAGGCTCTGGAGGAGGGGCACTGCTCTGAGGTGGTATAGAAGGTTCTGGAATGGGCTGGTGGTGTGAAGTAGAGCTGTGGCTGCTGCACTGAGACCCAGCCGTGGGTGGACTGAGCTGCTTAAGACCCTGGTTCCTCTTCAACATCACTGCACCCCTCTTGGTCCCTCTTCCCTTGGGGGTGCACTGCTGAGGTCTCCTAATTCTGCTTCCCTAAGCCCTTGCTGCTCCCAGTGTGGTCTGGGAACCAGTGGCAGCTGCACTGATGGGGCGCCCATGAAAAATGCAGACTCCCTTGCCCCCAGACCTGCTGAGTCAGTCTGCAGTTCACCAAGCTTTCAGGCACCTTCTCAGCATGGGTAAGCTGCAGAAGCCCTCACATGCCACACTGCCCTTGGGTGACCCCAGAGGCCTTGGCCTGGCGGTTCTTGGTGTTTGCCACCGTCCTCCCTGTGATCTTTCTGACTCCTTCCCCGACAGTTCCCTCTGCTTGGCCAGGAGTGGGCTTTGCCTCTCAACCCTGCTGCACCCAGGCCACTCTCCTGCTTTGCACACACCAGTCTCTACTCACACAGTCACCCCAGCCTTCTCTATCTGGGGAACTCTGGACATCTTGGAAGAGGCAACTCTTGAGACACCTCCTCTGTGAAGCCCTCCCTCCTTTCCCCAGACCGGGTGATGTTCAGTTTCACTGGAGCTCTCCTGTGGCCTAAACACCTCACCTGCCCCAGCCTCATCAGGCTGCCTGATTCACCTCCCTAGCCGTGACCTCACTGGGTGCCCCGGCTGCTCCTCCCGTCTGCTGGGTGCTCAGACCCCAGCCAGCGCTCAGGAAGGTCTGTGGAGTCATTGCCACTCCAGTCAGCTGGCTTCACAAGGCTGAGACTTGAGTCTGGACTTCTTCCAAGAGCCTGTACTCTCTGCCCGGGGAGTGGTAGGGACCGCTGGGCACCTTCAGTTTCTACCTGAGGCCTGACTGGCAGTTGGGGCTAGGACCGGATAAGGATGGGTCCTTGGACTTTGGAAAGGCGCTGTGGGAGGGAGGCATGGGAGGGGACAGCTGAGAGGAGTCCCGAGCTCATGCGCAGGTGAGTGCAGAAGTTCAGGTGGCATTTGTATGTCCCTTGAGTATCTGTTCTGGGCCAGGCAGCACCGAGGCTCGGGAGAGTCCCAGTAAACAAACCCCAAATCCCTCTGCCTTCGTGGAGCACTTGTGTCTAGGTTGAGAGACTGAAAACAGAAAGAAGTGTGGGTGGCGAGTGAGGTGGGGGAGGGGGACTGGGAGAAAAATGAAGGAGAGTAAGGGGCTGAGGGCTGGTGTGGGATTTGGGAACATGGCTTGGTTAAAGCTGAGGAGATGCTGACCCTTTGGCCCTGCAAATCCTCCATGGCATGTACCCAAGAGAAAGGAGGGCTGTGTCCACCAAAAGACACGTGTAGAATGAATGTTCCCAGCAGCAGCATTCCTGATGGCCTCAAAGAGGAGACAGCACGCATGCCCATTGGCTGTAGAATGGGTACGTACATGACCTGTGTTATCATCTGGCCATGGAGTTGTATCGAATACAGCAGTGAGAATGAACCATGGATGAGTCCCATAGGCATGAAACGTGGCCAAAGATGCCAGGTGCAGAGGCGTATTCAGTGTCTGATTCCATTTACATGAAGATCTTGACCAGGCCAAGCTACTCTCTGGGGACAGGAGGCAGGCTGGCGGTCACCTTTGGGGACAAGGTGCCGGGTGGGAATGTGAGGAGCCTGCTGGTGTCTTGCAACTGTCCTCTCCTCAGTCTTCCTCTTGGGTGCCAGTTTGTGAAATATTCAAGCTGTTCACTTATGGCATGTCCTTCCTTTCTTATGTTATACTTCAGTGAAAGGCTTATAAAAGAAAGAAACAGAAGGGGAAAAAAGCCATGAGAGGCAGAGAGAGTGCTGTTTTCTGTAATATATGCCCTTAGATTCTCTAGAACATTGGTTCTCAAGCCACCGTACATATCAGGACATGGCCACCGCCCCTCCTGAAGCTCTCCTTGCCAGGAGTGATGCAGGCTCCGAGGATGAACCACCTGGTGAGAAGCCAGTAGCCCCAGCGGCATCTTTCTTGCTCTTCACTGGACTGGAGCCTCTCTGTAATCAAGGGAGTACATGTTCTGTACCCCCTGGCCCAGTGTCTAGTTAGAATAGACAGTGAGCATTTACAGATTGAATGGTTTTTTGTTTTTTTCCCAATGGTTTTAGCTTGTCTTTGGGAATATAGGGTCTGTTTCTGGGCATGGAGAAACAGGGTTCCCTCCTGTGCTTTAAGTCTAACCTCCAAGCCAGAGAGGTGGTACTGGCAGGAGATAAGACCACCCGTTGTCTGGATGCTGTTTTCCATGCAGCAGACATGGGCTCCAGTTTCTGTCAATCAGTTTATTAAAACCTGCGTTTATTACTTGTTTGCCCTGTGCCAGGCACTGGGCTGTGTCTTAGTCCAGCCCCACAGTACCCTGTTTACAGATGACGTCAAAGCAGCTACACGTGGGTGACTGGCTCGGTTCACTTGCTAGAAGTGGGGACTCTACCTCTAAGTGGGGTGAATCCCAGGCTAGCACTTGACCCACTGACAGGGTGGAGGGGATGTGGGGAAAGAAGATGTTCAGTCAGGGTTGGATGCATGAAGTGCTGGGTGGGCTGCCAGGAAGTGCTTCTAAGCCTTTGCTCTTCGCTTCCTTCCCCGACCCCATCTCTCCCTACTTCAGTCTGACTTCCCTCCATCTAGAATCTTCCCAGATGACTCCACAACTGGGTAGTTTTACCTGCTGTTTCTGAAGCCTGGCTGTCCCGTCTACCTCCCAAACATCAGCCCAGGCTCCAGAGACTACTGGAATCACAGTCACCTGGGAGATTGATTTTTAATAGACTCTATTTTAGAGCAGTTTTGGGTTCACAGCAAAATTGAGAGGAAGGTGCAGAGACTTCCCGTATCTGCCCTACCCTGACACACATGCAGCCCCCCTTACTGTCAACATCCCACGCTAGCCTGGAACATTTGCTACAATCAGTGAACCTCCCTGGGTGCATCAGGATCACCTGAAGTCCCCAGTGTGCATAGGGCTCACTCTTGGTGTTGCACATTCTGTGGGTTTGGACACATGCATAGTGACCTGCATCTACCATTACCATACCATACAGAGCAGCTTCACTACCGTGAAAGTCCTCTGCACCGCCTGTTCTTTTTAAAGCACTTCTAAAAAGAAGTGCTGATGGGGTGGCATCAATTATATCCAGATCTCTGGGGCAGCTCTTGAGCACTGGCTGTCATGAGGCCCCCAGGACAACAGGCAGCCGGGAGAGGGGCGGGTGGGGAACCACTGGATTGAAGTAATGGTTCTCAAACTGGAGTGTGCACTGGAACCCCCAGGGAGCACATCTTCAAACAGGTGGCTGGCCCCATTCCCAGGGTCTCTGAACCAGTAGGTCTGAGGGGGCTGAGAATCCACATCTGTAACAGGTATCCAGGTGATGTTGACCCTGCTTGTGAGCCCCTCTGTCTGAGAACCACTGGTTTTTTTTTATTATTATTTTTTATTTTATTTTTATTTTTTATTATACTTTAAGTTTTAGGGTACATGTGCACAACATGCAGGTTTGTTACATATGTATACATGTGCCATGTTGGTGTGCTGCACCCATTAACTCGTCATTTAACATTAGGTATATCTCCTAATGCTATCCCTCCCCCTTCCCCCCTCCCCCCACCCCACAATAGGTCCTGGTGTGTGATGTTCCCCTTCCTGTGTCCATGTGGAGAACCACTGGTTTTAAACAGTGGTGACGAAAGGTGTGGTTGGGCCAGATGTGCCTGCTCAGAAAGCCACCAGAGCGCTTTCCAAGTCTTTGGGGCATCTGGGAGATTGTGCCCGGCCCCTTTCCCAGTTCTGAGTGAGGGACTGAACCCTGGGATGGGAGATGTAGGGCTGTTTCCTGTACCACCAGCCCCTTGGGGACCTGGGTTTGGAGGGAGGGTGGTGGTGCGGGCAGGTATTATATTGAATATAGAGTGAGCCAGAAGGCCGGTGAGGCTTGGGGGCGAACTTCCAGCCCACTGAGTCACTCTCAGGCCGTCTCTGGCCCCACTGAAGGATCTCCCGTCCCCCTACCCCACTGGGGGTTCCTTTGGCCCTCACAGAAGGACAGATAAGGCCCCCAGGGTAAGAACAACCCAGACCAGGCCTCCCTGGGTCAGAGAGTCAGCCAGGGCCTGGTATCGAGACTTAGACCTTGGAGAGCTTGGGATTATGGGAGAATCAGGCTGTTCTTCAGACAACAGGCCGCCCTAGATGCCTGGCGTCTGTTGTAATAAAAGACCTTTAGTGGAAACTAAGTCTGTTGCCTTTGGCCTCCTAGGAGCCCAGCAATAAAATCAGTGTAAATAGAGCTAACATTTGGGAGTGGTTTATAAAGCACTTGAAAAAAATCCCTCATATAAACCCAAAGACAGTCCTACAAGCTGCAGGGACAATTAATTATCCTACCTTTTGGATATGGAAATTGAAGTTGAGAAAGGTTAAATAACTTGCCCATGGTCACAGATCTTTTAAATGGCAGAGCTGGGATTTGGCCTGGGGACTCTGCCACCCAAATCTCTGTGCTTTCTGCTGTCTTATTCCCCTTCCACCACGTGGCCCCTCCAGGCAGAGATGAAGGCGCTCCCCTGGTGCAAGCTCCAGCTACAAAAGGGTGAAGATGGTGGTGCCCTCAGAGTGGAATGTGCTGGAATTTCTCACAACAGAGTTGTTCTTGAAATAGGTACTTATTCTTGGCATTTCTTAGCCAAAAACTGCAGAGGTGAGTACCCCATAGCCATAACAGTGGCAGGGATTAGGGAGTGAGTTAGCGTTACAATGGAAGGGCTTCCGCCCAATCTGCTGTCTTCCATTCCCCATGCTGAGACATTTGGAGGCACAGGGTGGTTTCCGGTCTCATTGAATTGGCTTTCACGCTTGGCTATGAGGCACCCCTAGGGGTTCCTTGAAGGGGTACCTGCTTTTCAAGGGGGATGAGTTGCTCACCACTCCCTTCACCTGAGCAGCTCTTTCTTTTTTTTTTTTTTCTTTTGAGACAGAGTTTCATCCATCACCCAGGCTGGAGTGCAGTGGCATGATCTGGACTCACTGCAATCTCCGCCTCCCAGGCTCAAGCGATTCCCCTGCCTCAGCCACCTGAATAGCTGGGATTACAGGCATGCGCCACCAAGCCTGCCTGGTTTTTGTATTTTTAGGAGAGACAGGGTTTCACTATGTTGCCCAGGCTGGTCTCAAACTCCTGAGTTCAAGCGATCCGCCCGCCTTGGCCTTCCAAAGTGCAGGGATTACAGGTGTGAGCCACCTTTCCCAGCCACTCTCTCTTGATCTGTGTTTGATCTGGGGTCTGCATGTTAGATTTCATTTCAGGAAAGACATTTGAGGTCAGAGAGAGTTTGAAAACCATGGTGTCTGGGGCAGAATCCTGGGATATTCAGCTCCCCCATGCCTGGGAAATTGAGGCATGTGTATGTGCAGAGAGCTGTGGGCCTGCCAGGTGCGTGATGACTGTTGGCTGTCAGGTCCTGGGGGTGGAGTGTGGCCATCACCGTTTGATTGGTTCCTTGTCCGTCAGGTGTCCTTCTGAGTGCCCAGGCAGGCCGGGCCCTGTGCTGAGCACTGGGCACATAGCTGAGAGCAAAACTGCCACATCCCGGTCCTTAAGGAGCTTCCAGTTTAGTGGGAAGACAGAATCTGTCTTGGATGGACTTTGAGTCTCTTCCAGCACCGCAAGGCGTGTTTATTAAAGAGCTGGGCATTGGACTCGCCTGCACAGGTACCTCTGCCAGCTCTGCTTGCTGATGGGCCAGTGACACTCACTTCCTCCCCCACACGTGTGGGCCTACCCGATGCTGGCGACTGGAGGTCTCGGTAGGTCAGCCATGGGGTCACTGAGGTCCCGTGACTTGGCTCCCTGGGTCTCTAACCATTCCTCACCTGACCCCATCTCTCCAGAATTACTCTTGTGGACCCCCCTCACATCCAGGGCTTGGATTTGTCACCTTTCTGGGTGGAGAGAATAAAGGGAGGAAACACGAACTGAGGTGGGGTGCAGGAGCCAAGGCAGGCCCTCAAAGTGTGCATCGATGCCTTCAAAAGCCAGCTGCAGTATTCGGCCACCTGCGATCCCTGGGTGCCCGCCATCAGCCCTTGCTCCTCTCTCTTGCCTTGGATAGGACAGAAGTTGACACTTGGGGGCTCTTGGAGAACCATTTGGAGCACGTGGAACTCAAGAGTGAATCACTTATTTTTTGCTGTGTGGCAGCAGGGCCTCCCTAGACAGGACATATTCGGGGGCTTGCAGCCAGGTAGGGGAGTGGAAGTACCTCCTCTCACCCCACACACGGGAATTGGAGATGAGGCAGCCGATCCTGCCTGCTTGAGTCTCAGCTGTCATTTTCCAGGCTGGCAGCACCAGCAGGAGAACCCGTGTGTCCGCCGGGCTTTCTTTAAAATGCACCGAGTGCAACCCAGTCCTCCTTGTGTAAACTTTCTCCAACTGGCCAGATGGTTTGCTTCTATTTAAGGCAGTGAGAGTATTTCCTACGGCCTGCTGCCCCCTGGCCTTTGTTTTGCCCCGGGAAGGCCATTCCTCGAAAGGGAAGCTGAGCAGGAGTTGCACTTCCCAGCAGCAGGGATTGTCGGCGCCCACCCCCATGGCAGGCCTAGAACCTTTGCCAAGTGCCTCTGCCTGGAGGGACCGTGTTTGTAACTTGACTCCCTCTGTCCCTTCCAAATCTGCTTGTGCTGTGTTTTCTTAGATGGTCATGAAGGTCTCCCCCCATCTCCCACCCCAGCTGCCAGCCCGGTGCCTCTGTCCCTCCACATCCACATCTTTTCTGTTTCCAGGTTCTGTTGATTTTTCCCTCTGGATATTTCCTTACCCACCCCCCACCCCCGTCCTTCTGTTCTGTGACCCCGGTCAGTCTCCCAGTCCCCCTTACCCATTATTGCCAAGCCTCTGGCTGGCATCCCCAGCTCTGGGCTCTCCCACCCTCAGTCCAGCCCCCACCTGGCAGAATGATCTTTCATCGAGAATATCTGAGTCACTCCACTGATCTAACCTTTCCTGGCCTTTCATTGTCTTTAGGTTAAAGTCTAAGCCCTGGAGAATGGTTTATGAGGCCCTTCCCAGTTTGGTCCTGCCAGCCAGGCAGCCTCACCCCCTGCCATTCCCAACTCAGACACCAGCAACACCTGCGCACTCTCTCCCTGCCTCTGCACTTGCTGGTCCGACCTACTCCAGCCAGATGTCACTTGCTGGCAGAAGCATTCCTGGCTTCCCCTCTGTCCCCTCACCTCCTCTGAGCCGACTGTGTTTACCTGTGGGCTCCTCGCAGGCACTCACCTTGGTACTTAGCACAGAGCCCTGCATGCAGGAGGCCTTCCACACAGGATTCTTGTGTATTGCTGACTTTCCCCCCAGGTCTACCTAGAAGCCACAGAAGGGGTTTTGTAGGGCTTTTAAAGGGCAAATGGAATCTGTTATTCTTTAGTATCATTAATATCTGCAAAGTTTCCTTCTCAGCAGATCTTCACTTCTCATTGTCTACACTGTCCCTTTTCCTCTGGGTGGCAGTGATGATTGGCCTGAGCCTGTTATGAGATGCTTCATTCCCAGCCTCCCTTGCAGTGGGGGTGCCCATGTTATGTGCACTTCTAACCAGTAAGACATGACTGGAGAGAGTGTTTCTTTTTTTTGAGACAGAGTCTTGCCCTGTCGTCCAGGCTGGAGTGCAGTGGTGTGACCTCGGCTCACTGCAACCTCTGGCTCCTGGGTTCAAGCAGTTCTTGTGCCTCAGTCTCCTGAGTAGCTGGGATTACAGGTGTGTGCCACCATATCTGGGTAACTTTTGTATTTTTAGTAGAGATGGGGTTTCATGGTGTTGGCCAGGCTGGTCTCGAACTCCTGAGCTTAAGCAATCCACCCACCTTGGCCTCCCAAAGTGCTGGGATTACAGGCGTGAGCCACCGCGCCCAGCTGGGAAAGAGTGTTTCTTCTCTTTCAAAGGGTTGGCTATTTCGCCCTGGCCCCTTCTTCCCCGCTTCCAGATATTTTGTGGGAGTATCAGGAGCTTTGGCAGCTGTCTTGTGAGCGTGAGGCGACAGGCACGTGGACAAAGGTCTACCATGGCGAGCATGGCAGAATAGAAACTTGAAAGGAGTATGGGTTCTTGCTGATGTCAACCTGTTGAAACACCCTGGAGACTCCACTCCCTCCTAACGTTCCGTCCTTATGATTAAAGCCATTTTTAGTCACCACTTAAAACCAGACACATCTTCACTCATGATTCTGAGCTTGTTGGAATTGTTTTTTGTTATACGAAAACCAAATGCACCCTTGACGTAAAGACTGGCCATCATTGAAACAAAGCTTTGAAGGCCGAAGGCGCTTGCCAAAGAGAAGGATGCCAGTGCTTTGAGTGTTACTACCATCGATGTCAGAAATGTAGGTGCCCAAAAGGATGACCGTTGGGCACCCTGTTCATTTGGACATGTTATGTCAGAAAACAAATCATACCATGTTCACCATGTTATGAGAAAATGTAAAGCCTCTTCAGGTTGTAAGTAGCAGCTGTCAATATGAAAGAAAAATCTTAAGGAAATGTCAATAAATAGAATTTATTGGCCTGAATGTCTCAGAAGGTCCAGAGATAGGTCTGGCAGGTTTCAGGCCATTAAGAACTCACATGTATTGTCATCAGAAATATTTCTTCACTTTTCATGCTCCTTGTGAAAGTCATTTTGGGTGGGCTTGTGCCAAGTCATGTGAAACTGGTTGCCTGCAGCTTCATCCCCTTGGCTTAACAGCCCTGCAGGAAGCAGATGTCGGGCTGGCTGGTGCTGGCTGGCTCTGGTTGGCCTGGCTTGGGTCACATACATATCATATTTGCCTGCTAGGAATGCCATAACAGGTCACTGCAAACTGCGTGGCTTAGGAGAACAGAAATTCACTCTCAGTTCTGGAGGCTAGGAGTTGGACTCAGGATGTCAGCAGGGCACTGCTCCGTCTGAAGCCCCGAAGGGAGGAGCCTTCCTTGCCTCTGCCAGCTTCTCATAGTCCCAGGCACGCCTTGGCTTGTGGGAGCATCGCTGTAGTCTCTGCCTCCATCCCCACTTGGCCGTCCTGCCTGGGTGTCTGTGTCTTCACCTGGCTTTCTCCTTTTCCTATAAGGACACTAGTCATATTGAATCAGGGCCAACCCTGATGACCTCATCTTAATTTGATTATATCTGCAAAGACCCTGTTTTCAAGTAAGATCATGTTCATAGGTACCAGAGGTTAGGACTTCAGCTTATCTTGTTGGGGGACAAAGTTCAACCCATGACACCTGTCCTTGGGCTGGATGACATGATACTCTAGCTGGCCAGGACTGTATCACTTGCCCACCCCAAAGTGAGTGTGGGTCAACCCCCTGGAGTTACGTGGCTTAAACGTCGGGGAGGAAGGTTCTTCAAGGGAACTAAGTTGAGGGCAGTCCACAGATGGAAACTTGGCAAAGGCAGTGGTGGTAATGGTTCACCAGCAGCCCGGCTTGGCCTGAGGGCCCCAGCTTTCCAGTCCGGAGTGGTCCATTGGTCTGATTCTTCTCTCCCAGTTCGGTCCCCTCTTTCCTGACTTCCATTCTTTAACTCTGCAGGAGGGGGCGCTTAGTTTAGTTGGAGGTGAATGGAGAGGGAAGGGAGACCCAAAGCAGGGAGGCCCTTGTGATTTCCCTACCAGCCGCCTGCTCTGGGCTGGAGCATGGGCCTCAGATAGCCTAGGTGCTGGGCTGCATGTGCGGCCTTGTGGGAGTTCCACCGAGCAGAGCTTCTGATGGGGGTTCGCAGCCTGGGTGGGCTAGCTAGTGACTGAGCTTTGATGGTAATGAACCATCGTTTGCTGCTTTTATTCATTCACTAGTTTTTCATCTGCTGTGGGAGAAGGCTGTGGGAGTGTGCAGTCCGAAAGAAATGGAAAAACACCAGTCTCCTGTTTCTGCCCTGTGCTTTCCAGTTGACCACTCATTTGGAGATGTTTCTGTTTGCTTGTGTTCCCCCCGCCGCCCCCCCCCGCCCCCGGCTGCTGGGCCATCCCTGCTTACCTAGCCTTTTTCTGAAGGTCTTGAAGCCCAGAGCACTTAGGAAAGTCTGAGCACTAAATTGCGTCCTGCCCAATCACCATATCCTGTGTGTATGTCTTATCTCCTTTATGACAGGAACATGGTTCATAGTTGCCTTTATCTGGAGCACATGGGGCCATGTGGGAAAGGAAGCTTGAGCCAGGCCAACCCTGTGCAGACCCTGCTGTCCCCACCGTGGGGCCCCGGGCTAGCGCTGTTTCTCTGAGCCTCAGTTTCTACCTCCTCAGAATAGAAAATGGGAGTAGCACTAATGGTTGAGATTTCTCTCAGCCAAGTGTCTGTGAGTGGGTTTGTGCATGCCTGGGACCTGAGCAATGGCCACAAGAAAGTCCTGTTTGGAACTTGTGGTCAGCCTGGGCGATGAGGTCAAGATGCCCTGAGAGTCAGGAGGGAGGGGTGCGGCTTGACTGCCCCAGACCACACTGGGAGGTTTGCAGAAGAAAAGAGCGTGGGGTGGGGATGGGGTCAAAAAGGACTCTGTGTGTGCCTGGTGAGGGCTTGAGGCCCGGCTCACAGACCACTGGTGGACCCGTCCCGCCAGAGCAGTGACCGCTTGGGAGGCAGTGAGCTGTGAGTGTGGAAAGGAAGTCGGAGGCAACGTGGGTCCTCATTTGGGGGCACTGGGGAGCGATTGAAGGTTTTTAGGTAGTTGCAGAGGACAGTTTCAGGGAAGGTATTCTGGCAGTTCTGGCCCAGGGTGGATTGGGTTGTGTCCAGGCTAGAAACTGGATCCTGAAATTAGTTCTGAAAGAATAAAAAAAAAAGTCTGAATTAGAGAGTATAGCTTAATTTTAATTACTGGTCCTTGTTAATTAGTTCTCTGATTGCATGTAAGCCAAGGTCTCTAATTGGATTTTCTTAGATAGGGTTTCGCTGTGTTGCCCAGGCTGGAGTACAGTGGCTATTTCACAGATGCAATCATAGCGCACTTCAGCCTTGAACTCCTGGGCTCCAGTGATCCTCCTCTCACCTCCTCCTCCTGAGTAGCTGGGACTACAGGCACGTGCCATCTAATTGGTTTTTAAGTGCTGTCAGTACGTTTCAGGGAGACTCTCCACCCACTTTGCGCTAATCTTCCCCCATCCTGGTGATTTGCTGTAGAGTCTTTGTTATGGGGCAGGGGCAGCATAGCCTACTTCCAGCCTCTCAGTCTGCGGCAGTGCTCTTCAGGGTCACCAGGGGAGTTGAATTAAAAGGCCACTCTGACCTGGCCTCTGTGGTTTCCTGGCCGGCTGCATGGACCAGCCCTCAAGCGCTGCGGGAGGCAGAGCTGCTGACTGGCAGGGACAGGGGCCTGAGGTCTTGCCCAGAGGGGTAACTGGCCTCTGCTTATTTGTGAGAGGTGAGGCTTGGAGGTTTGGTTTGATCTTGATGCCCTGTGCCTGCAAGGGCAAGGAACCAGTGCCTGGTGACTTGGAACTAAGGCACAGACTTCCATTTCAGGCTCAAAAGCAGCATGGCACTGGGCTGCAAAGTCAGGGATCTGGTTCTTTAAGGTAGATCTTACAGGAGGGAGACCTTAAATGCCCCTTTCTTCCTGATCTGACAGATCCTAGAGCCCTGGGGCCTGCCCTGGCCAGGAGTCCTGGTGCTAAACCCTGTCAGGTTGGTGGGGAAAGGGCATTTAAGGCCCTTACCCTGTTAAGATATATCCTAAAGAACCACAACCCTGACTTGCGGCCCACGCTAGTCCGTCACGGTGTCGGGTTTTTCTTGCTTCTTCCTCTTCCTCCTTTGCTAGCCTTGGTGCTTGCGGTGGCCCTTCTGGCCAGGCCATAGACAGAGGCCACACCCTTCTTCCCTCTCTGCCGTGTTGCTGTCCGCTGGGCCACTGTCCCACCTCCTCTGAGATCTACAGCCCCACAGGGTTGGGTGATGGTTGTCGCCACATTGGTCAGTTCTGCATCTGGGTCAGTCCCAGGGGCTTGCATGGCTGGCTGTCAGTCCTTTACCTGGGGGGCCCTGTGGCTCATCCGTGGCCCTCGAGTTCCAGAGTTTCCATCTGCTGCCAGGCCGAGTGCAGCATCCTCACCAGCTTCACAGCCAAGCAGAGGGATGCCAGTGTTCGGCCTAGGCTTCGGTTTAATTTTTATGCTAGACTTTCTCAGTAATCGCCAGCACAAACTTATTCATGGTCCCTTCCTTGTGTCTGGATTTCAGCTTTCCTATCTCTGCGGAGGGGGTTGGACCAGATTACACGTGGGTGACTCAGATATACCTGGGCCTGCATGCAATCTGTTTGGCCCACACAGGAATTTTACATTCTTTCCTTTGAATTTGTTGCCAGTGTTTAAGCTGGTTGCCCCTTAGGCCCCACCATTCTCTGTTGTCCCACACCACCAGCCTCATGGTTTACATTTGCCCCATGGGCGCTTCAGTTTGTGACCCTCCATTTGCTCCTAGGACCCCCTCCTCACCTCCCCCCCAACCCCTCCCACCTGAATTCCTCAGTACCCTCTGGCTCTGTCTTCCCAGGGTGATGGGACAGAAGAGGAGGGAGGCTAGAGCCTAGCCATCCACAAGCCGGGTTCCAGAATGGTTGGATTTGAGAAATCTGGTGAAGGGGAAAAGATTTTTCATTTGCCCAGAACTCAGGGTAGTGGACTTGGGGCAGTAAAGGTCTCAGGAACAGAGTTGAAGCCAGAACTGTAGGAAGATGTGTATTGGGGCCTTCAGGTGGGCGGCAGGAGAGGAAGGGTGGGGCTGTGGTCTGGGAAGGGCCTCCTGCAGGATGCCAGCCTGCCACCAATGAGGGGAAGGAGAACGGTGGCCTGGGCATGACGTGCGCTTGGAACAGATTCCTGGTGACACCACCCCCAGCCTTGGGGCTTAAAGATTGTGGTGTAATCCAAGCTTGTTTTAATCAAGCCACAGATAAGAATGAGCCAGGCTGAGGCTGGCTACGGCCTGAGTGCACATTCCTGCCTGGTGCACTTTGTTCTTCATGTAGGTGGGGCTGGGCGGGGCAGGGAGGCTGCCCTGCTGCCTTGGACCCAGGATGGCATTTCCCCTGCTTGACAGGGACACTTGGAATTTCCTGTTGGAAGTAGCCCCAAAGGAAAGAGTGCCTGATGGGTTGAGCCTTGGATGTGTTCGGTGCTTTCTGCAGTGACTCCACAGAGCACTGGGCTTTTGCAGTCTCTACTGTGCTGTCTTCGGCTTTCCCACTGGTATTTCCTGCCCTCAGAAATCCACCTGCCCCACATCTCTTTTCTCCCCTTCTGTCTGTGCACATAAACTGGGGTGGATTTCAATCCGATCTCCTTAGCTGTGTGATCTTGGGCAAGTTATTTTGCTTCTCTGAGCCCCAGCTTCTGGTTCTGTGTGTGCTGTGAAACCACCTGTGGCCCACGTGGCCAATCCTGGGTCAATATTTTTTTAACCAATGACAAGAAGTTTCTAAGGGTTTTCCCCAAAGTGTGGGCCTCGGTGGGGAGCTGGCAGTAGCTGGATGAGAAAGAGTTTGGACTTCAAGTCAATTTGTAGAGTTAAGATTGAAACTTTTTTTTTTGAGACAGTCTCGCTCTGTCACCAGGCTGGGGTGCAGTGGTGCGATCTTGGCTCACTACAACCTCCGCCTCCTGGGTTCAAGCTATTCTCTTGCCTCAGCCTCCCGAGTAGCTGCGATTGCAGGTGCACGCCACCATGCCTGGGTAATTCTTGAGTTTTTAGTAGAGATGGGGTTTCACCATGTTGCTCAGGTTGGTCTTGAACTCCTGACCTCAAGTGATCTGCCCACCTTGGCCTCCCAAAGTGCTGGGATTACAGGTGTGAGCCACCGCAGCCAGCCATGATTGAAACTTTAATTTCCTTCTCCTTGTCCGAGGCCCTTCTCCCTTTCTTTGCCCACCAGTTTCTCCCTCTGAGCGCTGCAGCCACCCCACAAGCCCCAGTGCCCTGTCAGGCCCATCAGGACATGCAGGTGGGGCACTGGCCTGAGTTTTGGATCTTTGCTTCAAAGCCGTGTTAAGTCCAGCTCTGCCTTGTCCCAGTTCCCAGCCCTGTCGCTGTTAGGGGTATCCGATCAGCACCCTCAAAACTAGAGAGATCGCAGCCTCAAACAAATCCTTTTGGCAAATGGCTGCATGTTAGGAGGGTTTTGGTGACCCAAACATGTGCCAGGCATGTTCCAAAACCCCCAGCATCAAGGCCCACTCAGGGATTAGGGTCGAAGCTGCTTGGCTGGGGAGAGAGGGACTGTTTTTGTTCTTAGCCACTTTCTGTTCACATATGGCTATCATTCACTGAATGAACGTTTACTAGAACAGCAGGGTGGCGGAGTAGAGAAAACGTGTTTCCAGTTTGCTGTACCTGTGTCAGAATCTTGGATTTGTTACTGTGAGATTCAGGGCACTTGAGTCATTTGTTCTCTAGAAGGTTAATTTCCTCAACTTATAAAATAACTTGATTTGTACCTCCTGCAGTGGGTGTTGTGAGGACTGGGTGAGAGGAAGTCTGTGAGGACCCAGCATGACACCTGCACATGGCAGCTGTGTGGTAGGCGGTCACTGCTGTTGTCATTTAGTAGGTGGCCCTTAGGATTAGACACCGCGGGGGACACAGGCTGGGTGAGATAGGGTCCTTGCTACCAGGAACATATGGTTAACAGGGGGCTGCAGGATAGATTTGCTGTGTTTTGGGAGTTCCTAGCATCTGAACCCCCTCTGAGTTTACATCTGAGGATTCTCTTCCATATGTATCTTGGAGGCCAGACAGGAAAGGCCAGGAACTCTTGTCACCTGTAGTGCTGGGTGCGAGCACAGGACTGGGGCCTGCCAGCCAGACCCACCCCCTGGTGCTGGGATTCAGGAAGCAGGACAGGGAGCATTCGTCATGGTGGCTCAGTGGCAGAGGCAGGTGCCAGATGGGATGCTGAGCCCTGTGTGCCCGGGTGTGGGCTGGGCAGGGGCCTTGCCTGCCTGCCTGCCTGCCACAGGGCCTACTTTCACTGTGCTTCTCTGGGTGAACAGCCTCCCTGGCAGAGGCCCGGTTTCTGAGCGTGGCTCTCCCAGCTTCCTGTGTTTTCTGACCTGCACAGTGGCCTTTTAGTGAGGTCCCTTGCTGCTCAGGTCAGCCCCAGGAAGGTTCTGGTGCTCACATCCCAGAACCTGCTGGTCTCTGGGCCTCAGAGTAACTCATACTGAGAGGAGGGAAGGATGCCCAGGCAATACTGTGCAGAGACAGGGTTGCCACTTCTGGCCGCAGGGAGGAGTCAGAGAAGACTTCTTGGAGGAGGGGGCATTTGAAAGGTACTTTGTAGGACAGAGGGCCTGGAGGGAGGTTCAGATCCTGGCCGGGCAGTGGAAGCCTGGCCCTTGCCTTATAGCCTCTTTGAAATGTAAATGATGCTAGTGCCTGTGGGATAGGGCCTTTGTGAGGAGTAAATGGTTGAGGACAGCGCCTGGCTAATCACTGATCAAAATAGCCCCCTCCTGACAGGGGATTAGGTTCATGGCTGTCGTATATACGAGACCAACCATCTCCCCCCACACTCTGTATTGATGGGGAGTGGTAGAGTTACACTTCTGCTCTGAGCTCAGTGCATAGACATCCTATCTTGTTGAATGTGCACGACACCTCGAGATGTAGGCAGGATCCTTCCTTTTTTACAGGGGAGAAGACGGGGCCTTGGTGAGGTGAAGTAGTTCCCAGGGCCTTCCATCCAGGTGATGGAGCCAGGACCTTGCTTCTAGTTCTCCTGCCTCCCAAGCTTGGCTGTTTCCTACAGCTGCATACGGCCCCACCCAGAGGGAGGCAGTCACCAGAGAAAGAGAATGGCAGTGACCCAGAGGGGGCACAGAGCTACTTCCTGCTCAGGGAGTGCTGGGCAGCCTCCTGCGGGGGGGAGAGGGGGGCATTGAATGGGCCCTTCAGAGAAGGCTGGGAGCTCACCAGGTCCTGAGGAAGAGGAGGGACTGCGTGCAGGAAGCCTCAAGGCACGAGCCAGCTTAGCATTTGGGGGAACTCCAAGTATTTGGTGTATACAGTGTCTGCAGGGTGCCTGGGCAGGGGTGTTGGGCCAAGCGGTGTGGCAGGGGACCATGTGTGCTCTGGCCAGGGGCCTTGACCTCATTCTGTTGGTGGTGAGGGCCTCTGCAGGTGGGGAGTGGCAAAGTGGACCAAGACCGCCTCTCCTCCACTATCTCCCCTCCCTACCCCTGCTCTGTCCTTATACCCCAGGCCACAGTGAAGGACATTGGGCCGAGGCCCTGCTTTCATAGGAGGAAGCAAAGCTCTGCTTCATGTAGCTGAAGCCCAGGCTCCCCATTGTCCACCCTGACACAGACCCTCTGAGTCCTCAGTTTTCTGGTCTGTAAGTGGCTATGAAGTCTGTCTTGCTTCTCCTCCCAGAGAAATCATGAGCATAAAGAGCCTGCCAGACGTGTGGATATGCGGTTTTAAAGATTAAGGCAGTTTAACCAAAAAGAACAAAACATTGGCTGAATTAATAGAAGTGGCACTGGGCGTTCTTCCCGTCAGCCTGAGTTGGAGGTGGGGTGCCTCCCAGCAGGGGCTGGCAGGAGCACCCGTGTGCGCTCTGACCCCATCCAGAGGGTTTCTGGGTGCCCTGCACAGCGGGACACCCTCTGGAGGAGGCCCTGTGGGGAGGACAGAGGGCCAGTAAGAACACTCAGTGGCCTTGGAGAAGCAAAGGTGTCATTTGTCCCCTCCCAACCACCCTGTACTTCCTGTACTGAAACTGACAGCAAGGGAGACTTTGGCAGGGAGAACTCCCAGTTTAGCTCCTCAAGTGTTTTTGAGGCTGAATACCAGCCTGACAGCTTGCTGGCCTGCTGCAGGGTGTGGGGCTGAGACGGCCTCAGCGACTTATCACAGCGACCCTGTGAGGTGTAGGTGCGTCCTGGTCCCCCATTCAGTGGTCACAGAAGCACAGTGGGGTTTAAGTGACCAGTCAGATCTGCGAGCAGCGGATTCAAGATTCCAGAGTCTGGGGATCTGACACCAAGCACCTTGGGCTGGTAAAGATACAAAGTCTCCAGCAGGCACAGGGTGGAAGAGGAGGTTTCTGTTTTTAATTTTTTTTTGTAGACAAGGGGTCTTGCTGTGTTGCCCAGGCTGATCTTGAACTCCTAGGCTCAAGTGATTCTCCTGCCTTGGCCTCCCAAAGTGCTGAGATTACAGGTGTGAGTCACCATGCCTAGCAAAAAAAGAGGAGGCGTCTTGTTGACATGGATTGAGAGAAGGTTGAGTAGCTGAGAAGGAGAGAGAACAGCCTCTGTAGAACAAGGAGGTGGGGGGTGTTTCTGGGTATGGTGAGCATGGAGCAAATAGGAGAGGGAGCCCAAAGCATGCTGGGGCCAGAGCCTGCCCAAAAGGCCTGTGCCCAGAACTCTGGGCATCGTTTAGTAGGAAAGGGGAAGTCAGTGGTGGGCTCTTGAGTTTGGCAGCACCCCCGTGAGAGCTGGGCGTATGCAGGCGGACGCTGTAGCCATGGCAGCAAGGTCGGCGGTGGTAGCAAAGGGAACTTAACTCCCAACTTGGGACATCTTTTGGGGCTCAGTTCAGAGAAAAACTGAGCAAGAAATAGGTCACAGGTTTTAGGAACGGTATTAGAGTATCTTATTTTCTGGCATGTCCAGGAAATGCCATTTTCCACTGGATGCATTTTTTAGATAGTTGCTTGGCACTTATGTCTTTGTCTTCAGAAGAATGGTTTTCCGGTTTTAAACACATATCTGGCTGGGTGCGGTGGCTCACGCCTGTAATCCCAGCACTTTGGGAGGCCGAAACGGGTGGATCACTTGAGGTCAGGAGTTCCAGACCAGCCTGGCCAACATGGTGAAACCCATCTCTACTAAAAATACAAAAATTAGCCGGGTGTGGTGGCACATGCCTGTAATCCCAGCTACATGGGAGGCTGAGGCAGGAGAATCGCTTGAACCCAGGAGGTGGAGGTTGCAGTGAGCCGAGATTGCACCATTGCACTCCAGCCTGGGCGACAAAGTGAGACTCTGTCTCAAAAAACAAACAAACAAACAAAAACCCACATATATCCCACTTTTCTTTCCCTTCCAAAAGAGAGTATATGGATATAATTTAATCATTTTTCCTGTGTTATGTATAATTGTACAATTAGAAACAACCAAACATTAAAAGGTAGGGAATTGATTAAATAAATTATGCTTGATTTACCTTTTAATGATAATGCTTTAGAAGAATATGCAATGTTGGCTGGACGTGGTGGCTCACACCTATAATCCCAGTACTTTGGGAGGCTGAGGTGGGCAGATCACGTGAGGTCAGGAGTTTGAGACCAGCCTGGCTGACACGGCAAAACCACGTCTCTACAAAAAATACAAAAGTTAGCTGGGTGTGATTGCTCACACCTGTAGTCCCAGCTACTTGGGAGGCTGAACCTGGGAGGCAGAGGTTGCAGTGAGCTGAGACTGTGCCATTGCACTCTAGCCTGGGCAACAGAGCAAGGCTCCATCTCAAAAAAAAAAAAAGAATATGTCATGTCACAGGAATATATTCCTTATAGTTTGTTAATTAAAAAGTAGGATCCAGATGTTTGTGTAGTATAATTTCAGTTTTAGCAAAGATAAATATTAAAAACTTGGAGGAGTACGTTATGTAATACAAATGTTACAGGCTATCTCTGAGATTAAGTTAAAATTTTTCGATCCCTGAGTAAATAACTGGAGATATAAACATCTCTTACAATGGACATTAATTTGATCAGAGAAAAAAGACAGTTTTTTTGAAAAGCTGTATTACTTTATAGACACAGCTGGTATCTTTATTCTGCCTGAGTCTCACCATCTCCACTGCAGGAGGCAGCTGGGTCATGTTAAGGGTTCCTAGAGCCCCAGGTGGCACTCTTCTGTCTTCCTTGTCTTTAACATCCGGACCACACCTTGTCAGGAAGCTGAGTTTGAATCTCAGCCCCGGGCTCGCCAGTAGGAGTTCTTGAGTCCTGGGCCTGGCCTTGGACTCCCGTTGTGAAGTGGGAGCCAGCCTTGCAGGTGGCTGCTCAGGTGAGCATGTAAGGTGCATCTAGGTGGCTGGGGCCTGGGGCTACATCCTGAAGCTTACCTGCGCCTTCAGCCAGTGGCTGCTGTTTATTCCAGCAGTGAAACCCAACCGTCACATTCCTTGAAATACCTTTAATAACTCTTACCAAATTTTGAATTTTCAGTGAGTTTGACCTTGACCATCTGTTTGAAAGAAAGGCAGACACACACCCACACACACCCATGGTGAAATGCAGGCAGGATCTGACGTCCTAGGCTGAGAAATGCTGGTCTCCTCTTTTCCTATCAACACTGCCCTGTTGACCATGCAAGGGGCATGGAGATGCCATTGTCCCGGGGTCAGAGGGTTGGCAGGGAGAATTGCTGTGGTTCCGGGGCTTCCTGTGTAGGCCCCAGGGATTGGGACTGGCCTGGCTCAGAGCAGGAGCCACCCAGGGAGCAGGGGAACAGCCTTCCAGGGCCTCCCTGGTCCAGCTGCCTGGGCCTGCAGGCTCTTCTGAGGACAGAGCCCTGATAAGTGAGGGTCAGTGCCCAAGAAAAAAGGAGCATTGTTAGGGGGTGGGGGCCGGGGGAACAGCCAGGGCATTGTCGCCGAGCCGGGAGGCTCTGTGTGTTCCGTGGCTTTCCCAGCTCTCTGACAGTCACAAGCACTGAGGTTTGGGGCTTCCACCCCTTGACAGCAGGTAGGTCCCTTTTTGGCAGCTGTCAGCATCTCTCAGCCCTTCTCTGCTCTGCTCTGGGGGGATTTTTCTTGGCATTTCCAAGTTCTGGGGGCTGCATCCTCCCCTGCGGTATTGAGATGAGTGGGAGAGAATGCGGTGCGGGTTGTTGGTAACGATCCCAGAGCCCAGAGAATAGGGGCAGTGTTCCTGGGGGAGAGCCCTCACCCGGCCCCTGGGGTGCTGAGCCTGGTGAGTCATGAGGGGTGTGGGCCACAGAACGCCGGGGAGAGTGGCTGGGGGTTAGGGGGTGTGGAGAGGCTGCCACCAGCAAACAGCAAGAGCCGTGGGGGTCAAATGGGGCACGTGCTCCCACCAGCCTCTCGGAGGAGGTCACGTGTTTGTCATTGTTGGCTGTGTCTGACGTGCGGGAAAGCAGCCGTGAATACTGAGGAGCCTGTCACATTTGTTCTCTCAGCATCTTTGGTTTATCTTAAACCTCAGTGAGATGTTTGCAGTTCTTCTCACGCTGTCACAGAGCATGACCTTGTGGCCTCAACCGGATGCCCTTTAGACATTGCAGTCCACTGCACCATGTGGACCTCCTGGGGCAGGGCTGGTTGCTATAGGAGCGGCCCTTCCCAGTAGGACGGGGACAGTGTCCCTCCGGTTGTGGCCTCTGCTCCCCGCAGCTCTTGAAGTTACCGACCTTGGGCTCCTGGGACCTTGGGCTCCTGGGGAGGGGCAGGTCTCACTGACGCCACCATTGCTTTCGTAGCCCTTTCTTGGAAAGGGTGGCCTTGGGCTTGGCGAGTGCTCCTCCCACCTGTTTCCAAACTCTGAGGATGCTCCTCAGGAATTAGAACAATTCAAATTAGTCATCACGTGCCGGAGTCAGGCTGGGAAGAGGCAGCCACTTGGCACCACATACATCCACCTGGGCCTGCCACCCTTAGCCCAGGCCTTGGACCTCTCTGGTCTCCTGGCTAGGCCCTGGGCCCAGCTGGTTTCTGGTGGGAGGTGACAGGCCCAGTAACTGAAGCAGGAGGCTCTGGTCCAGACCGACCTGGGTGGGTTGAAACCTGCCTCTGCCACCTCCTGGTACCCAGGAGGGTGAGGCAGCTGTTCACGGTGCTGTCGGGCACCAGGCCCTGGACAGCCATGGTTGTTCCCATTCTGGGCCTCATGCAGTGCCTGGTAGACCACTGCCTCCCACTCACCAGTGTCACAGCAGCCAGACAGGTTTCTGCGGCCTGAGCCCCCTCCCTCCCTCCCTCCCGTCCTGTTTCCTAGGCAGCATGGCCTCTTTGGCCATTTGTTGACCTCCCATTCCCCTTGGCTTCTCAGTGCAGAATTTCCATAGCACATCAGTCTGCACTGGTGATTTGGGGCTCTCTGGTGTACATGTGCAGATATACACACCCATGGGAGATGAGGGAGGCATTCCACTGTCCTTCAAGGCTCAGCTTACCTGCCATCTCCTTTGAGTCGGCTTTTGACTGCCCAGCGTGAATACCTGTGCCTGCCTTTGTGTGCTCACTGCACTCTTTTGGGTCATTCTGGAAGAGCCTCCATTTTATTTTGCCTCACTGGCCCAACTGCCAACCATGTCTGCCCTTGAGGCCATCCCTGCTGCCCTGGTGCAGCATGAAGTCCACAGCGAGTGCCTGGTCTCTATTTGTTGAATGAATGTCTGCAACGTAATGTGACCAAGGTCCCACAGATCAGCATCCTAGTGAGCTGAGAGCTCAGGTGAGCTCATCTGTGTGTTTCAGAGGGGGTGGTGGGCAGAGGACAGCAGGCTGTTGTCCTGAAGCCCCTAGAACCTAGCGGAGAAGAGGCAGGACCCAAAAGAAGGAGGTGTGTTCACCCTGTAGGACTTGCTTTGTAGGTGCAGGTGCCCAGAGGCCAGGCCCGTCAGTGCTACCTGGGGTGGGGCTGGAGAAGGGAAGGCCTGCCAGGCCCCATAGGTGATGGGAGGGCCAGGACCTCAGGTTGGAGGGAACCACTGAATCCTCGGCCCTGTGGTGCAGGCCCACACAGGGCATAGCCCCTGGGCACTGGCACTGCCCACTGCCCACTGCCCGTGTGTGCTGGGGCCATGCCAGCCTTCTCCGCTGCTAAACTGGCTTCTTCACCCTCCCTCAGTGGGCACAGCTGCCGCTTCCATCTCAGTGTCTGCTTCTCCCTTGCTTGGTGGGTCATTATGTGCCCACTTAGCCATAGGCTTTCACTGAGTCCCCACCTTCATGCAGGATGTGGGAGGTCCCAGGGGCCCCCAGGCAGCTCAGGCTGGCCTGCCCTCTAGTGGGGAGCAGAGCAGACAGATCTCCCAGCCCAGTGGGGGCCAGCTGTGGTGGAGCCCGCCTCCCCATTCTATTCTTGGAGAGGAAAAGCACAGAAATACAGGAGTGAAGGCACAGACTGGGCAGAGGGGCCGGAGTCGCCCTCTGAGGAGGCCTGTAGGGCCCCCAGAAGAGTTTTCTGGGTCAGAATCAAGAGACTCAGGAGCCTTTTTGCATTTTGTGAGCCCAGTCACTTTGCCTCTGGTCAGGGTAGGTTTTCCAGAGCATCTTCCTGCTCCGACAGGGGGTGGGGGAGTGTTGGGGGTGGGTGGTTTGCCATGGGAACCCCCGGCTGCTGCAGGTGCTGTGTGGCTGAAGCCACCTCCCAGTTCAGTGTGCTGGGGGCAGGATGTGGGGGAGGGCACCTGGGAGGAAGGTGTCGGGGCAGGGCTTACCAGGGACCCATGGGGAAGTATTAGACGGCTTTTGGGGCTACACTTTGGATAGGGAGCTGGGGGCTCCCAGCATCAGAGCCCACTCTTTCTCCCCCATTCCTGAGTTTGGAAAAAGGCTGCCAGCTGGTGCCTCACCCCTGCCCCTCACCAGAAGAGGTCCTGTGCTTGCCCCCTGCCCCATCCTCAGTCCCCAGTCCCACAGCTGCTGTGCAGTCCTGCTTCTCTTTCTGTCTCCTCCCCTGCATCATTCCTGCCCTAGCTCTAGACCTCTCCACCTAGCTACCCCTGTGCTGCCCGAGAGCCCTCCTGTGCCCCACCACACACCCACATGCACAGGCACGCACATTCACACACTCCGTTCTCTTCCAGGAGAAACCCTCCCTGGTTCCTGAGGCCCTGGGGACCAGTGGGTGTGTGTCTGTCTCTCTCTAGCGCCTCTTTCTCCTCTCTGCCTTTCCTTAGACACGTACCTCTTACCTCCTGTCTGGCCTGGCTTCCTCCATGAAGTGCTGTTTGGTTTTCTCAGCAGGAGCCTCCCAGCCCCAAGGCTCCCACTGTTCCTCTACCAGTCCTGTCCTGGGGCCCTCACTCCTGGGTGGTCACTGTTGACTGATTACTCATCAGTGGTCCCTCTCTAGACCCTGGTTCTGATGTCTGTGCTCAGCAGGGCTGGCCCAGAGGAGGTGGTGGGGAATGTTGGGGGGCATTGGCTGTTGTGGGGCTTTGAGGAAGCCTCCTTCCTTCTCTGGTTAGGAAGTTATTGCAGCAGATCCAGCTTTTCTTATTCTCCTTTTCACAAGGCTCACAGGTCACATGGCTGCTGCCTCAGAGTCCCTGAGGCACTGCTGTGCCAATGCACAGTTGGTTTATCTTAACATCACCCACCCCAGGAAACCTCCCTTGACCCTGTCCCTAGGCCTGGCTGAGATGACCTTCGGTCCTACTCTCACCTGTAGGATTGCAGGAATAACAAATGACACTTAATCACAGGCCTCTGAGCAAAAACTGGGACCCAACAAATTTGAGTGTGCTGATTTCATTTGTAGACCCTGGGAAAACCGATGCTTATACCTTTCCCAAGCCCTGGCAGGGCATTGGCACAGATCTGCTTTCACCCTGAGTCTCTCTAGGTGTCTCTGTGTCCATGCCTTCTCAGCAGCTCACAACTGCTGCCCAGGGAGATGAAGCCCACCAGCTCCTTTGCTAAAGGGCTCACCCCCTAGAGAAAAGGGCTGGCTTTGCAGGGTGCACGATCCGATCCGTGCTGGCCTTTGTCACCCGATTCCCTGAGCAGCTGCTCAGAGCTGTGGAGTACGCTGCAGTCTGCAGAGTGCGATGGCCCCTTCGTGAGTCCCAGCAACTCACCAGGGTCACAGCCAGAGCTGGGTGGACATGTGCCTTCTAGATGAGGCTAATCGGAAGATATTCAAGGGCATCAAGCTGCCCCGCCCAGCATGGTGTGTATGTGGTCCCTGGGGGACTTCCTCCCATTGAGGGTGGGGCAGGTCAGATGTGGGTCAGTAAATTTCTGTGACCTGGCAGCATTCTCTGGAATTCTCCCAAGTGAGTATGCAAGGGTTTCAGTGTCAGCTTCTTCCTCTCTGCAAATCTCTGTGCAAGTGAACATATTAAAGTATCTGAGAAGTCCTGCAGGAAAGCTTCTGCTGCTGCTTAGCTTGACGCAACCGAGTCTTTGCAAATGATTTTGAGTACTGAACTTCCCCTTTTCATGTGATGTTTAAAAGGTTGTTAATGCTTTATTATTATTATTATTATTATTTGAGATGGAGTCTCGCTCTGTCGCCCAGCCTGGAGTGCAGTGGCGTAATCTCGGCTCACTGCAACCTCCGCCTCCTGGGTTCAAGTGATTCTCCTGCCTCAGCCTTCCGAGTAGCTGGGATTGCAGGCATGCACCACCATGCCCAGCTAATTTTTGCACTTTTAGTAGAGATGGGGTTTCACTGTGTTGCCCAGGCTGGTTGCAAACTCCTGACCCCAAGTGATCCGCCCGCCCCAGCCTCCTAAAGTGCTGGGATGACAGGCGTGAGCCACTGCACCCGGCTGCTTTGTTACTATTATATCAAATACCAGTTTGGAAAACTGCCTCAAGGAATGCTCTCTTCGGATTGGAAAGCAATGAATATAGAAAGAGTACAGCTTCAGGGCTTAAATAATAATCTATGCAGGCTTTGTAGGAGTTTGAGTCAGAGTTTCCCTCCTTATTGTTAAAAAGGATGCATAGAAAATTTTTTTGACTTGGAGAATTCTTTGCCACTTGTGGCCGGGGCTGCCAGTTGCCATTCTAGGGGGAACATGGAGATAAAGCAAACATTGAAATATGTTTTTTATTGTCAGCAAAAATAAACATCCCAGGCCGGAAGCCAGGGTGTGGAAGGGAGGAGTCTGGGGACATGAAGTCGGAATCCCACTTGGGGATGGGCACTTATTCTCTTACCACCACCTCTTGGAGCCAGACCAGGAGGCCTTAGGGGGGTCTATGGCCCTCATTAAAGCCCAGGCCCCCAGCTTCCAGACAAGGGAAATGATGGCTCGAGGTCCCACAGCAAGTCAGTGCCAGGCTCCTGACCCCTGGCCCGCTGCTGTCTTCGAAGCATCATGGTTTCTGAAAATCTTACCTAAGTCCCTTGTTCCATGAGGCCATAAAAATGGCAACTGCCATGTATGAAGCGCTTACAGCCTGTACCAGGCAAGGTGCTGACACCTCACCTGTGTTAACTTCCACAGCGGTCTCTCCAAAGGGACTGAGGCATCTAACTCCCTCACTCATGGCCTTTTGCCAGCTTCCCCCACTCTGAGGACACTGACTCCAATCGTGCCCCCACCTCTTTGTCCCCCGTCCCCTGCACCCACGCTGGCCTCCTCTGCTCGGGACCCCTGCACTTGCCTTCTTCTTAGTTCAGAACATTCTTCCCCAGGTCTCTCCTGGGCCTTCTTCTTGCCCAGGCCTTCCTTAGAGAGGCCTTGGATTCATTTGCCAGTGCTGCTGTCACAAAGGGCCACAAACTGGGCAGCTTAAATAGCAGAAATGCACCCCTCCCAGTTCCGGAGGTGAGAAGTCTGAGATCCCAAGTGGGGCTCCTTCCGAGGCAGCGGGGCCTGTTCCAGCCATCTCTCCCTGCTGGGGGTGGATTGCCAGCCATCTTTGGCGTTCCCGGGAATGTAGAAGTACCGCCCTCATCTCTGCCTTCATCTCCTCACGATGTTCCTCCTTTGTGCGGGTCTGTGTCTAAATTTCCCCTTTTTATAGGAGCACCAGTCATCGTGGACTAGGGACCTACCTGCTCTGGAATGACCTCATCTTAACAAAGGTCATCTGCAAAGACCCCATTTCCTAACCAGGTCACGTTCTGAGGTACTAGGGGTTAGGACTTCAACATACCGTTTTTTGGGGACACAGTTTAGCCTGTACCAGGCCTTCTCTGACGAGTGCCCCCCTTTCCTATCATGCCCTCTGCACTTCATTGATGTTGCAGCCCTCGGTGGTGCCTCCAGTCGCTTCCTTTGCTTGTTTGTTGTCTGTCTCCCACACTAGGCTGTGAGTATGAGCACTGAGGACAGGGACCTGGCGGTCATCTTCACGTTGCATCTTCAGAGCTTGAGCAATGCTAGGCACAAACTTACTCTGTTCACTTAATTACTCAATGAATGAGTGCATGAATGAATGAATGAATGAATGAAAGAAAGAAAAGAAAACAAGTCCTGTTGTCTTTCCCATGCATCACTCACACAAACTGAGGCTTTGAGAAAACCAGAGGAGAGTAAAGAACAGGCTTTTGTGTGTGATTCATGAAGCAGTAACGGTTTCTCTTTTATTTACATTTTGGATAAAGGGCAGAAGCAAGAAGGGTGGCTGTGACTGCATTCTTGATGTTTTCAGCATTTGTCAAGTGGGACGTGTCACCTCATTTTATTTTTGCACATTCCCCAGTCAGCTCTACTGAGTGTAAATGCGGGGTGCCGCTCTCACACCCTCAGTTCCCATGTTGGCAGTTGGAAGGGAGTGCAGCCTGCATTGCGCGCTAACTTCGTGCTTGCCATCTGGGAGGGAAGTTGGGATCCAGGTGGTGCAGTCCTGGATCTGAAATCCTCTGTGGGAAGTGCAGAGAGACAGGGTAGCTGGGTTTCTGGAAGGGGGTAGCAGCCTTTGAATTCATCTGGCTGAGAGCTCAGATAGAAATCCATCCCTCGCCACAGCTTTGGGACAGTCAGATGTGGTGCACCGAAGACAATCTGCTGGGGACTGTCAGTGGCTTCCTTTGTTACCCTTGCCTTGTCCACTCTCTTGGGCCTGGGAGGGTCAGTGTCTGTGACTGTTTGATCCTTACTATGCTTGGCTGTAGAGGAAGGGGCCTGCAAGATGCTCATGGCCTGCTTGGGAGGACAAGAGTCATGCCCAGGAAGCCGTGCCAGTGACCAAGGGTGGTGGCTCATCTCCTGCCTTGTGTGCTTGTTGTCAGAGCTGTGGCATCTTCAGCCCTCAAAGATTGTGGCCTGCCGGCTTGGCTAAAAGCACAGCTGCCTGGAGCCTCTGTGCCTTTTGGGCTTCCTGGGGCCCATGTCTCCTCTCTGCAAGGTGCACCCTGGGGCTGAAGCTCGGGTGGCTCGGGTGTCCTTGCCTGCTCTGTTGCCCAGAGACGGCTTTATTTTTCTTACCCTGCTAGGCCCAGGGCATGTGTGGCTTATTCCTGGGGCTGCTTGGGACATCGTGGAATTCTTTAACCTGAAGATTCTCACCTCTCCCACCATACCCTCCAGAGTCCAACACAGACACAACTAAGCTCAGGGTCCCCAAGGGTCCAGACCCCAGGTGGAGGTGAGGGGCGGGCAGTGTGAGGTGTTGGCTCTAGGGAAGGGAGTGGTAAGAAAACATGGGCCTGCCGCTTACTCTCAGTGACCTTCCACGAGTTCCCTCATCTCATCATGTCCTTTTTTCGGAGCAAAGCAGGGATAACATGTCCTTGGAGGGTGGTTATGGAAATGCCCAATGCCCAATATATACTGTATGGATAGGTGAATGGCATGAATCCCTCCAGCTTTGGGGAATCAATTCAGTCCATGTTGGCTGGTTTCTAGAACAACTGGGCATGATGCCAGGCCACACAGGGGCCACGGGGAGGAATAGGACATAGTCCCTGTCCTCAGGGAGGGGGCACAGGCTAAGGAGAACTCTCTGCAACTCATCAGCCACGTAAGCTCAGTCAGCTTGAGCGTCTCTGTTCTCCCTGAGTAGGCACCACTGCGAGGAGGCAGTGAAGTGTTCTCAATGGGAGGGAGGAGCCACAGCCCCATCATCGTGCCTGGGACGCTGAGGCTTAGAAATGCCGAAGCTGAACCTGAAGGCGGTTACTGTTTGGCGTTAGAGGTGGGAGATCCAATGGGAACTGTGATTGCTGAGGTTCCGGAGGGTCTGAGAGCTGACATCCGCTTGGGGAGGTGCCTGCAGGGGGCCTGCTCTGGGCCAGGCTTGGTGCTAAGGCTTCACCAACACTGTCTCGTGGAATGCTGATGGCAGCTGTCATCGGCTGTATTGTACCAGTGAGGAAACAGTGTCTCAAGGGGGTTGAAGATCACTGACTGAAGGCCCAGGTCTGCCCACAGCTGCCTCCACCCCTCCATTGCTTCCAGTATCTGGGACTTGAGTTCCAAAGCCATCCTTGGCGTGGGCACACAGTGAGCAGTGCCTGGGGAGAGATTGTCCTGGCTGGAGAGCTCGTCAACAGGCTGAGCGAAGGTGTTAGAACAGGCTGCCCTGTACCTCTGGGGGTTGGTTTCCGGCTCATGTCACAGTCCAGTGGAGACCAGCGGCCTCTCCAAGCAGTGACTCAAGAATCTGTGTTCACTCCATCAGGTTATTCTGTCATCCAAGTCTTTTTCGTCAGCCACATGAATGGGGTCTAGGGAAGGCACGCTGTTCATCATACACTTGAACTAGCTTGGCCTGGAAGCACCCACTACGTCTGCTCCCATTCTGTTGGCCAGGACGCGTCCTGTGGCTCCTGTGCGTGTGCAAGGGAACCAGGGCATGTTGGGCGTGTGGCTGTGGGAGAGCAGCCTCCGGGTTTCTGGCGGGAGCCAGCAGGTGCATGGACCCACAGTGCCGGTTTCCCACAGAGGTCCTCTCAGTGCAGAAAGCCAAGGACCAGCCCCTTTTTTTCCCACTGCTCTCTGGGTGACTTGGAAAGTACTGAAGCCTCAGGGCAGAGGTTGGAGAGAGGAGAGCCAGGATTCCTTGGGCACTGAGAGCAGGGAAGGGTTTTCAGTGAGCCCCTTGTGCTCAGCCAAAGCAGCTGGGTCAGGTGGCCCTGGGTGAGACTGAGGTTGTCACGTGTGCCATTTGGTGGGAATGGGGGCACCAGTTGGACAGCAGCAGAAATCATTTCTGTTTTCTGTTGATGACTGTCTTGCTTACTCAGTGACTAGTGCACGGGCTCTGAGATCTGCAGAGGAGTCCTGAGGCACGTGTACACAGTTGTCCACGTGCGTGCACATGTTGTAGACGTGTCCCTGTGTTGGAACATCTGGAGTGTGGTTCTCCAGTTGTCTAGCCCAGAGTCTGCCTCCCTGGCCCCCTCCCAGCTCCTTCATCATTAGCTGTGTGGATGAAGGCGAGTTGCCTTGGTGTCCCCATCTGTACAATGGGAATAATAATTGGCTCTGCCTCATGGGGTCATTGAGATGATTAAGTGAGATAGTTCATGTGAAGTGCGTAGAGTTGGGCTGGGTGCACAGAGGTGCTCGATGGATGTTAGTTATTGGCTGGATTTGAATCTAAGCCTGTCTGACTCTCAGACTCCAAACGTGTGCTCTTCCTAGAGACTGCTCAGTTGGTAATTTACAAACTTTCAGTAAGTAAATAAGACATTTCACTGGTTTTAAATTTCTGGGAGCACATGATGAGCAGTCTCCCTTTCACCCTGATCCCACAAGCCCCCTGGTCCTCTCCCCTGTGGTGGCTGCCACTCTGACCAGTTTCTAGTGCACATCCCAAGATACTCTGTGCATATCCAGTAAGATCTCACTTAACGTCTTCGATAGGTTCTTGAGGACTGTGCCTTTAAATGAAATATATAATGAAACCAATTTTTTTCTCACTGTTATAAAAAAGTGACGTTGAAGGAATTGATGTTATTTAAGGACCTGCTGTACAATTCAGTTGATACTGCACTTTCCAAGAACCTATCCCCAATGTTCAGTGAAGACTTACTGTACAAGCACATGTTGATTTTGTGTAACCCTTTTTTCCCCTCCCCATACATATTCTAGCATGGTATACTCAGTGATCGGCCCCTTCTTGGAGATCTTTCCACGTCACCACAGAAAGCACTCCCCGTTCTCTTCTGTGGCAGCATGGTCTTCCACCATATGGATCTTCATAAGTGATTCAGTCCCTTCTTGTTGGACTTTTATTTAGTTACTAATTTTTGGCGATTACAAACAGTGCAGCAATGTGTGTGAGTGCATATGTGGGTGAGTTCACCCTGTGAGATCAGCTCCTGGAAGTGAGACTCCTGGACGAGAAAGGTTATGCATTTATATTGTGATGGATATTACCAACTTGCTGCCGTCGAGACGGTTGAATCTGCATCCCCCCAGCCCTGGCCGATACAGTCTGTTATCCGTCTCTCTGACTTTCACCAATCTGGTACATAAAACATGGTTATCATAATGTAGTTGTAATTTGCATTTGTTGTATGAATGAGGTTGAGTATTTTCTAATTTTTATATGTTGGAAGCCTTTTGTAGTTAATTTTCTGTACTTAACATTCAAACATATCTTTTGTTCATGTTTTCTGTTGTGTTAGGTTTTCTTTTTAAAAAAATCAGTTTGTAGGATCTTAATATATTTGAGAGAGATTAGTCATTTGTGATATAAGCTGCAAATATAATACGTGGTGTTCCTGGCTAAGAGGATTCATGATCAAACCATGGGTTTTCCTTAAATTGATACATAAATATAAGTAATTCTCCATCCAAGTCCTATTCTTTTTTTCTTTTTTTTTAGACAGGGCCTCACTCTGTCACCCAGGCTGGAGTGCAGTGGCGCAATCCGTGCTTAAGCCACCCTCCTGCCTCAACCTCCTGAGTAGCTGGGATGACAGGCGTGGGCGTGGTGTGCACCACCAGCCCGGCTAATTTTTTATATTTTTAGAGATGGGGTCTCACTCTGTCATCCAGCCTGGTCTCAAACTCCTGGACTCAGGCGATCCACCTGCCTCAACCTTCCAACAATCCCATGCTGGGATTACAGGCATGAGCCACCACACCCAGCTCCAAGTCCTGTTCTTAAGGATGTGTAGGAAAAATAAATGAGCATGACTGGTCAGGAAAATTGTGAAAAAGGGAGGACCTAGATCTTATTGGTATTAAGCTTATCATGAAGCAATTGTAATTAAAACAATGTGGGAAAAAGAAAACCAAACGAAATCATTGTGATATTGGTGAAAGACAAGTTAATGAAGAGTCCAAAAAATGTGAGAATTATGAAAATATTGGCATTTGCAAACAGTGGGTAAAAGATGGGTAAGTAAATGTTGTTGAGACACTGGAGTGCTCATCCGGAGGAAAACATACACAGATGCACACCTCAGTCTTTCACTGAAACAACTCCCGGTGGATTTAAGATTTAATGATAAAAACTTAAAATGTAAAAATAGTTGAGAAAACCGTGGGCTGATTTAAAAAACAGTCTAGGGAGCAAAGATCAAAAGATGAAAATATTTATACATTTGAATTACAGAAAAGTCAAGATTTTCTGCCTGGCAAAACCACCACAACTAAAGTAGAAAGACAGCAACGTGGGCGGCGCTAGGCAGGCCTTACCACTGTCTGCTTGCCCCCACAGCCTCCATTCCTGCTCTTGATTTCCGGGTTGGGGTGCCAGTGCCAGGCCCTTCATCTTGGAGAACTCTGCAAAGCTGACAGTGGTGTGCTGTGTCGGTGGCCGGCAGGATGGAAAGACCCTGATTCCAGCCCTGGACAGGTTCTCGCTTCCTGACCCAGGTGGCTCTCAGGAGATGGCGTTGTGGTTGAAAACTTGAGGCCTGCCAGCTAGGATTTCAGAATTGTCCTGTTCTCCTGGAACTGGGGCAAGTCTGGGTTGTTGACGCTGTGCTTGTGGGTGCTTCCCTGCCTCTGGCCCCCTCAGATTGTATCTCGGACCACATGATAGCTCCCCCCAGCCTCAATCCCTGCACATCAGGAAAGGACGTCTAGCCAGCTGTGTTGTCGGCCCACTCCCCTTCCTGATGAAGGCAGAAGGCTCAGGAGCCTGTGTCCCGGAGCCACAGGGACCTGGGGGTGTTGGGGGAGATTTGCTGGTTATACAGCCTCAGTTCGGTTGTTTTGCCTCTTGACTTCCTTGCTTCATGTGTAAAATGGTGACAGTGGCCTCTGCCTCCTAAGGACATGGAGATTATGTGCTAAGGAGATTAGGTCTGTCATTTGCTCACTGCAGCACCTGGAATATAAGGGTCCCGGTAGTTCTGGTGGAGGTGATTATCAGAATCATGCTGGTGGAAAGCCAAAGAAGGCCAGAAAGGCCTCCGCTGAGGCCAGAGAACATCCAGCCTCATGTGAGGAAGAAAGTCCTATTTGCTGACACCTGTACAGCATGGTCAGCTCTAGTCACAGAGGGAGGTAATCGATGGCTGGCCCTGGCTGTGTGCTCATCGCGACTATAGGAAGGATATTTCTTTACCCTCACTCCACAGGCGAGGAAGCAGGCTTGGGGAGGGGAGGGATGTGCCCTTCCCCAGGCTGCACAGCTGGAGGCTCAGCCCCTGCCCTCTAACCCCTGGGCATCCTTCTGCCTGGGGAGGGAGCACCTCTGTGCTTGAGGTGGCTTGGGAAGAAGAGCACTGGCCAGCCATGGAGGAGTGCTGTGGGCAAGAGGATTCCGCGAGTTCCTTCCTCCAGGCCTGGCAACAGGAGGTTCATGTGTGGGATCCTCTCCGCTCTCCCCGCAACACACACAGGGCGGTCAGGCTTTGTTACGTGGCTTCTGACTCCCCACCTTGTGGATCCAGACCTGCCAGCCCTTTTATGCTCCCTTTTTTTCTTTTTCTGCTAGCCTGTGATTCGTACTTTCCCCCCAGGACAGGACTAGATTGGTGCCTGGCAACAGAGGGGAGGGGTTAGCTCCTATCAGCTCTGACTCTGGCCTCTCAGGTGCCACTGTGAACAATAACACAGATGAAGCAGCCCCTTGGCCAAGATGCACGGGATCGAGGGACTCATCTGGCAGGTTGAGGGGACTGCTAGGGGTGAGCTTTCCTAGGATGCTGGGGAATAGCCACGTCGTGATGTGGCTCTATCAAGGCTCCTGCCTTTTGCTCCTAAGGGCTCTGACAAGTTATCTTCCCCTTACAGGATAAATCCCCATTCCTCTCTCATCCAAATACTAATAAACTACAATGTGAAAAAAATCATAGCTAAATCCTGTTCTCAACCTTGCAGTTACCTGTCGGGGCCTGTTTGCCTTAATCTGCTTTTCTCCCCTTCCCTTTCCCTTCCCTTCCATCCTTCCTTTGTTTCAACAAATGAAAAAGAAAAGCTTGGGGTAGGGGGACCAGCTATTTTATGAGGACAGATTTGGTTGTGCTGTATTAACCAACAGCCTCAGAATCTTAGCTGAAAACCGTGGGTTATTCCGCACTCATGCCACATGTCCACAGGGCCAGCTGGGGGCTCTGTCCATCTTATTCACTCAGAGATCTAAAACTGAGCAGCCCCATCTGGAAGGTTGCTGGTCCTGCACCAGAGGGGAGAGAGGGCTCTGGAGACCTTACTCCTGCAGTTACATGCTCTGCCCAGGAAACGGCATGTTCTGTTTTCACTCACAGCTCATTGGCCAGAACGAGTCACATGATCACCCATTTACCAGGGAATCAGGAAGTGCAGTCCTGCCTTGTGTCCAGAAAAGGGGCTGATAGGCCGTGTGCGGTGGCTCACACCTGTAATCCCAGCATTTTGGGAGGCCAAGGCGGGCAGATCACATGAGATCAGGAGTTCAAGACCAGCCTGGCCAAACATGGTGAAACCCAGCACATCTCTACAAAACAAACAAACAAACAAGCAAAAACAGAAAAGGGGCTGCTATACCCACAGTCCTTTTATTTTCATATTCTGGGTTTTCTTATCAGCCTTTTCCACAGTAAATGTTGGTTCATGTGGTTGTAATTCAAGCACCTACTCTTATCTCTATCAAGACCTCTTCATTGTCATCTCAGTTACTGTTTTTTTCTTTGTTTTTGTTTTTTTGTTTTTGTTGTTTTTTAAGAGATATGGCCAGGCACAGTGGCTCACGCCTGTAATCCCAGCACTTTGGGAGGCTGAGGCAGGTGAATCACTTGAGTTTAGGAGTTCAAGACCAGCCTGCCCAACATCTGGTAGAGATGAGTAGTGAAACCCATCTCTACTAAAAATACAAAAATTAGCTGGGTGTGGTGGTGCACGCTTGTAATCCCAGCTACTTGGGAAGCTAGGCAGGAGAATCACTTGGACCCGGGAGGCAGAGGTTGCACTGAGTGGAGATCATGCCACTGTACTCCAGCCTCGACGGTAGACCGAGACTGTCTCAAAAAAAAAAAAAAAAAGATGTGGTCTTGCCATGTTGGCCAGGGTGGATTCAAACTCCTGGGCTCAAATGATCCTCCCACCTCAGCCCCATGAGTAGCTGGGATTACAAGTGTGCCCCACTGTGCCCAGCCACACCATCTCAGTGGCTCTTGACTAGCCCTTTGTGGTGGCATGCCCAGCATTAGCCAGCACCCCGTTTTCACACATGCTCTCTGTGTCTTTTCTCTTGTCAATATGTTGTCAGTGACTCTCCCTAGGCCAGAAGTGGCCTTCACTTGTTGATCATTTCCTTAGGCCAGCATCCTGGGAGTGGGTGTGCTTATCCTTTGCCTGCTCTTGGACCTGGCCTTCCAGCACCCAGTGTTGGGAACGCAGAACAGGACTGGCCCATCCTGAGAACTCAGGGTCAGTCCTATTCTTAAGGAGCTGTGCTTGCTGAATGGGTGTAGCTTTTCTGGGTCTAATGTCAGCTCGTAAATTCCCAGAACTTTGGCTCTGCAAGGTAGCACCATCCTCAGGCCATTTAGTTGTCTTGACCCTTTATCTTCTAGGGAGAAAAGTTACCCACTCTTATGCCTTCACGAGTTTGCCGTTTCTTCCCATTATCCGAGTAATTGGAAACCAGTTACTCAGAAATCAGGGAATTGGGTCAGAGAGCATTTTCAACAGCTTCCCTCCCCAGCCTGGGGCAGAGGCTGCTAGGGTGACCAGTACCATCCTTGTCCCAGCCTGCTGGTCTTGGTGGCAGCCCCAAATGACCTTTAGCTCTTGACCTCTCTGGAGCACCTTTGAGAATGAGAGTTGTTCTTGCCAGGGAAAAGACTCCATCTCCTCTTCTCCAGTCTTCCTTTGGAATCAAACCCACTGAAAACACACCACTGGCATGGAGTCCTCTGAGGCCAAGCTCGTTTCTTTTTCTTTTTCTTTTCTTTTTTTTTTTGAGACAGGGTCTCATTCTGTCGCCCAAGCTGGAGTGCAGTGGCATCATCTCGGCTCACTGCAACCTCCGCCTCCCGGGTTCAAGCAATTCTCCCACCTCAGCCTCCCAAGTAGCTGGGACTACAGGTGCACACCACCACACCTGGCTAATTTTTGTATTGTTTGGTAGAGACAGGGTTTCACCATGTTGGCCAGGCTGGTCTTAAACTCCTGACCTCAAGTGATCGGCCCACCTGGCCTCCCAAAGTGCTGGGATTACAGGCACAAGCCACTATGTCCGGCCCCAACATCCTTCTGGAAGTCTGTCCATGAGGTTCCCAGATCTGACTTTCCCTTCTGGAGAGACCTGCTTCTGCTTGGCAAGGCCTTTGAACTTTGGCAATGGCAGTTCTGTCCCAGATTCTCAGATCCATGGAGAGGGCAGAGGAATAAGTCAGACTTCAGCCCTCTCACCCTTTATTGGGGCCATTTTGTCTCAAGCTTGGTTGGGACAAAACTTTTCGGAAGTTTCCACTGGTCAGTAATAATAAGAATAGTAAGTATAGGGAAATACAATAGCTGACATTTATTGAGTGTCACTGGCTAGGTACTGCTAAGAGTGAGTGTGAAGTTGTGAGACTGTGACATGTTATTTAACCACCCTGTGCCTCTCATGAGTCCCCGTCTCAGACTATTGTGAGAATTGAGCAACTCAGTGCATGTGAAGTGCTTAGAGTAGAGCCTGGCACCGAGCAAGTGTGCAAGAGCTGGGTGCTAGTGCTGGGATCGCGAGGCTTCTTGCTTTAAAGACAAGGAAACTGAGGTTCCTAGAGGGCGGTGGCCACACAGCCCTCCCCATTATCTGAGTAATTGGAAACCAGTTACTGAGAAATTGAGGAATTGGGTCAGAAAGATTATATGATACCGTGGGGGAAGAGCAGCCCCCAGCGCAGGAGCAGGAGACAGTGGATTAAAGAATCAGCATCATAACTGGGGTTACGGTGCAATCCTGGAGCGACGTGCAAAGGGTTCTGGGGCTGTGGGCAACACAAGGGAGCCACTAATTCTTCCTGTTTGGGCTGAGGTGAGTTGAGAAATGTGAAAGAGGATTGAACTTTTGCTCTGGGACTCATAACAATCCTGTGAGGTGCAGGGAAGGGTGAGTAGCATCCTCATTTTATGACTGGGGAAACTGAGGTACCACACAGCTCAGTGACCTGCTCTTGTTCAGAAGCAGTGGATTGGAGATGGGTTTCTAGGCCTGTCTGCCTGGCCCACCCCTCCCCAGTTCCAGATCCTGGGAGAGACAGGGATAGTGTCAGGGCCTAGCTCAGCTTGGTTACCAGGCTGGGTACGATTGGGTTAATCATTTTGGAAGTCAAAGAGGACTCTGGGGCCACTGGGGTTTGCAGGCCTTTGTGCCGTCTCCCAGCCCTGCCCCCACCTCTAGTAAGTCTCTGCCTTCGTCCCTGAGGGAAACAGTGGCCCCTTGTTTTCTCTGAGTTCTGAACTCCAAGCGCCACACAGAGCAGGATCCAGCATGGGCCCTGCGAGATGGCATGACTTGGAAACGGAGTGCCCACAGACCTCAGGCCCCGGCGGGCAGCCTTTCATTGAGACACCCTTGCTCCTGCTGGGAGGGACAAACCAGACCCCGTCCTCTGAGGAGAACAAGAAGTCCCTGGGAATGTTCTTTTTTCTGGGGGCAGAGTGTGGTCAGAAAAGCAGAATGACAACCTTGAAATGAGTTCCTGTCCCCATCGCATCTGGGAGACCTGCCTCTGTGGTGTCCTTCCCCCCGGGCATCCCCCTGCACAGTGTCCTTTTCTCCGTGGCCTCCCCAGTCTCAGGAGCTGGGCCCTTTCTCCTGTGGGGGCCGCACCCAAGGGCCCATCTCTTTTCTAGCTAGTGGAGGGAGACCGCAGCCTGTTTGCAGTGTGTTCAGGGGACAGACCCCTTCAGGGCAGTTGTGGCATGTCAGGCACCTGAGGAAGAGCCACTAGAGCTGCCAGCAGCCCTGCTGGTACCCAGCACAGACGCCACAGCGAGAGGCGGCCGCACCCGAGAGCAGCCCAGGCCTGATGTGTGTCCCAAGCTGCTGTTCTCACAGAAGGGTTTTACTGGCATGAAAATGCTTGGAAAATACACAAAGGAGGGTGGCCCGTTTCCAGAGCTCAGCTGTTTACCTTCAGTGGAGCGCCGGGGATGCGGAGAGCTTATTTTCCAAACAGCTGCGGTTGTCAGGTCTACGGGCCTCAGGCTGATGCCAGGGGAGGACACCAAGGGCGTCCCCTCTGCTCACCTCCTTCCCCAGCGCCAAGGGAACCCCACAGTTTCTCCCAGGCAGGGAAACCTGGAGGGCTGTCTGGAGATGTGGGTGCTGGTGGGCATGGGGGTTCTGTGGGCCCGGATGCGTCGCTCCTGTGGCCCGGCTCCCCCTGCGCTCGTAGCTGTCTTGGCCTCTCGTTTGTGGTGCCTGACCCACCGAAGCCACAGGCTGTAGTGGAAATGGGTTGGTGTTTGGCTCTGTCTGAGAGCCCAGTGTTCTCTGCCCATGGCCTCTCTACCTTCCTTCAGAGTCTGCTTTTTCTGGGAAGAGGTATTGGGTGGAGTGTAATTTGGAATCTGTGAAGAGAGCCATCAAAGCTCTTGCAGTTTCTTGTTTCTATCAAAGGGGAAACTGAGGCCCCAGGGGATGGTGAGCCCAGGTCAGCGGGCTGCTCATGGAGACTGACACATGGGCATTGCTGCACAGCCTCCATCCTGGCCGCTTCACCTGCATGGCCTTGCTTGGTCATTTTCCTTCCTGGGCCGTTGGTGTCCTGGTCTTTGCAGCAGGGAGCGTCTTCCCCGGCCCCTGGGCTTGCCGTGAGGATGAGCCGGCGCCAAGTCTCAGGAGATATTGGGAAGTGTCTTTCCCTTCCCCTTCCTCACCCAAGAGCCCCAGAGATGGGCAGCTTCTCAGCTAGCCTGGTTTTGGTTTTATTTTATGTTGTTTTGTACACAGGCCTGTCACCATGGGGAGGGAACAGCATTCCTTAGTAGTTTCTTATTGTGAGGTCTAAAGGATATTTTTTTTTTCTATATAGGGGAAATCCCTTAACATCTTTCCTGGCAAACAGTAAGAAAGAGGAGTTAAAGACACCAGCAGACAAGAGCTGCTGCGTTCCGGGGGTGCAACGGAGAGGAGTTTAGTAAGGGACCATCACAGGGTGTGGGCAGGCCCGAGAGCCAGCACAGGACAAAGTTCCCCGGTGCTAACAAGCCCTGAGAGCTGTCACCACCCCTAGGCCTGAGGGGACTAGGGGACCAAAAATGTACCTGGAGCCATAGGGGAGGCGGTAGTGTTGAGAGAGGGGCTGCCCTGCTCCATGGGGGCTGTGACTGCTGCCAGAAATATGGCAGGGGGTGGGGGCGTGAGGATGCTGCAAATACATTCCCTCCCTCTCTCCTTCTTGCCCATCTTCTGCTGTGCCTCCAGTTGGCCCGACTTGGCCAGAGGACAAGGCAGCCAGGTGATTGTGGCCTGAGAGGACAGCTGCCTAGGGCACAGAGCAGGCGTGGGGAGCGGGGTTGCAGGGGCAGGCAGCGGGGAATGGAGTGAGAAGCGCAGCCTTAGATCTGAGTTTGTGTCCCCACTTCACCGCCTTCCTGCTGTGAGACCCTAGGCAGGTTTTAAAAGTCTCCGTCCTCCACTTTTCTCATTCGTAAAATCACTTCTCATAGTGGTTGTTAAATACAATGAAAGAAATGCACGCAAGCTTTGAGCGTGGTGCCCACTGCCAGTGACCATTTGTAGTTGTCATTATGATGTCTTTCGTAACATTTTTAAAACAGTCAGCCTTGAATCCTGGAGGGAAACCCACTTGGGGGTGGGGATGAGAGCAGGGGTGGGGCTTGTGGCCTTCTCTGGCCTCTGCTAAGGCCAGATTGGGGGTCAGCCAGGTGCCGGGCTGGCGCCGCTGCCTCCGAGGCACTGGCCTTGCAGGTGGTGGTGGCCGCGTGCCGGGAGGGAGACATGTGGCGGGTCAGGAAGCGGGGGTCAGGCTGCCCTGGCTTTTGGCAGGTGCTCCTGTCTTGGGGTCAGGTGACGCTGACTGTTGGCCAGAGGCTCTGGCTCTCTTGGGGCCTGATCTTCCCAACCTCAGGCACTTGCAAAAATAAACACCTTCCCTGGCATAGCAGGAGAGCAGTATGGAACAGATTGCAGGCAGCCCTACGCGCCTTCGCTTCTCCCGATGAGCCCAGATTTCAGTGTGAAGTGCAAGTGGCTGGTCGCTCAAAGCGGCAATTTCTAGATTCCTGAGGACCACAGCTTTGCTAAGGCTTTTTATAGATTAGCAGAAGCAGTATCCACTTAGATCTAAGTTCTGATCTGGCTGTGCGATGTTAGTCATTTACATAACCCCTTGGAACCCTAGTTTTCCTAGGGCAGATGGGGTGTGTTGAGAAAAGCCTTTCTCTGTAAAGCCATTTCTCAGCATCACTTGCCTGGCCTGTTGACACTATTGCCCTGATTCCTCTTATGTGTCTTCTGCATCCTGGGTAGCATGGGGCTTGGGGAACAGAAGTTACAAACGTGGGGTGTGCCCTTGAGGAGTTAGCAGGAGAGAAGAGTTGTGGGGTCTTGGAGGGTTTGTCCTGCTTGTCCTGTCTGTATTTTCCATGTCAGCCCTCCTCCTGCCCCATCTCCAGAGTGCTACAGGGAGGCTCGAGGGTCCTCTGGTGATATGCCCCAGGGTGGACAAGAGGATGGGGGCAGTGGACTCAGGTGCTGAAGTTGTTGCTTTTGTCTGTGTTCCCTGCCTCACAGCTGAACCTTAGCCGGCCGATCGAGGAGCAGGGCCCCCTGGACGTCATCATCCACAAGCTGACTGACGTCATCCTTGAAGCCGACCAGAATGATAGCCAGTCCCTGGAGCTGGTGCACAGGTTCCAGGTGAGTGAGGACCATGCAGCCCTTGGCTGTGGCATTTTCAGGAGGAGGAGGGGAGGCCCTGGAATGGCCGTGTGTGTATTTAGGGCGGTAGCAGCTCTCTGGAGGTATAGTCTGGAGAAATGGCTCTGCCACTGGCAAGACATGGGCTCGTGGGCAGGTACTTCTGTGCGGCGTCAGTGTCCTCGGGTGTAGCGTGGGGACTGAACCAGGGCATGGTTGGGCCGTCTCCACCCCCTGGCTGTGTAGACACGGTTTACTGATGAGGCATCGCTGAGTTCCAGTGTGGCCTCCACGTCCTCAGCACAGGCATGTGCAACCCTTTCCCCTGGCTCAGGTAGGCACAAGGGATGGAACCCTTCTGCTGCACTTGGTAAAGGGGACCCCCGAGGGCCTTTGAACTGAGTCCTGCCTTGGTGGAGAACCCTGCCTCTGCCCATTACTTTGACCTGGGTACTCACCTTTGAGCATGGCCTGAGGTATCTTGCTGAGTCCCTTGGCTGCTTCCCTCTCCCCACACCACTTCCCCAGCGGCCTCCCAGGTCCTGATCGCACAGTGACCTGCCCACTGCCCTGGGGTTCTCATGCTGGCTACTGACTTGTCCTGTGTTCTCTCTGTTGTGGACAAGAACGTGATTCTGTCCTCTAGAAAGCGGCTCAGAGGTCATGAAAAACAAAGTTGTATTGTCAGTGAAAGTGCAGTCAAGATGGTAGCTGTTTTCAGGTGTGCCTAGTGGGATGGGGATGCCTGAGATGGGGTTTCTAGCGTGTGACAGGCGCAGATTTGGTGCCCTGCTTTTCTTCACCAGGACAAAGGGAATCTTACCCGCCTCCTAGTCACCCGGTGCTGCCGTCCTGCCGACACTGTTCTCTCCCCGTGTGTTCGGGGTCAGCCGCCTTGGCCCCCCTTGCTTCCTTGGGGCTCTCACCCCGTTCCTTGGCCAACTCCCTGCTGCACATTCCTGCTTCCCACCAGGAAGTGGCCCCGGACACAGAGGCAGCCTGCTCCTGGCATCCCCTGCTTGGGGGCAGGGCATGTCCCACGTTGTGCCCTCCAGGGCGTCTGCCCTGCCAGTGGCCCCAAGTCCATTCCACTTGCTGAACACTGTCTCCTTGATCGGACTGGAGACTGTGGGAAAAACATGGTCGGGCTCCTCTGTGACCTCGTGGAGCCTCAGTTTCCTTATTTGTAAAATGGGTGCTAGGAATAAGAAAAGCTCAGACCATGTTGGGAGGAGTGTGCTGGGGTTCGAGGGGAACAAGACAGAGGAGATGTGTGCCCTGGTGATGTGCTGCTTCCTGAGTCCCTGCCCTGTGCCAGGGCTGGGCTGATCAGCACTCACCCATGTGCTACATTTGATCCCCACAGCCCTCAGTGCAGACTCACCAGCCTTGTTGATAAGCAGGAAGTGGAGGCGTGGAAGCATGTGCAGCTTGTCCACAGGGACCCAGCAGAGCCGGGGGTCAGTCTTGACTTTCTCAGGTGAGCCGCTGCTCATCCTGAGGGCTTGCTCTTCTGTTCCTCTCTGCCTCCAACCTACACAACTGTCCTGGGGTGTGGTCCCAGCTGATCCCAAGTCATACAGCGACTTTCCTCTCCCCTGAGCCATTTGCTCCTGCCTCACCCCCGTCTCCTTCGGAAGGCCCCTGAGTGCCCAGTTCATGTGCCTGTGGTGCCCTTGGGGCTTATTCTCTGGAGGAGCACAGCCATGCCTGGGCTGCCACGCAGACCTTTGGGGCAGGGATGGTGCATCTCTTGCTGAGTCCATCTGGGGGACGATGGCCTTCCAGATGCCTGATTACCGTTACCTCAGAAAGCACTGCAGAGCAGTTACCGCTTACCAAGCCCTGCTCGAAAGCGCTTCATGGCGGTTGACCCACTTGCTCCCATGAGCTGTAAGGTTCAATGATTCCCGTCCTGTGGAGGAAGAAGCAGCTGCAGGACAACTAGAAAGTGGTCCAGGTGGGATTTGAGCCTGCGCTAGCTTGCTCTCCTCACCTGTCGTGTGGCCTCTCCAGAGATGGATGAGGCGGAGGACTTGGGAGTCAAACTGTCTTCAAGGCAGATCCTTGTTCCAAAACTTAGGAACCGCGTGCCTCCCCACAGCCTCAGTTCCTTCCTCCTTGGGTGGGCAGGTTGCTGGGAGGAGTAAATGCCTGTGGGTGTAAAGTGCCCATTGTAGCTGAGTGCCACTTCATCACACCCACACGGTTGCTCTTCCTAGAGACCACATCTCCCAGCTAGCCTGGGCCCGGAGTTCTGGAACATCTGCTCCCAAGCTCTTATCCCTCTTGCCCACTTCCCAGACACACACACAGCCCACAGCCCAGGCAAGTGATGTCCAAACAGTGAATGAGAGTGCCCGCTGTGTTCCTTTTCTGGGCAGAAAACAATATTAACAGGGAGCGTGTGTGGAGGGCAGCATGGGGCCTTGTGGCTTAAGGCTGTCAGGCAGCCACAGGTGCATTTCTCAGGCAGTGTCTTGTCTGGGTCTTGGGGGATGGTTGCCGTGACCTCACCATAACCTCCCAGCACTGATATTTCTGGGATAAATTTTCATCACCGTCTGTGCTTCAGTAAGAGGCCGGATATCTGATAAGGTGGGAAGTTTCCTCCTTTGTGAGGAGAACAATCCTTTGGAGAAAAGGGTGCGGGGCTGCACTTTCCAGAGGCCCCAGGAGAGAGGAGGCAGGCAGGGTTGGCACAGAGAATGACTGAGAGGCACTGGGATGGGGGCTGGGGAAGAGGCTTCCTTCTACCACCGGTCACTGGGCTGTCAGCATTGATCGTCCCCTTCCCTCTGCCATAAGATGCAAGTTCAGAGCCAGACCACATAGACCCAGGGAGGCGGACACTTGACCTCAGTCGTGCCCTTTGTTTTCAGATTTTTGTTTTAAATTTTATTCTCTAGACATTAACAAGGAGGCATGAGTGTGGTTTGAGGACTGGGAGGGATAGGGATGCTATAGGCAGAGGCAGGGGAAGCAGCACCCAGAGCTGGGGTCCTCCCATTTTGTTGTGAGCAGGGAAACCGAGGCAAGATGCTTTGCCCCAGCAGGGACTCAGCTTGAAGGGCCTTCTCCACAGTCCATACTCAGGTCCTGGGAGGGAGGAGGAAGTGGTTTGGGGCTGTGTGGGTGGAGAAAAATGAATTTCTGAGATGTTCCTCAGGGCCCCAGAGCACTGCACTGGGCTGCCTCTGTGAAAGTTCCGGTCCCCAGGGAGGGAAGAAATTCCCAGAGCCAGGAGGCCGTGCCTGCTTCTGGCTGCCCTGGTGGGCAGGTGGAGGCTGTGGGCCAGAGGCTTACTGCAGAACATTAAAGCTGCTTGTCACAGAACCTTCATCACTGCCCCAGAGTTTTGGATTTTTTTTGTTTTTGTTTGTTTGTTTTTTGTGTGTTTTTGATTGGCTTCTAAATGGCTTGGCTTGGAGACTCAATTGGGATGATTCAGTTGTTTTTCTGCTCCAAGGTTCATGTGGAGCCAGCAGCCTGTTGCCCCTGAGGCTCTGCCTGAGGTTTGGTTCTCAGTGTGCAGAACCAGGCAGGGGCCCCCAGGGCCTGCCCACGTGGGCAAGTGGGGCCGGCATGCCGAGAGGGTCCCTGCCTCAGGCTCGGGGACACTAGGGGCCTCCTGGCCTGGTGAGTGGCTTTCCCAGGGGGGCAACACGAGCCTTCTCCTCGCTGTGGCGCCCAGAGCCACCTGACAGGTGTGGGTGCAGGGTGGGAAGGGAGGGGCCCACCGTCCTCTTCTGCTGCCCCTTCTAGCCCTGGAATTGCCCCTGAAGGGGTGCTGTGATTGTGATCCATGGGCCATGTGGGGCTGCCTCGGGGGACCTTCCTGGGGTTCTCCCTGAATAAGCTTAGGACTAAGAAGGAAGTTTCAGTCTCAACTGCTGCCTTTGCCCTGTCTTTATCAGCTGGAAGGACGGTAATTGTCCCTCAGATGTCCCCTGAATTCCCGGTCTGCACACAGACTGCTAGGAGAGTGTCCTCTGCGGCAGCACTGCTGGGTGCCCTGCCCGCGAGCTCCTGGCCAGGAGGAGAGGCCAGCAGGCAGACCCAGAACTGACCTCACGGCCCCTAAAGTGATGAGTTAGGAAAAACACAGGTCTGATCACAGCACAGCTTGGCTTAAAACATCCCATGCTTTCTTATTGCTGTGACACTGAAGGCCATGATTGCCAGCTTGACCCATGGGGCCTCGGTGATCTGCCCCACCCGCTCCTTCCCTGGCCCCCTCAGCAGCTGCCCAGGCTCTGATGTGTGTCCACCTCAGCGCCTTTGCACAAGCTGTTCCGTCAGCTCAGTGCCCCTTCCCAAGAAATGTCCTCCCTCGTGAGCTGATTAATGACACATCTCTCGTCCCAGGCCCTGCCAACTTTGCACTTTTCCTTCATGCCCTTCGGAAGTTCGTAATTCTTTATCAGTGGCTATTGTCTGTCCCTTCACTGCGGCAGGGATTGTGTCTGCTCCCAGCAGCTGGTGTTCCCATTGCCGCCTGCAGTGCCTAAGTGTTTGGGTGGCGGCGCATGCCCAGTGCTGGTCATGCGCTGGGGCGGCCTTTCATGGGGTGCCCTGATGGCCTTGCGGAGGGAGGACGTGGCTCTGCTGGGCTGCTTGGAGCGGGGAGGGAGGAGGCCAGGAGCGTTAATGAGGCAGATGGCGCTGCCTGATGGGCATGTGCGGCGATGTCTCCAGGTGTCAGCGAGGTTGGAGAGGGAGCAGCAAGGCCGGAGCTTGAGGGCTTTTTCATGCCAGGCTGTGCAGCTTGGACTCTATCCTGCAGGGAGGGTGGGGCGGGGATGGCGGTGATATGATCAGATATAATTGGCAAGAGAGAGGCCCTGCTTGGAAGGGGAGATTGCCAGTGCAAGATGAACTCTGAGCAGCTGAGGACACTGTTTACTCTTTGGAGCCCAGGTGCGTCCAAGTTGAAGAAGGAGCTCATGGCCCCAGGCTCAGTGTTGTGCCCATCCTCAGCCCCAGGTGCCCCTGCATGTGGTCCTGAGCATCCCCTCCCTCCGCTGCCATGAAGGCTGGCCTCTGAGCAGCTTGAGCCTTGCCCAGCCTACACAGGACAAAGTTGCACTCACCTCCTGGCTCCTCTCAGTGTGTAATCATCTAAAGTGGATCTGGGAAGGAAGCTCCTGCCCCGAAGGATGCCGGAAGAGAATGCACACTTGGCCACACTGGTTCTTCTCATGTTGTCCCTGGAAGGAAACCATGTGTAGCCTTCAGTAGTGCCTCCCCGACCCCACCATCCTCCTGAGGGGACAGGAAGTGAGTAGGGCTGGGAGCTGGTGGGAGGGGGTGATGTTTGGGGCCCTCCCTGCTAGTCCGCCAAGCGAGGCCAGGCTTCGCCACAGGGATAGACAGCTCCCCTCACCCAGCACAGGCTTAGCTGGGCTTGCACCACGTGGTCACGGAGGGTTAACTACAGCTTTGCAGCCTGAAATGACAGCCGTCATGGCAGAGGGATGAGAAGGCAGTGAGGCTTATGCTGGCTCTCAGTGTCTGCCCTGTGGTGACACGGACTCATCCATCTCACTGGACCTCCCTACAGGCAAGGGAACCCAATACTGCATAGTTCCTTTTTCTTCTTAAAAACAATTAAAATACCTTGTAGGGTTATTGTTAGCATTAAACTAATTAAAATTTGCGATTCCCCTAGTGCCTGGCATGGTGTGAATGGTGCACGTGTGTGTAAGGGTCAGTCAGCCACGCTTACTGTGAATGCCTGGCATGGTGTGAGTGGTGCACGTGTGTGTAAGGGTCAGTCAGCCACGCTTACTGTGAATGCCTGGCATGGTGTGAGTGGTGCACGTGTGTGTAAGGGTCAGTCAGCCACGCTTACTGTGAGTGCCTGGGGTGTGATGATGCGTACGAGCCACTCAGTACAGGCCCGGCGCCTAGTGAACCATCAGTCACCGTGGCTTATGTCAATATTATTATTACAGTGACAGTAGGACTACTCTGTCAGCCTTATCTGTGGCCCCAGCTGACTTGAGAGCTCTCAGTCCTAATTGGAGTCAGTGAGGCAGTGATTATGAAAGTGTCCCCAAACGGGAGATGCATTCTGTGCTAGGGCAGTGGAAATGCCTAAAAGGCAGGGCCAGGTGGGGGTCAGAGGGACTCAAGTGCTGTTCCTAGCCCCACCCTTCACCTGCTGGCCCACCTGGGCCTCGGTCCCCTTGCCTACCGCATAGGGAAGGTGCAGGATGGCACAGAACACCTTCAGAGCTGTTGCGTCTGCCTCCAAAGGACTACCCAAGGCCGCGGTTCACGTTTGCCACAAATGTGATTTCACAGCTGCATTGAATCAAACCCTGTTGGCCCCTGATGTTTATTGAGCAGTCGCCAGCACAGGGATGGAGAGGAAGTAGAAGAAACAAAGGTTTTTGTTGTTCTAGGTGTTCGAGTCCGACTTGGAAGATAACATCTAAACCTATCAGAGGATAAATAACACCGTAGAATCTAAGTGGGCTTGTGTCGGCTTTGCCTTTGTGCCTGCTGACCAGTGGGGTCAGAGTAAGAACCATGGGCCCCGGGAAGGGGTTTGTGTTGTCACCAGGGAGCCATGGGAGGGCTCCCTATTTTCTAAGAATGTACCACGTGACCCATTCTGCCACGGGCGTTCTCATCTCTTATGTCTTTGGTCCCCATCTCAGTCCCTGAGATAATGGAATTATTTCCCCATTTTTCAGGAGGAGACAACTGCGGCCCGGGGAAGTTAAGTCACTTGCCCAGGGTCAGGTAGAAAGTGGCAAGGTCAGGATCATAGCTCGGAGGGGCTTTGGTGACAGCTGATGGCACTGTGGGTGGTGTGAGGGTTGGTGATTTCAGGGCCACCTTGGCAGGAGGTCATCGTCTGGGATTGCCTCTGACACAGCTGGTGCCGTGTGACGATGAGACTGCTGGCCAGCAGATGCTACGGGAGGCAGAGTTGGACGCATCTGGCAGCCCTGGTCCCAGAGAAACAGATCATGTCCTGTTCTGGGGTTGCTGTGAGGTCAGCCTCTCGATGACTGCTGCCCTGGGTCATAGGCGACTCCTCCTGTGGTGGAGACAGCCACACAATCTGTCCATTGTGCACCAATGCCAGGCCAGGAATCGCCCTTTCTGCTTCGGGGAGGGTGGGACCATTCTGTGCCGTTAGCCCGTTGCAGTTGCTTCCCCTTGTGGAAAGCAAGCCTGGTCCCCAGGAAGACATGTGGCCCTCTTACCAACCAGGAACAGAGCTAGACTTTGTGCAGCCCAGTTGGGACAGGGGCAGGAGAGGGCACCCCAAAGCCTGCGCTCTGAGCCAGCATGTGGGCTGCAGCCCCTCTGCTTGTGTGTGGACGGTCAGGGTTTTTCAGCTCAAGGTCTGGGGGCATGTTGAGTTTTAGAAATATCAATGTTTATCAATAATACATTTTCCCCAAAGTTTTAGAAATAACTTTTATGCACATTATTTCTGGGTTTCTTAACCTCAACATGATTGACATCTTGGGCTGGATAATTCTGCACTGCTAGGGGCTATCCCAGGCAATACAGGGTGCTTAGTTGCCTTCCCGGCTGCTCATTACCAGATGCCAACAGCACTCCCCACCCTGCCCCTCATGACAACCAAAAATGTCTCCAGATGTTCCCTGGTGGAGGGAGCCCATGCCACCCCTGGTCGAGCGTCACTGCATTTTGTAAGAGATGGGTCCAGCAGCTCTGAGAGCTCAGGTGGGCCAGTCAAGTTGTTTCTGATTTTTGTGTGGACACTGAGGCCCCACTGGGTGCAGTTTCTGGGTTTTAGTGTTTGGAATCACACACCAAGAGGACTAACATCTTGTCACTTCTTTTCTTCAGTAATATTAGTACCTGCGGCAGAAAGGACACCCTGTTTTCTGTTTCCTCCTGGTTTGTGTGAGTGGCATGACTTCCCAACGTGTTTCTGTGCTGCCTGTGCAGGCTGTGTGCCCGTGATAAAGCCCACTGTGTCTGCCTTTGTCTTCATGTAATAAATCCCATTGCCACCTCACCAGCCAAGAGCACAGCCGGCCGGGTAAACCACGCGCTGGGCCTCTGCTGACCTCGGCCCTCTGGGATGGACAGAGTGAGGCATGAGGATATCCTCTGAGCCCCTCCCTATAGGTCCCTGCCCCAGGCCTCCCACGCCTCCTGGCAGCCAGCCCTGGATCTGGCCCTGGCCCCTACCCGTTTGTCTCTCCACTGATCTGTGAGATCATTCATCAGTAACTATTATGTTCATTCAGCAAGTCTTAGTGAGAACTTACTGTCTGCCAGAGTTCTCCTAAAAGACATTACAGATGCAACAATGAATAAGACCTGGTGGACGCAGCCCCTGCCCTGCTGGAGCTGTATCTGAGTGTGAGTGCATCGGATGATGGGAACAAAACATAGGTAAATAGAGGACAAGGTAACACAGCCCCAGTGATGGCGAGTACTAGGAAGAAACACACCGAGGCCTGGGAGAACAGGGAGGTCCTTGTTACTGATCCTCTGAAGAGCTGACATTGAGTTGAGGCCTAAAGGGCAGGACACTCAGGAGGGGAGCAGGCAAGGGAGCAGCACCTGACCAGGCCCTTCAGTGAAACAGGATGGAGGCATAAGGACCCGCAGTAGCTGGGTGCAGCTGGAGCACGGTGGATAGGGCTGTCTGCAGTGGGCTGGCAGGAGCCAGGCTGAGCCTGGGCCTGGTGGCCTCCTGGGAGCGCTGGGTAGCTCTTTGAGGACACAAAATATCGTGCCAGCTCCCCTCTTTGATGGCCCCAAGTTGAGCCACAGACAACGTGCCATTTTCTAGTCCCCAAGCTCTCTGAGGAGGAAGGGGCCCTGCCCATTGCAGCAGTCAGAGGTCAGGGAGGAGCTCCTGGGGCGGCAGGACGACTCCCACTTCTGAGCATGCCCGCAGCCACTGAAGAGGATGGCTGACATGTGGAACAGAGGCCAGTGTCATCCACGGGGTAGATGTCGTAGCCAGGTCACCCCTGGCAGCAGGATCTGTCTCTCTTATTGTGCACCTAGAGCCTGTACCAGAAACTAGAAGACTCGGGTGGCTGGATGCAGAGGTGAGGAGCCCAGGGGTCCTCTGGCCTCAGTGACCCAGTTGGCCTAGGTCAGCAGCACCACCGCAAACTGTGCCCTGATTCTGGATGACTGTTCTCTCCCTGCAGACACTAGTTTGTAAGCCCTGCTGGCTGTGAGTCACATTTGCAAACCCAGCAATGCATCACACGGACAAGGCAGGGGAGCCCATGGGCTGCCAGGAGGCATTGGCTTATTCTGGGAACTGAAAGTCAGACTCGGCCGGGCGACTGTGGGCCAGGGTGGGGTGGGTGGGGCTCCAGCAGGCATGTCACCTTTGGCCTTGATGTAGGGAAGCTGCTCTTCTGTGTATTATTGTATACAGGGGAGGGGCAGCTGCATAGGCCCACCTGAGCAGGTGCGTGGGAATGCATGTAGGGGTTCAGACAGGTGCTTAGGGGGCGTGGGGCTGCTGCTGAGGTGGGTGGAACCCAGCTCCGTGTGACCTTGGGCAGGCAGCCCCTTTCTTGCCCTCCTGTTGTTCAGCTGGTAGCTGTGACAGTGGGCCAGATGACCGACCCCTTCCAGCTCCATCTGCGTGGAAATCCCAGCTGTCCCTTCATCCTGCGGGATCCTTCCCTGGTCGCCTAGAGGACCTGACTAGTGTGATGGTGCTGTGACACAGCATGTGGCATTTGTCAGGGGAATAGCTCTGGCTGGGCACCTTGCCTGCCTCCCGCTGACAGAAGGTGGAGAAAGCTCATAAAAGTTTGGTGTGAAATCTGGGGACAGAGGGGAGGTATTGTTTTCAGTGGCAGGCCTGGAAAAAGGGGGAGTTTGCTGTCTCCAAATAATAGTGTTCTCTTTCCTTCCAGCCCTCTCCTCTGTAGCAGTCAGGGTTATTTTTTGGCCTGAACACCATTGTTTTGCATGGGTCTTCCTGCTGGCTCTTGAACAACAGTTTCCCCCCCAGAGAGCCTGTGGTTTCTCCCAGCCGTGGCTCACACCACATGCCAGGCGGCTAAGTGAGGAGCATGACACTGTAATGCCTCAGTAGCCCCCATGGGAGGATGACCCGAAGTGACCATTGTGGGTAGCACCCACCTTCAGGATGGGTGTGCCTGTGACCTGCAGGCCACAGGAGACACAGTGGGGTCTGCATGCAGAATCACATTCAGGGTGCCCCATTTGCGTGCTCGGGCCCCTGCCCTGCTCCGCCCCACACAGCCCCTTTTAATGCCTTCCCCCAATCTGAAATGGAGAATCATGTACAGTTCATTCACCCTGGAGGCTGGAGCCTGGTTGCTTTGAATCCCTTATTCTATATTCATTCTGTTCACCAGGGAGGGGATGGGTTGTTGTTGGCGTCTGCTCCAGGGAAGCTTCCCCAGCCCTTCCCAGGGCTCCAGCGTTTCCCCTACCCCTTGTTGGGCCTGGGACACCGAGTTTGACCAGCTTGCACATGGACTGTGAGTCTGATGGATCCTAAGTGTGGCTTGCCCTGCGCACCACTGCTCGGCTCTCAGCAGTCCTGAACGAGCTGGCACATGCATTTGGAACAAGTTTGTGAACAGAGTCCCTCTGCTGCTCAGCCAGCCGCTTCCCATCTTGGGGGGCAGCCATCAGTTCCAGTGGCCTGGAGCCTTTCCAGGGGGTTCTGTGGGACTGAACAGAGACAGTCTTCCTCGCTGCACAGCCCCTGTACAATGGGGCTGTACGGTATGCCCTGGAAGTGATCTCATCTTAGTCTTTTGCAGGCAGCCTCATTCTAACTGCTGCATGTTAAACGGCCTCCCTGTCCTTTTTACCAAGCCAGCTCTCTACTGGTGTATACCTAGGGCATTTCTGATCATGTTTTAGAAACATGCTGTAGTGAATAGCCTAGTACATGTATTTTTGGGTGCACAGGTGAGGAATTCTGTAGGATAAACACCTAGGAATCGGGATGCTGAGTTTGCGCATTCTGCATTTTGGCTGTTGTCCGGTTTCTCTCTGCAGAAGCAGTACCAGTTACACTGCCACCAACCAAGGACTGGTCCCTTTCCACCACCTTAGGAAGCGTCTCTAATCAGTTTACCTTGGCATGGAGTCACAGAGTGTTGGAGGGTGCCAGGATCCTGGCAGTCTCCTCCTCTTGCCTGTTGGTTTTGCTGCTGGGAGCTCCAGGCCCTGGGAAGGGTGGTGTCATGCTGCCTCACTTGGCTTGCCCGGACCCTGAATCTGGGCCATCTTGCCCCTGTCTGGTGCTGTGTTCTCAAACTTCACTTTTCTCTTCCGCACTCCATGTCTGACCACCCCAGCCTGAGCTCATGGGTTTAAATATTGGCTCACAGGAGCTGATAGACCTAGAGGCAGATTGCATCAGAGTTTTCTTTTTGCCAGCTCTACCAAATCACAGAGATCACTGTATAAAAGATGAAGGCAGCCCATCAGTTCTTCCTGAACAGTGAGGTCCAGCACACATACCCCTAAGGCCAGCACCACATCTGACACACCACCAAGACCGCATCCATCCCCAGCTCCATCCTGTGGCCTTGCAGGCTGCTGGACTGGTCACTCCATAACCCATAGCTGTCCTTGTCACTTCCCAGCTCAGGACCCTGTTGCTTTAGGGTCAAGTCCAAACTCCTCAGCTGGTCCGTCTCCTGCTCTCTACCTTGTCCTCACTTTTCATGTTGAGACTGCCGTCCGCCCCAGCCCTGCCAGGCCCCCAGCAGGCCCGTGAATGTGCTGGACTCCCTCACCCCAGACCTCTGCTTTTGCTGTCCCCTCTGCTTGGAGTACCCTTTCTCCCCTGGCCCATGCCTGTGGCCCTTTGTGGTTGACATCACCAACCTCAGCAGGCTCCTCCCCAGCCCCCAACCCTGTGCCCCCCGCACCCACACTCCTCTGCTCCTTTATTGCTGGTCAGCCCCACGCCTCTCCTTTGCTCAGCCACATGGCCGCCACTTAGGAGCCTCTGGGAGGGTGGGGAGAATGTGGCTGCTCTATAGCTGAATAGGTGACATCCATCACCACACACGCACGCACACACACACACTCATATGCTCTCACACTCATTCTCACACACACACACATATGCTCTCACACTCATACACACACACGCACTCACTCACAAGCTCCCACATACACGTGCTTCTCAGAGGCTGTCACTCTTTCTGCTCTCGTACTGTCTGGGAGGCCTCAGGCTGAGTGCTCAGACGTGGGAGATTTCTCTGGAATACAAATGAGGGTTGCTTAAGACCCAAGTGTCTGCTGATGGGGGAGCTCAACTCTCCCAAGGAGCCGTTTTAGAAAAGTTAGGAAAGAAGGAGTGAGGAAATGGCCTCAACACACTAGGACTGAATCCAGGCAAAACAGAGACCGCAGGGAACCGCAGCCTCAGAGGACAGCTTTGCTTGGGCTGGTGGTCGGTGCCTGTCGCCAATGCACAGCTGTCCACTGCCCACCAGGGTGTGCCTCCTGCTGGCCTCCCTCCCTCACCTGTGGTGGGCATGGATCTCGCTGGCTTGCAGGCGACTGGGATGCGTGCAGTGACCATGCCGTGGGTGTGCTCTGAGGACAGCAGGCCCTGGCTCCTGCGTTTGAATGTCTCTGGGCCTGGGAGGCATCTGGCTCCGTTCAGGGGCCTAACAGCTCTGTTTTTGGTTTGTTCGTCACATCACAGAATCAAATAATCTAGAACTTAAGAGGCAGAAAGGATGTTATAAATGAATTATTCTAGCCCACACATCTTACAGATGGGAAACTGAGATACAGATAACTTAAGTGACTTTCAGAAACACACATAAAGTGAATGGCAGTTCTAGGACTTGTAACCCAAGTTTCTTGACTCTGCATTTGTTTCAACTTGCACAGTGCCCCAGGACCCACGCGCTCGGGTTAAGTTAGCCAGGTGTAGCTGGGCTGCAAAAGATTATCTGACAGTGATGGGCAGGCAGAAGCCTTGGCTGACTGTCAGGACTGTTACATAGGTTGCACGCTGCCCAGCCCAGTGGTAGGCTTTGTGAATGGCACCCTGGGTAGCTAGGCTTGGTGGTCCTGTCCCAGCGTACAGTGGATGCTGCTGCAACCTCCTTTTGGCTCTTGAGAGCCCACCTCCAAGGTTTACCTGCATGCATCTCCAACTCCAACCCTATGCCAGCCTGGCCACCTGGCACATTCTGTTGCACCTAGGCCTAGTGTGGATTTCCCAGGACTATCTGTGGCATGTGGTTTTCTGTAAGCTGTAATCAACAGGCAGGTGTTCTGGGAGGTGCCAGGAAGACTTCTTCTGGGGGATGTTCGGCTGGCCTTGGTTGATGACAAGTTAATCAACAGGGGTTGGTTTCACGGTTGCAGTGGTCTGCCAAGAGGGTTCATTACTTGTCCTTCCCAGAAAGCATTGCTTGGCCTGGCCCCACCCCCTCCCCATGTGACCTGACCTCCCAGGGAGAGGCTTTGCTTTCTGCAGAACCACACTTTCTGCCTTCGAAAGTACAACTGCTCTTGACACTGTTATGTCTGTTAGTCCTCCCCCTGCAGGGGCCACTCCATTCAGCAGCTGCCTTGGGAGCCCTCCTGTGCATAAGTGCAGTGCTGGCCCTGACACGCTCTTCCCCCTGCGCCACGCGGACCCTCCTCACAGAGGCCCTGTGGACTGTGGCCTTCAGTTATGTCATGTATTTACTGTCCTAAGGGGTGTGTGTCTTCATTTGCTTTCATCTGTCTTGCTCCAGGGCTGGGAAGAGATGCAGAGCCTCTGGTCCAGCTGTGGCTTTGAGAGAACAAACAACCAGTGAGGACCATGGGTTGGGAGGAACAGTGGAAAGGGAGCTGCAGTCTCAGCTCTGCCACTCTCCCTTGCGACCTTGGCCTCGCTACCACTGCCTTTCCCCTTTCCAAAAAGATGGGGGCTGGATGAAGGGTCCATCTGGGTTTTGCTAGTTCTGACCATCTTTGCCTTTCCCTCTGGGAAAGGAAATCGCAAACTGGATCTACTATTTTTTTTCTTGGATGCTCTACCTCATGCAGACCCCAAATGGAACACACCCGGCCTCCCTGGACTGTCAGGCTGGTGGCCTCGCCTTGGGGTAGTGAACATGAGAAAGGCTTCCCTTTTTCCTGAAATGCCCCAGAGCAACCCTGGCCCTAGTTAGAGTTGAGATGCTTTTCATTTCGCCAGGCCTTCCATGCCTTGGGTCTTTGACTGGAGGGCTCTGGAGCCAGAGGCCCTGGGTTCAGACTCCATCTTGGCCACTGCTCGCAGGGAGAGCCCTGGCCACCTACTAGGTGCTTTGAGCCCTACTTTGTTTTCTTTTTTCTTCTTATTTTATTTTGAGACAGGGTCTCACTGTAATGCCCCGGCTGAGTGCAATGTCGTGATTACTGCTCACTGGAGCCCCGACCTTCCTGGCTCAAGTGATTCTCCCACCTCAGCCTCCTGAGTAGGTGCGCACCACCATGCCTGGCTAATTTTTAATTTTTTGTAGAGACAGGGTCTTGCTATGTTGCCCAGGCTGGTCTTGAACTCTCAGACTCAAGCAGTCCACTTGCCTTGGCCTCACAGAATGCTGGAATTACAGACGTGAGCCACCACACCTGGCCAGGCCTAGTTTCTTTGATTGTCAAATGAGGCTGCTAACGGGATCTACATAGGGTTGTTTTGAGGGGGAAACATGTCCATTCCTGCAAGGTGTATAGGTCTGTGACCCGTGCGTGGTGAGCATGTTTATAACTCACCCTGGAATCTTGGCAGGACCCCCGTCAAGATGCCAAGGCTTCAGGAACCAGAGACTTCCAGGGTTTCACCCGGCGCTGGGTACGGAGGAGCTGGTGGAAAGGCCAGGCCTTGTGGCCCTCAGCTGGGCCTGGCTGTGCTCTCAGGAGGAGCCAGGGGAGTGAAATTGTGCTGAGTGAGCCCAGGGTCGCTTCCTTTCCCATGAAAGCCCCTGTGAGTACTTTTAACAGCCATAAGGAAGTAATTTCAGTTCTTCTGTCAAGGGTAGAATCACTGGTGTTAGTGGGGTAGCTGAGTGTTAACTGAACACACAGGCCCTGATGCAGTGGATCCTAGAGTCGGCTGGGAAGTTTCCTCTGGGTGTGGCACGCTGGGTTCGCCTTGGTGCTGACACCTATCTCCTTCTGGAGCCAGGTGGTGATCAGGATTCTAGAATCCTGTTGGGTTCAGTACAGGAGGCTGTTGTCATCCCCAGCTGATGCTGCTGTGGCCATGGGGGAGGTGACGGAATTGTGCCCCCTCTGATGCTTGATCTATTCCACGTGGAAAGCTGGAGTCCCGAGAAGCAAACTCCAGGCAGGCCCACGCTGACTTTCAGGCCTGTGCTTGCCGTTTTTTGTTTGTTTGTTTGTTTGTTTGTTTTTCCTGAGACAGATTCTTGCTCTGTCACCCAGGCTGGAGTGCAGTGGCACAATCTCAGCTCATGCAACCTCTGCCTCCCAGGTACAAGCGATTCTCCTGCCTCAGCCTCCTGAGTAGCTGGGATTACAGGCGCCCACCACCATGCCCGGCTAATTTTTGTGTTTTTAATAGAGACGGGGTTTCACCATGTTGGCCAGGCTGGTCTCTAACTGGCTGGTTTTGAACTCCTGACCTTGTGATACTCCCGCGTCAGCCTCCCAAAGTGGTGGGATTACAGGCGTGAGCCACCGTGCCCAGCCTTTTTTTTTTTTTTTTTTTTTTTAGTTGGAGTCTCACTTTATCTCTCAGGCTGGAGTGAAGTGGAGTGGTGCAATCTCAGCTCATTGCAACCTCTGCCTCCCAAGTTCAAGTGATTCTCCTGCCTCAGCCTCCTGAGTAGCTGGGATTACAGGTGTGCACCACCATGCACGGCAATTTTTGTATTTTTGCGGGGGGTTTTGCTATGTTGGCCAGTCTGGTTTCAAACTCCTGACCTCAGGTGATCCACCTGCCTCAGCCTCCCAAAGTGCTGGGATTACAGGCGCAAGCCACCGCGAGCCACAGTGATATGTCGAGTTCACTAACGTTTAGCTTTCAGGTGCTCCCTAGCCTTTCTGGAGATGCACAACAGTTCAGTCACAGAGCCTGTTTCTGTAGGTGACCAGGTGCACTGCAGTGGCCTGGCGTTTGACACTGGAATGGCTGATTTTGAATCCTGGCAAAGCCCCCCAGCTGGTTGTGTTTGACCTTGAGCCAGTCACATTGCCTCTCAGAAACTTGGTTTCTTTATTTATAAAATGGGAATAAAAACAGAGACGTTTTGCTCTGTAAACCATGGGGCTGCTCTGAGAATCAAATGCAATATTTTGTGTCACTGCCCTTGTTGAACCAGAAAAGTGCTACACTTGTATACTGTGGTGGATCATTATGACTATGATTTAAAACATCCATGCCTGAGGAGCCAAATCCTGGGGTCTTTTGTATTTTCATTTCAATTTATACACCCAAGAGAAGTGAAAACGTATGTTGACACAAAAATTTATACACGTATGTTCACAGCGGCATTGCTCCTAACAGCCAAAAAGTGGAAACAACCCAAATTCCTTCCAATGATGAATGGATAAACAAAATACACTACACCATGCCGTGAAGTACTATTTCATCTTAAAGAAGAACAAAGCACTGCCGCACGCTGCAACATGGATGCATTTTAAAACACGATGTGAGCAAAAGGAGCCTGTCATGAAGGACCACACATCACATGGCTTCGCTTGAAGGAAATGCCCAGAATAGGCAGATCTACCCAGACAGAAAGTAGATGTGTGGTTGCCAGAGGCTGGGACTTGGGGCTGAGAGTGAAAGGGAATGGGATTTCCTTCGGATGGGATGAAAACGTTCTAAAATTGAGCTGATCGTTGCACAACCCTGTTAATATTCCAAAAGCCCTTGCTTTGGGGTAAATTGCATCGTATGTGAATGATATCTCAATCAGGCTGTTTTTAATAAAAATCCTATGAGGTAGGAACAAGTACAATCTCCATTTACAGGTGAGGCCCGGGCTTACAATGAGGAAGGCCCAGTTAACTGGGCCTGGCGGCCTCCAGCTCCCTGGCATGCAGTCCCTTCATGCCATCAGCCCTCACTCTACAGAGAAGGGAGCTGAGGCCCAGCAAGGAGGAGGGGTTTCCAGGCTCTGTGTGGGGTCTTTTCCTCCCTTCCAGCCTCCCCACCCACTGGAGGAGAGATTTCCTAAGCAGCGTGTGGAGCAGGACCTTCCCAGCCCTGCCATGGTACCCGCTCGGCGCTCAGGCCATGCAGCCCAGTGGGCAGAATTTCAGCCCCTGGGTCCTGAGTGAAGGAAGGAGCAAGCTGTTAGGACGGGCAGGGCCGGAGCCCGGGACTTTGTCTCTGACCAAAACCTCTCAGAGTCTCAGGGTCCTGAGAAAAATGGGGAGAAACCCTGCCACCCTCTCTGTGCTGTGGGGGACCCGCAAATACGGGAAGGTGCTGCGAGACCTGCCAGGACTTGCCTTGTGCGCAGCCGTCCCTGCTGGCTTAGGGGTCAGTCCGGGCCCCTGGGCCTCTGCCAGGCGGGTCACGCACAGGCTCTCCTCAGAGCACAGGCCTAGGGCAGATGGGGGCTGGAACTCACAGAGGTTTCCAGTTTCCATGATGTCCACTTTATCTGTTTCTTTTTCTGTCTTGTGCTTTTGGGGTCACATTTAAGAAACTGTTGTTTAATCCAAGGTCACGAAGATTTATGACCGTGTTTTCTTCTAAAAGTTTTATAGTTTGGGCTTTTACCCAATAGCGTTTTTATATTGAAAGAAGCAGTGTGCATATAGCAAGTCCCAGGTAAGTGGCCACTGCCTTTATTTTTAAATGATTACTGATGATGATCATTTTTATTTATTATTATTATCCTTACTATAATTAATCTCTCGTTGTCTTTCCCATCTGGGTAGCTGGCTCTTATTTCTTCTTGAAAGATAGTATTGGTGTTTGAATCCATTTCTGGCACACTTAGGGGTGCAGGGTAGAAGGGGAAGATCTGATTACCTGCCTCCCATTTCCCCCCAAACTTTGTGTTATGGGAAATTAAAAATATTTGAGAAGAGAGAATGCCGCAACGTGCTCCCAGGTGCCACCTCCCAGCCTCATGCGTCAGCAGCTGCAGCCACTCTCATTTCATCCGTCCCTCACCTACTTCTGTCCCTGCCCCCAACCCGGATTGTTTTGAAACACATCCCAGATTCCTATTTAATCTGTGAGTCCTTTTTGAGTTGCATCTCTGAAAAACGAATCCCTTGGAAGGTCGCTGCCTGGAGCCTGGGCTGCCGGTGGGGTTGGGAGGTTGTGTTGCACCCCAGGCATCAGCAGGAGGGTGGGCATGGGCCAGAACCACAGCCCCCTTCCATGGGCACAGCTGGCTCCTCTGGGGTCGGCTGCACAGGGCAAGGCAGGGTGAGCCCAGAAACCTTGCGTCAGGTTTAGCCCTAGGAGCCCAGGTGTTGCAGGGTAATGAGAATCCTTTCATTTTTGTGTCTACAAACTCCTTTTGCATCCATGATCTCCATGATGCCCACAGCAGCTGCCTCCGGTAGGCTTTATTCAGAATGGACCTTACCCAGGATGAGTCTCAGAGGGTTAACTCCAGACACAGAATCAATGTCAGAGGCAGAATCTGGACTCAGGACTCTGACAGCATTTTCCATTAGAAGGAGCAAATCCCTGTGTCTCACTCCCTGCTCATTTCCTGCCTGTGAGGATCGAGGAGGAAAGAGTATCTCTGACGTTCATCTCATTCTGCTCAGATTCTCAGTGGCAGCTTAGCAAAGGGCCAGTTGTCTCTGTTGGCATCATTCCATGGGCTTGGGGCCTCTGAAAACCCTGAGAGAGCTTGCGCTGTAGGTGGGCACCGTGACGCTCTGCCCCAGGTGTGTTCCAGCCCTCATCCTGGCAGGGGCTGAATGTTTCTGCCTAGAGCCAGGCTGCCCTTGTTAGCTCCAGGATCCCACTCTTGGTGTCCTTTAGCTGGCAGGCCCTGCGAGGGAACATGTGCTTACAATTTGCCATGGAGACGGCGCTGCCCTTCTTCCTCTGAGTGGTGATAAAATGGTACGGAAGCTCACCCACCCAGCAGATTGGTAATTCTAAGAGACTTGTGAAAAATACACGAGGCCCTCAGTATAATAGGTAAGCTGGAAAGCTTGGCACAAAGTCCGCTTGTGGATAGTGAGGTGACTGGAAAAATTCTTTGCCCTCTCTGTTCCCATCCCAGAAGAGATCGTGTTTAGGAAGAATTCTTCTGTTAATGCTGATGCTTTCATCCCCAGTCAAAAGCTAGTTGACGCCTGCTTGTCAGATGTTTTCCCCTTTGGTTTCATGTAGCCGCTTTCCCTCATGAGTTTGGCTTAACTTCATGTCTTAATGAATCTGAGTTCTCTCTTTAAAGGTCACTGTCCTAACGCATAAACATGGAATCAGAATCGCCCTCATTTATTCAGAGCTGAGCGGAGACTTTTCTTGGGACTTCGAGGGGAGGAAGGAGCACATCTGTGTTCTAAGTGGCCTCGGTTGCTGAGGGAGAATTGGGTCATCCCATCCACGTGCTCGGCTGTTGGCCCCCTTTTGGAAGGAAGGCAGCGAATGCGTGGGTGGCCCTCCCGTTACCTGGAATGCCTCTAGCTGGTGGTCCATCCCGTTCTAGAATGGCTCCCCTGTGCAGCCTTCAAGTTTACCTTTACAAATACACTCTCCATTTTCTCAGTCTGTTTACACCCTTGGAACCAGAGGCCATCTTTACAGAGACCCTAAGGGCATCTGGAGTATTCTTCATGTCACAGATGAGGAGACTGAGACTCTGAGAAGCCAAGTGACTTGCCCAAAGGTGACTCTGAGAGGTGACGACATCGGGCGCCTGGGTTTCTTGACTCTAGGTCACATAGCCTTCCCACTACACCAGGCTGCTTCCTGGTGTGTTTAGGGGAAGGGAGTGAGGACAGCCAAGTGCCTTTAGCTCATAACCGAGGACATGAACTTGCTAGCCAGGACTATAGATCTGGCGGGGTGAAGCGGAGAAGGCTTTTGATCATCTGAGTATCTGCTGCACCCCACATAATGCCCTGAGCACTGTCAGTGATGTGAAGTCTCTTGAGTGGATGACCTTTTTTTTTTTTTAAATTTAAGTTCTAGGGTACATGTGCACAACGTGCAGGTTTGTTACCTATGTATACATGTGCCATGTTGGTGTGCTGCATCCGTTAACTCGTCATTTACATTAGGTATATCTCCCAGTGCTATCCCTCCCCCTCCCCCCACCCCGCGACAGGCCCCGGTGTGTGATATTCCCCACCCTGTGTCCAAGTGTTCTCATTGTTCAATTCCCACCTATGAGTGAGAACATGCAGTGTTTGGTTTTCTGTCCTCGCAATAGTTTGCTCAGAGTGATGGTTTCTAGCTGAGTGGATGACCTTTTAATGTTGACATTTATTTTTCTTTATTTTTTTTGGAGACAGGGTCTTACTCTATTGCCAAGGCTGGAGTGCAGTGGCACCATTGTGCATTGCTGCAGCCTCAATCTCCTGGGCCTGAGTGATCCTCCCACCTCAGCCTCCCAAGGAGCTGGGACTAGGGGCTTGTGCCACTGCACCCAGCTATTAATGTTGGGCTGTGAATATGATTTCATACATATGTGTGAGTCTCGGCGGGGAGGGCCTCATGCATGACCTGCTCTCTTGGAAGCATGGACTGCATTTAAAAGAACAAGCTCTGATGACGGAATGGTGCCAAGAGGGGTAGTTGCCCATGGAGAGCTCCCAAATGAGACGAGGGATCAGGTGTAGGTGCTTGGGTGAGGCTGAGACTGTCAGGAGAGAGGCACTGGGTGTGGCTGCTTGGCCCCAGGGCAGCTCTAGATAAAACCTTCCTTAAGGAGACTCCTCGGTTAGTCCCCAGGCTCCATGTGGGCGGCAGACTTGGGCTCTCCCGCATCAGTGCCTGGTTCACTGTCTACAGGCAGTGGGTTGGTGGCCAAATGGCTTGCTGACGGCTGGAGGGTTCTGCCCCGCATCTAGGTCCTCGCACTTATGTGCAGGGAGAGGATGGCTAAGGGGTGAGGAGAGTCACAGGCGTGAGGACTGGAATGCGAGGCCTCCCCTAGGTTACGCCGGCCACCACTGAGGCCAGAGGAAGTCTTTAAACATTCAGACAGAAAGGAGCCCAGGGCCAGATACTCTGCCGCGAAATCCAAGGAGAGGCTGATTTCAGAGCAGAAGTGGGAATATGAGTCTCTGGTTTTTGTGTTAAAAGTGGCTTTTGGCTTAACAAGTGGTCACTAGGACCAAAATAAGTTCACTTAAGAAAAATAATTCCAAATGGCTCTTTCTCTCTGTCCATAAGGCTCACTAGGAAGGCAGCACTGGGGTGTGTTTCCCCAGCCTGTGCAGGCCTCACTGACGGGCTGTGGAGTGGGTGAGCAGAGGGCAGGGGGGCTGGCTGGGCGGAGGAATCACGCTGGCATGTCTGCTGCCCCCGGCTCTCACAACCAAGTATCACAAACAGGGAGGCTTTTAACGCTGCAGGAATCTCCCAGCCCAGGGGGCCAACAGCTCCAGTCAGGGCGTCAGCAGTGGCTCCCTCCGGAGGCCCTGAGGGCGAAGCTTCCCTGCCCCTCTCCCGGCTCCCAGTGGTGGTGGTGGTGGGCACCTTCCACCCTCCTTGGCTTGTAGGTGTGTCACTGCAGTTGTCTGTCTCCACACGGCCTCCTCCCTGCGTCTGTGTTCAGATTTCTCTCCTAAGAAATCCAGCCAGGGGATTCAGGCCCACCCATATGGTGTGGTCCACCCATATGGAGTCCTAACTCTGTTCCATCCACAAAGACCCTGTTTCCTTATAAATAAGGCCACGTTCACAAATGCTGAAGGGTTAAGACTTGAGAGGACACAATTCAACCCGCAGCAGCTGGTTGAGGCCTTCTTCAGGCCAGCTTTTTCCCTGAGACCCCCACATCACACCAGCATTCCAGTTTTGTCCTTAGAATCATGGAGGTTGGGAGCAAGGGTGGGCTCCTTCGCTATGTCAGCTCGGGTTGGTCTGGCCCACCTGGGTGGCGTGGGGTTCTGCCCATTATTTTATTGAGTTCTGTTCTGGACAGCAGTGTCTTCCCCCCATGTAAGTTAGGGTTATTCCCCTAAGAAGATAGTAAGTTCCTTAGAGACTGGTTTTTGTCACGGTTTCTCTTGCATTTCCTTCGTGCCTACCCCAAAGCTAGTAGGTACAGAAGTGGAGTACTTGAGGAGTGTTGGGTGGCTGGTGCCCACCCTGTGGCGTGTTTCTCTCCACCACACCTTCCCGCAGACCCTCTGATGACTCCTGGCCTCATCCCACTCTCCCGCCCCTGCCTCAGAGTCCTTATCAGTGCGGGGCATGGGGCCGCCACTCCCAGAGGAGCCAGTGCCTGGAGTGGATCTGCTTCCGGGTGAGGTTTTATCTGGAGTCAGGCGGCCTGCCCTGAGCCTGGTTGCAGTTTCCTCTCTGTCTTCTGTGTGGTGCTCTATTTCTGAGTTTGGCCTAGTCAAGCCTCTCTCTCAGATCTCCAGGTGACTGCTCGAAATGTCCCAGTGCTGGAATGCACCACCCTCCACCAAAGCTAGGGCTGGAGGATAGGACAGGAACGGATGGACGTGCAGAGGGCGCGAGGGGTGAGTTGCTACCTGGCCCTACCCCTGCTCTAACCAGAGCAGCATGCTTCCCTTTCAGGAGTACATCGATGCCCACCCTGAGACCATCGTCCTGGACCCGCTCCCTGCCATCAGAACCCTGCTTGACCGCTCCAAGTCCTATGAGCTCATCCGGAAGATTGAGGCCTACATGGAAGGTAGGGACACGTGTGGCACCACATCCGTGGCAGGCAGCCACCTTTGTGGTCACAAAGTGGCCACGGCCTGAGGTGTGGAGACAGAGGGGTCTTGTCTTTTTAAGCACTTTGGGGCAGGAAGCATTTGAATTCCATGGTGCAGTCATTCTGGGGAGGTCCTTTCATTCTCCTGTGACCAGCAGTGAGGAAACAAAAGCCTCAGGGTGCTCTTGCGGAAGGGGGCTCTGAGGGTTTTGTTTTGCTGTGTTGAACCCATGGGTGACATTGAAGTGTCCCGGTAACACAGTGGCTGGAGAGCAGGAGTGTGTGTAGACAGCTCAGTGGCAGGCAAGCAAGTGGAGTTACGTAACTGCGCGGAGGACACAAACAGAAACTGAAGGCCTTTAATCAAACACGTGGAGATGTAATGTGGCTGCTGGACCTCATGGGTCCACTCTGTTCTGGAGGGCAGGGGCCTCCCTCTTCACTGCGGCGCCTCCCCTGCCAGCTGCAGGCTCCTGTCCCTGAGGGCTCACCCTGACGCCTCCCCACCCCTTGGGCAGGCAGAGCCAGAGAACTCAAGGCCACATTCTCAAGGTGTTTATGTGAGAAAGACTTTGTGGAGAGATTCATGTTAACAGTAACCTCCTAGTTCACTGCTTAGTCCAAGTGTGCCCTGCTGAGAGCTCTTGTTTAATTTTAAGGAAAAGTGCTTGGCCTGGGCCCTCCGGCTTTGTGAGGATTTATCCTGGGGTCAAGGAGGCAGCCCCTGCTCCCTGCCCTACAGACCATGATTGAGGCCTAACCTGGCTGCCTTGAACCCTGACCTGGATGGTGACTTGGCCTTGGGCATAATTTCCTGTGATGGTGACCGGTGGGACCAGTGGGTACCATTTGGCTCACAGCTCCAGAGGCAGACCATCTGCATGGGAGTCTGAGACCACCATTTATTGGCTATGTGTTGTGTTCCTGCCTTTGGGTTAGGCCTTCTCCTTGTATTCTCCCTTTTGGTACTCTTAGAAGTGGGCATGATAAGCCTTCCCATTTTACAGATGAATCCCAGAGGCTCTGAGAGGTTAGCAGACATGCCACGTCACGCAGCATTCAGGTGGCTGGGCCAGCATCCAGCCAGGTCTGTCTGACTCAGGCTCCCCGGCCCCTATTCCTGAGCTTGACTTTCATGTCCATGGCCAGAGGGCCCTGGATCTAGAAGAACCTGAAATGGGTACCACTGAGGACCCTGGCCTGGAGAGTAGGTGAGTCCTCGGTTCCCTCTCTGAGGAATGTGCCCTGCAGAAGAGCTGGCTGCTGGATTTGGCTGTCCTGGAAGGGCTCCCGAGGCCTCTTTCCCTGAATGCCTGACACACCGCTGGGTGCAGAGAATGGGGGTGTCATGCTGGTGCCCCATGTAGGCAGGCTTTCTTAGCACATGCCAGCAGCCTTTATTTGCTAGGCCTGGAGTGATTGGCCTCTGCTGTGCACTTCATCTCCCTTTGCACTGTCTTCCTGGATCCATCCAGAATCCCAGATGGGAAGAAAGAGCTGTATGTTCCCTCCTGGGGTCACCTTCATCTCAGTCTGCCATGGGTGAAGGTTTGGTAAAATTTGGGAAAGGGAATCAGCCTCTTTCCAGAAGGTGTGCTTGTTGGACACTGCCTGTGTGAAGAGCAGGAGGCTGTATTAGAACATGAGAAGGCCCAGCTAGCAGAAGAAGGTGGCAGACCAGCAGCCACATCTCATGTCCCGGACAAGTCCATTCGAAGAGTGATGGGTTTGGGTGGGATTCGAGGAGGTGCCGCTGAAGGGCCTTTTGGAGCCAAAAGCACAGGCTCTGGCATGTGGGTTCCTGTCTGGGCTCTTGTTAGCCACGTGGTCTCGGACAAATCAGTCATTTGAGTTCTGCTGGTGTTCTGGAAGATATGGGTGATACCTGGTTCAGCCACGGGGTCAGGGGTCAGGATACCTGGGATGATGTCTGCAGAGCACTTAGCATGGGACCGGCCCACTGGGTCACCCGGGAACAGCAGCTGCTCCAGCTGTTCCCACCACGATGGCAGGACCCCAGCATCCTAATTGAGTCTTCACATCCATCTTAGATTTTTAGGAGTAGAAGCCCAGGGCTGGGGATCAAGGGTGAGCCTGGGCTCAGGGTGGGTGTGTGCACGGTGTGTTCAAGGAGCAGGAACCCGGTGATGAGGTGGACCGTAGGAAGTCACATGGTGAGAGGAAGGCCCAGGAGGTACCTCTGTTGCCCGCTCGCCTGGCTTGGAATTGGGCCTCTCCTGGAGGCAGTTAGGAATCAGGTCAGGAATTTTAAGCAGGGTGTGTCCTAGTTCACTGGGAGATTAGAAAGTTTAGGAGCTACCCATAAGGGGAGAGCTGTGGGTGTTCCAGGAGAGGGCCCCGTCCTCAACAGGTCCAGGGAGAGCTGTTGACCAAACCCTAACGCATGCTTGGTTCTAGATCAGCAGGAAGTGTAGGGTGGGTGGGCCATAAATGTTGCACGCTGGGTTTTCCTTATCGTGCACGCCGAGCCTGGGCTTGTATTCTTCCAGGAGGGCGGTCAGAGGCTGGGACTTCCTGGAGCCCTTTCCTGACCCCCAGTGGCTGTCCATTCACCAGCATCGCTGGGTGGGTCCCTGCTGCATGCCCCCACCAGCTGCAGAGGCAGAGAGCCTTCCTGGGAAGCACACCCTGGGCCCCCCTCCTCAACTGCCTGCTGTTCCTGGAGGCACTCAGCCCTTTCAGGCGTACTGTAAATGGCCATAATTACCCTTGAAGTTCCCTCAGATAATCACAGCAATCCAGTGACACGCTTTTGTGCTGGGAGAAGGAGCTTGGTGAGACTTCCTCCGGTTGTCACCCCCCCTGCCCCGGTTGTCACCCCCCCTGCCCCGGCAGTAAGACTGCTCTGTTTTCAGAGACTCTGGACAGCTGCAGGGAAAACAGAGCTGGTGGGGGACGGGTGGGTGCTTCGGGACTGCTAGGATCCTCATTGATGAGCAGTGGGAGGGAGACGACCAGAGCCCCTGCTTTGCGGTGGGGGTGGGCAGTTGGGACATGGCACAAGGGGAGGCTCTCCCAGGAATAGCAGGCAGAGCCCTTGGATAAGGGTCTGTGCTCAGGTGGGCCGTCTGTCTCCCTGCAGAGCATCAGCCGTGGAGGGCCTCTCCCACCCCAGCTCTGCATCCAGGAGACAGATGAGGCCTGCTGCTGGGAGCTCCCAGCATCGCTGTCTCCGGGCAGCCTGTGTGAGGTCACTGCCTTCTCAGTTCCACATTCCCAGAGCTCATTCTTGTCTCATTCAGAGCCTGGAGGGGAAGCAGGGTCATTTCTCTGCCTCGGCTCTGGCAGCTTCAAACCCACCCACTTCGTATCAATTAGCATTCAAGTTGCTTTAACAGCAGACCTAAAATCATGGTGGCTTAAATGCGACAGAACTTCCTTTCTCTCTGATGTAAAAGCCCAGAGGAAGGCCATCCAGCACGGGCACAGGGGCTGGGACCCTGGCTCCTTCTAGCTCCTTATTCTTCTGTGGTCTGCCCATCTGGTCCTGGGTGATGGCTGTATTTCCAGCCCTCACATCCAAGATCTAGACATTAGGATGGAGAGGAAGATCAAGAAAAAGGAAGCAAATGAGAAGAAGGCCTAGTTCTCTTTTAAGGAGGGGTTCTGAAAGCAATCCAGTGACATGTTTTTGTGCTGGGAGAAGGGACTTTGGCCAGAATTAGTCACATCCTAAGCTGCAAGGGAGTCAGGAAATTGAGTCCTTGTTCTGAGCAGCCACATGCCCAGCTACAATTCGGGTTTTATCACCATGGAAGAAGGGCTAGAACGAGTTTTAGGGGAGCATTAGCAGTCTTCCAAGACATGGGTCCCTGCCTGAGGACCCAACTTTCCCATGGCAGAACAACCTTGGAATTTCTCCTCTGGCTGGGGGTTTGGCCTCGGCCTGTGACCTCAGCAGCAGTCCCCTCTTTGTAGCAACCAGCATCCTGGAGGCTTGCAGAATGACCCACCCCAGCATGCCAGGGCCCTACCTTTCCCTCATAGATGACTGCTTCTGGGAGGCAGCCATGCCTATACCCATACCCATGTCCCTCCCCACACCCGCACCCCCTAGGCAGAGGCACAGGCAGCGTTGAGCCTGGATTCAATTCAAACCAAGCACTTAATTCTTCCTAGAAATTAAGCATTCCCTGGTGCAGGCCTCGGGGAGGGAGGGAGGAGGCCGCAGTAACAAACATTGAATTTGCAGGCTCTTTCTCCCATCAGCAGCCCACTCTGCCACCCAGGGCCAGGGTCCAGAGATGGAAGCCCCAAAGCCAAGGCATGGCTGTGCTACCCTAGGGTGAGCGATTCTGGGCACGGCTCTAGCTGGCTCCCAAACTGGCTGAGAAGGCACCATGTATGAGAAGGCACCTGGGCCGTAATTGCATGGCGTGGGTTTGTGTCCCTGTCTTCAGGGACAGCAGGTCTCAGACCATTGGGCAACAGGCTGGAGAGATCCTTGAAAGCCCTGACTGCTTTGGGGTGATGGGTGGCTCTCCTGTTCTTCTTCTCTTAGAAGTTCCCATGTGTCTGCTCTGGGGGTGACAGATGGCCTGTTTGGGATCCCAGGCCTCCCTGGGGATGGGGGGTGCATACCGCAGATTGAATGCTTCTGCCTGTGGTTTTACGGGAATTTAATTAGGGCTCATCTTAGAGGCCATTTGAAACCTGGGTTGAAATTGAGTAGTCTGGATACAAAGCAAAGAGAAAGTAACATTCCTTAGAGCCTGGAGAAATAATTCCCCAAAAAGCTTTTGCCTTGGGGGTGGGTGTTTGTGATTGGTGGGGAGCTGCTCCCAGAGGCAGGAACTGGCTCTCAACCCTCGGGGAGCTGCAGAGGGGTGGGGACTTGGAGTCAAGGCCTCAGACCCTGCCCATTGCCACCGCCACCCCTCCAACCCTCCGCCAATTGTGTGGCCTCTCTGAGCTGTGCGTCTGTCAGCGCTTAGGCAGGTGCTTAGTGTGCCAGGCACTGGGTTAAATACTTTACAGACAGTACCTAATTTAATCCACTTAATGACCCTATGAGGAAGGTTCTGATTTCATCTCCGATTTAGAGGTGAGGATACTGAGGGGCTTTGATCTTAAGTTACTTGAGGTCACAGAGCTAGTGGGGCAGATTTGGGATCAGAATCCACACAGTGTGGGTCTGCTCTTAGCCAGTGGTTCCCAAGCCCTGTCCCTCACCCCTGTGTGTACCCCTTCCACACCCCCAGTTCCCCTGTGGCTGATGGAGAGGGACCGAGGCAAAGATAGGTAGGGATGGGGCTCTGCGCCTGCAGGTGAGTCCTGCCTAGGCTCACCTGGTGCTGGTGGCATGGCCATCATCCCTGGGGGTGCCCTCTGGGGTCCAGGAAATGATACTTGAGGGCAGCCACACATCATGGCAGGAAAGAAGGACCTTGTCGCTGATAAGGCTTCCAATCTTAGCCCCTCGGGGGGCTGGGCCAGTCACTCTCCCCTGAGTTGTTCACTCATCTGGGAAGTGGGTCGCCAGTGCCTCGGACGTGCTGAGTGGGCGTCTCAGCTGGTGGCCCCACCCCAGATCGGGCAGAGCGACCCCTTGGTGTGCACCTGCCCATGCCTCCCCCAGTGTCAGCCTGCCCAGACCACAGGGCTGAGGTGAGGGGACAGCGTGCCCCATCGAAGGGTCTGGAATGAGGGAGGACAGGGTGCCAGGGAGGTAGGGTCTCTCAGGGGAGGTGCTTGGTTTGTGGTTCCCTTTCTTGGACTTCAGGGATGTGTGGGAGCACCACTGTTTTTGTTTTCACATCGGCTGTTGTCTGCCACCCAGGCTGAGACCCGCCCTTTCAGTGCAGGGGAGGCTCCGCAGAGCAGGATTGTGCTTGTGGCTCCCCTGCCCTGGGGCGGCTAAGCGCCAGCTGCAGACCAGGCCGGGTAGGTGCGTTGCCGGCATGAGGCGGCAGCTGGGACCAAGGCTAGCCCTGGTCTGAGTCTGCGTGAGCTGCCGTCCTGGCGTCTGCCGTGTGGAAGCCAGTGCCCTCCCCCAGTCCGGGAGTCATGGGGTGAGGAAGAAATGGTGCCCCAGAGCATGTGGAACCAGGTCTGGCCTGCAAGGGTGGCTCCTCCTGTCCTTGAAGCTGCTCCTTCCCTCAGCTGTAGCGTTCCCCCTTTACAGATGGGGGGTGTGGAACCTTAGAGAGGTTATGGTAACTTAGTTGAGGTTTCAGAGCTGGTGCATCTTCAAGCTGAGCTCCATGTTGATGCCAAAGCTCACCCTGTTCCCTTACAACAAACATCTATTTTACAGCTGATTCTCAGAATCCCTCCCATCTCCCTGCCCTTGGCTGACCCTTCTGTGGGTTCTGCTCCTGTCCTCTGGAGCCAGGGGCCACCTGTGCAGCCATCCAGACATTCACATTCTAAGACAAGACCCTGTCAGCCCCCAGGACCTGGGAATCTCGGAAGCATCAGTCCTGCTGGCCGGGCTCTCAGTTGAGGCAGCAGAGGCCAGGGATGTTCAGGGCAGGACAGGGCCTCAGGGAGCACGCCCCCACATTCACACTGCCCCGTCCCCTTTCCTGCACCCCCACAGCCAAAGCCAGCTCCACATCAGGCCCACAGGCCTACTCGCAGCCCTTTCTGTGCCATCTCCTCTTCCCTGGCCTAGCTGCAGCAGGGGTCCCTGGAGAGTAGTGAGAGCTTCCCCACTCTCCCTCCAGCAGCCTCACCCCTTTGTCCCACCAGGACTGGGGTATGTGCCTGGAGGACAGTGGCCCGGGAGCCTGGATCAGCTTTTCCTGGAGAGGTTGTCAGGTCCAGGCCTCCTAAGGGCACTGGCAGAGATGAAACAGATGCTGGATTCTCTGCCAAGCTCCTCATTTCCACAGCTGTGGGCACTGTGGACAGGGCAGCAGCCCCTGGCATCCTGATGGTAGGCTTGCAGTGACCCCCATGAGAACAGACCCTGCCAGGCATTTGCTGCCCTCTGTCCCTCCTGCCCAGGGCACTGGTCTGGAGGCTCCCAGGAGAGACTCAAAGGAGTGGACTGAGCTCTCATGGCGACTGGCTGGCACCCTGCAGGAGAGATGCACCTTCATCTAGGGAAGAATGTTCCTGTCTGTTCACTCAGAGCTTAACCTTGCTGAGCCTTTAAGACCATGGCAGGGACCCGCTCCCCAGCAAAACAAGAAGGCCCCTCCACCCACAGCCCACCAACCCCTCCAGCGCCCTCCAGCTCAGTGGCTTCTGGACGAGATACCCCACTTGGTCCAGGTGGGCCTGCCCCAGGCCTTCCTGCAGAGCTTTCTGAAAACCTCTGTCCCCTCTCAACCCACAGGCACCCCTCCTCTAGGAGGTACTCTCCCAATGACATCAGCTGGCTCCGATCACTTTTCTAGGGCACTGCTGCTGATCCTAGGCCAGTTGGTGAACAGACTGTTTGTCTTTGGGACTCTGGCTCTCACCCAAAATTCCTTTCCCCTGGCTGTGTTGACTAACTCCCTCCAGACTCCACTCCCAGGCTTTCTTCCCCCTACTCACACTGAGTCTCCTGGCTCCCCTGGGATATAAGCAGGGTACATGGGTACTCAAAACCTCCTTGTTGGTCAGATTGGTCAGAAGGTATCCAACAGCAGCCATTTACACTTTAGTGTGAATTTATAGCTCACTTAGTGTTTTTCCAGCTGAAAGAGATCTTGAGTTCTGGAAGCCCTACAAAAACTGCTCTTCTCCACATCCTCAACAATGAGAATAGAGGCCCAGAGTGGTTGCATGGCTGACCCAGGACCACTCAGCACCTTTCCGACTCTCAGTCCAGTGCTGTCTCCATGGGACCCACATCTCTGCAGGGGTCTTTTCAGAAGCAGCGCCATAGTGAATCTAAAGTCAGACTGCCTGGGTTCAGATCCTCTCCTAAACACCCAGCTGTGTGCATTTAGGCAGGTTATTTAACTGCATTGAGCCCCAGCTTTCCTATCTGTAAAATGGGGAGGGAGGTAATGTTGGTGGCACCTTCCTCATAGGTTGTTGTAAGGATTCCTCAATAGATGGGAGCTCTCCTGGCAGACAGTGCATTGTGAGTTTCAGACCACACCCTGTGTGCTGTGACCCTGTGAGTCCTGTGTTTCTCAACTTGCATTTAGTGCTAAAGGCAGCAGCCCCTGGCGCCCTGATGGTAGGCTTGCAGTGACCCCCATGAGACCAGACCCTGCCAGGCATTTGCTCCCCTCTGTCCATTCTGCCCAAACGCCCAGCCCCGTGTTTGCAAATGTGTACCTGGGTTTATTTCCCCAAACAAGAGTGTCTTCAGGGTGACCAATCATGTAACACAAGCGGGCTTTTAAAAATCTCTTTATTGGCTACTAGATGATGTATTGTAGATTTATTATAATAAAGTTCACATTGCACAGGTTTGTTTAGTGTAATTTTTATTTTTAAGAAATTTTGACAGAGTTGCAAAGATAGTACACAGAGTTCCCATATACCCTTTGCACAGCTTCCTCCAGTGTTAACATCCTATCTGACCATAATTATCTAAACCAGGAAGTTCACATTGATAACTATTCAATAATTGAAAGACCTAAATGAATTCGAATTTCCCCAGTTGTCCCACTAATACCCATTTTTTAGTCCAGGATCCAATCTGGTTGTCGCTCTCTGTGGTCTCCTGCCATCTGGGATGGAGCCTCAGGTTTTGACCTTGACACTTTGGAACCTTGACTGTTTATTTTGTGGAGTGTCTCTCAATTCAGGTTTATCTGGTGTTTTCGTGACTGGGTCAAGGTCATACATTTTCAGCAGGAACACCACCCAGCAGTGCCAGTCCCTCCCTAGTGCGTCATATCAGGAGGTGCATGAGGACAACGATGTCTTCTGTCTGCTCAGCAGCAGTTATTTGGTTAAAGTCCACCAGGCTTTTCCACTCTAAATTTCTATTTTTTCCTTTGTAGTTGGCAAGAACCTTCTAAGAGGATTCTTTGCAGACTGTCTCTCATATGTTTGCCCTTCTCTTGTAGCATCCGTGGATGGGTGTTGCCATTGTTACTGTGGTATTTACCGAACAGTCATCATACAGAATTATAAGAACTGTGTCCCAACCACCCCAGTTGCCCTAGAAGTGACAGGATCCCCTTGCAGCTTTGCAGACATCCACAGGGCACCAGGTGGCACCTTGTGGAGTGTCAGCATAATCTCACGTGTGAACAAAGGGAAAGGCAAAATAAGGAAAAGAGAAAAGTGTCAGATATGTTGGAGAATCAGGATTACATGTTTCTTTGCTGCAGGACTTCTCAGAGCCTTAGTAATGTGTTAATATGAATCTTTAGTCTGGGGGCAGTGTTGAATTTCATTACCGATTGTAAGATGCACTGATACTTCATATTCTATAAAAAAGAAAAAAATCCTAAGTAAGTTGTGAAATATCAATTATGAGACACATCTCAATTTCAGAGATGGAAAATATGAAAAACATGCCATAGAATCAGTGAAGTTCTGCAGAATTTAGCCTTTTCCATCCAGTTAACTATAGAGTCCCCTCCTCTCTTTGAGGCTTCTCTTGAGAGACTGTTGCACTCAACACACTCAGGAATTCCCTGACTGGGTGCCTTCTGGCCGCCCTCACTTCCGGCCCTGCACAGGTCTGTTCTTGAGTTCCCTGTATTAGTGTGTGGGGCCCTCATTGCTGGTGCTTCTCGAATCTGTTTAACTCCAGCCTCACTTCCCTGAGGCAGCCACTGTTCATAGTTTGGAACTTATCTTTCTAGACCCTTCCTATTCATACATGTAGAGATACATGTGCACTTTTAGTATTATTTTTTCATTACAGTAGGCTCTAGTGCAATGTGTACATTTAGAAACAGGGTCATTTTACACGTGTCCTGATACAGCTCTTTGTCCCCACTGAACATGTGTCTTGCTTCGCTTCTTTCCATGTTAGCCCATGAAGATGAGGGGGATCAGGTCTGCCCCTTTTGCTGGCAGCATAATATTTCCATACATGAATGAATGAATCCTAATTTATGTTGGGCCCATAAGGTCATTCCAGTCTTGTTTGGATTTTTTTTTTTTAAACAAACTGGGCTGCAGTAAACAGCTCCCTGCATATTTCTGCATAATTAATCCCTAGAAGTGGGATTTCTCAGCCAAAGATTATAAACATTCCTCACTTTGGCAGATCTCACTGGATTGCCCTTCAAAAAGTTTGAGCAAATTTCACTCCTGATGGTGCCAGTCTGCCTGGGGAAGCCGTACCCACCTCGATTGATGTGTGTTTGTCGTTATTGGCACAATTGAGTATCCCATCATGGATTCACTGGCTCCATTTGCTTGTCTTCTATGAATGAATCTTTGCCTGTTGTTTGCCTATTTTTTAGTTGAGTTGTTGGGCTTGTTGATTAATTAGATCCCTTTTTGTATGAAGAAAATTGTCCCATTGTTAAAAATTGTGGACGGGTTCATGAATGTAAGCGTCATCTTTGCTCTGGGTCCAAGCTAAGATGTTTTGCTTTTAGAATAGGTACTACCAGAAAGAGCCCTCCAAACATTTTAAAAATGTCTTGAAAGTAAAAAAGGCTGCCATGTTTTGGGAGCGGGAGCTGGAGCTGAGCAGGGACAGTGAGCGTCTGCCTGGGTCCAGAAGGGGCTGTAAATCAGTGGGAGCAGCTGCCACAGAGTCTACCCACGTTTCCAGCTACTGCCGCCAGACTCAGACATCGGGCGCAGAAATGCCTGTCTCTGTCTGAGCCAGTGTCTGGCTCCTCTTCTCCTGGGCTTTGGACATTGTGGTTGCAAACAGCTCTCTGGTCACATAAGATGAAATGAGTCACTAGCTAAGTCAGGTGGGAGGAAACCTGCTCTTCCCCTGCCCGTGGCTTGCTGTATTGGACTGTAACTTTGCACCTGTGGCATTTGTTGTCTTCTCTTCTCGTCCTCCAGTGTTTTCTCTCCACAGCTTGCCTGTCACCAGGTAGCTAAGTGAGGATCTAGCTGCTAGCAGGGAGGTTGCACCTGTGGTAAGGCCATAGGGTCTCTTAGATGCCTTCAAGGAGCAGGGTAGGGGGCTGTGGCCACTGGCGAAATGCCCCCTGCTTTCCCCCAGTGACTCCAAATATCACAATTGCGTTTCCCCCTTGAAAGCTCATAGTAGCTGGATGTGTTAATTTCCTATTGCTGCATGACAGATGACAGCAGATTGAGTGGCTTCTGACAGTACCCATTTATTATCTCATGGGTGGGTGGGTCAGAAGCCCGCATGGTGTGGTTGGGCTCTTGGCCCAGGGTGTCACGGGCTGAAATCAAGGTGTCCGCAGGGGCAGGTGATCTTCTGGAGGCCCTGAGGAAACATCCACCTCCAAGCTAACTCTCATTGACAGAATCCAGTTCCTGGTGGCTGTAGGACTGAGGTCCCCACCCTTGCTGGCCAGCAGCTCCTACAGGTCCTGTGTTTCTTCTCACGGTGCCCCTCTACTTGCAAGGCGGCCACAGCTGGCCAGTCTCCTTGTGCTTTGAATCTCCAGCTTCCTCTTCAGAGAAGAAGCTCTGTGTGTGATGCCCTAAGAGTTACCCAGACCATCTCCCTGTTTTGAGGGCAGCAATGCAACAGAACCGAGTCACAGAGGAGAACCCATCCATCATGCATGCAGTTCTGGCGATCATGCAGGGTGTTGCCCGGCCACAGGGATCTTGGGGTTGACTTAGATTCTGCCTGCCACACTGAGTAATACAATGGTTTTCCCTTGCATACTTATAAGTTCAATGGAATTTAATTGCTATCATTGCATCTCTCCAGGCCCTGTCACCTGTGCTGGGTGTCTTGGGGCATGTCGCCCCTGCCCATTCCCTCTCCTGGGTGGCGTCTCCTGTCATACTGCCCCTGCACTCCACACTGCAGCCAAGCCGAACCCCAGGGGCACCCCTCTTGACCCTTGGCCTTTGTCCATGGTGTTCTGCCTATCTGGAATACTCTTGGTCCCCAGGACTAACTCCAACTTTGGGGTTTGGCTCAGGCCACTTCCTCCCAGAAGCCCTCTGTGCTGCACACTCCCTTCCCTGCGTGGGCCTCAGTGCCTTCCTCCCTACTCACAGACCCTTTGCTGCCCTCATCGCACATTCATTCCACTGTTTCGTCATTGTCTGCTGGCCGCTGTCTTCCCCACCTGACCGTGACAGCCTTGAGGACAGGGGCGAGTGTGTCTTTGGGGACCATGACAGGTCAGGGCCTGGAACATAGTACCTGCTCAATAAGTATGCAAAGGAGGGAAGAATGTTTTCAAGAATCAGATACATAAGAAGGAGATGCACTGGGGGAGGCTCTGAGCAGAAATCCCACTCCCATGGGAGATAGGCCTGGGGCAGGTGGGGTCATGGGCTCGGGGCCACAGGAAGGGGTGGTCCTGGTTGTCTGTGGGGCTCTCGCGGAGGTGGTATTTGGAGCGGCTCTGAAATACTGGGCTCAATTAGAGGAAGGTGGGAGCCATTCCAGGGAGAGGGAGCAGGATGTTCAGGAGAAATGGGGGCTATTGGTGCTGCGGGAGAGAGCCCCATGCCGAGGCCCAGAGGGCCTCCAGGGCCAGTTTCTGCTTAGCCTATGCGGGGAGAGAGGGAGGCCATTGGGAGGCTGCTGTGGCTTCTGGAAAAGATGCTGAGGGTGTGATGAGGGTGGTGACTCTGGTCAGGAAGAAATAGGATGGAGGCCAGAAATTGAGGGGGAACATTGGCAGGCATCAGGGCAGGCATTATTATCTGGGATGAGTTAAGGAGAAGGAAACACAGGACAAGCCATAACCACAATCTGTGTGCCAGCTCCACAGGGCAGGACAGTGCTGGGGGGCTCCAAGGGTGGGCCAGGTGTCTCCACGGCGGCCAAGAAAAACTACAAGAGAGGCCGGGTGCGGTGGCTCATGCCTGTAATCCCAGCATTTTGGGAGGCCAAGGTGGGTGGATCACCTGAGGTCAAGAGCTCAAGACCAGCCTGACCAATATAGTGAAACCTTGTTTCTACTAAAAATACAAAAATTAGCTGGGCATGGTGGCACGTGCCTGTAGTCCCAGCTACTTCGGAGGCTGAGGCAGGAGAATTGCTTGAACTTGGGAGGCTGAAGCAGGAGAATTGCTTGAACCTGGGAGGCGGAGGTTATAGTGAACCAAGATCGCACCACTGCACTCTAGCCTGGGCAACAGAGTGAGACTCCATCTCAAAACAAACAAATAAACAAACAAACTATGAGAGAGGGACCCTTTGTAGGCCCCCAATAGTAATAAGTCCCCAGCCTGGGCCAAATCCCAGGGCTTCAGTGATAAAGATTCCATTTCAACAGGCAGAGATGAGAAGGGAGGGCATTCCAGTGGCAGATACAGCACAGACAAAGGCCAGGCAGGTAAGAAAGGCCAAGTTATCACCAGGAATAGAGATGGTCCCTCTTGGTGAGAGCCTTTCTTGTTTTGGGGCATGGGGTGGTACAGGCCCCCTCCACCTGGCTTGGAGTGGACTTGTTGGCCTTGTCATGGGCCAGAGCCCTCCACCTTTCTCCCCTCCTCTCAAGCCTTCAGAGAAGTTTCTGTCATGGAGTTCACTCGGCTGCCTCAGGGGCTCTGGCTCAGCCAAGAACATTGTCAGGGCTGGGTGGTGTTCTCTTTGTGTTTTCTCTGGACTTGTTCTGGCAACTGACAGCCCCAGATCCAGCCTTGTATTTTAAACACGAGGATCCTGCATCGAAGCTGTGTGTTCTGCCCAAAGATGATCCAGGCCTCAGTGCTCCTCTGGGGCTGGTGTATAGTCTGTTATCACACTGCTATAAATAACTACTTGAGGCCTGTCATGGTGGCTCACACCTGTAAACCCAGCACTTTGAGAGGCTGAGGCGGGTGGATCGTTTGACGTCAGGAGTTCCAGACCAGCCTGGCCAACATGGGAAAACCCCGTCTCTACTAAAAATACAAAAATTAGCCAGGCGTGGTGATGTGCGCCTGTAATCACAGCTACTTAGGAGGCTGAGGCTGCAGTGAGCTGAGATCACACACTGCATACCAGCCTGAGTGACAGAGTGAGACTCTGTCTCCAAAAAAAAAAAAGGGATTAAAAAAAACCTACCTGAGAGTGGGTAATTTATGAAGAAATTATGAAGAGGTTTAATTGACTCACGGTTTTGCAGGCTGTACAAAAAATATGGCCAGGGAGGCCTCAGGAAACTTACAATCATGGCGGAAGGCAAAGGGGAAGTAGGCATGTCTTTACGTGGCAGCAGGAGAGAGAAACAGAGCAAAAGGGGAAGTGCGACATGCTAGATTTCATGAGAACTTACTATCACATGAACAGCTAGAGGGAAATCTGCTTCCATGATCCAATCACCTCCCACCAGGTCCCTCCCCCAAATTGGGAATTACAATTTGACATGAGATTTGGGTGGGGACACAGAGCCAAACCATATCATTCCACCCTGGCCCCTCCCAAACCTCATGTCCTTCTCACATTTCAAAACACAATCATGCCTTCCCAACAGCCCCCCAAAGTCTTAACTCATTCCAGCATTAACTCAAAAGTCCCAGTCCAAAGTCTCATCTGAGACAAGGCAAGTCCCTTCTGCCTATAAGCCTGTAAAATCAAAAACAAGTTAGTTACTTCCAAGATACAATGAGGGTACAGTCATTGGTTAAACAGACCCAATTCCAAGAGGGAGAAATTAGCCCAAACAAGAACTACAGGGACTGCAGTCCCCATGCAAGTCCAAAACCCAGCAGGGCAGTCATTAAATCTTAAAGCTCCAAAATAATGTCCTTTGACTCCATGTCTCACATCCAGGCCACACTGATGCAAAGGATGGGCTCACAAGACTTGGGCAGCTCCACCCCTGTGGCTCTGCAGGGTACAGCCCTCACAGCTGCTTTCGTGGGCTGACACTGAGTACCTACAGCTTTTCCAGGGACACAGTATAAGCTCTCGGTGGATCTGTCATTCTGGGATCTGGAGGATGGTGGCTCTCTTCTCACAGCTCCCCTAGGCAGTGCTCCTGTGGGGTCTCTAACATCACATTTACTCTCTGCACTGCCCTAGCAGAGGTTTTCCATGAGGGCTCCACCCTTGCAGCAGACTTCTGTCTGGACATCCAGGTGTTTCCATACATCCTCTGAAATCTAGGCAGAGGCTAAAATCTTGCCTTCAGCACACCTGCAGGCCCAACACCATGTGGAAGCCACCAAGGCTTGGGGATTGCACCCTCTGAAGCTGTACCTTGGCCCCTTTTAGCCACTGCTGGAGCTGGAGCAGCTGGGATGCAGGATGCCATGTCCTGAGGCTGCATGGAGCAGCAGGGCCCTGAGCCCAGCCCACAAAACAATTTTTCCCTTCTAGACCTCCTGGCCTGTGATGGGAGGGACTGCTGTGAAGGTCTCTGAAATGCCCTGGAGGCATTTTCCCCTATTGTCTTGGCTATTAGCCTTCAGGGCTTCTTATGCAAATTTCTGCAGCTTTGAGTTCCTCCTCAGAAAATGGGTTTTTCTTTTCTACCACGTGGTCAGCCTGCAAATTTTTCACTTTTATGCTCTGCTTCCCTTTTAAATATAAGTTCTAGTTTCTGGTCATTTCTTTGTTTTTGCAGATGAGCATAGGCTTTTAGAAGCAGCCAGTCCACGTCTTGAATGCTTTGTTACTTAGAAATTTCTTCCACCAGATACCCTAAACCATCTCTCTCAAGTTCAAAGTTCCACAGATCTCTAGAGCAGGGACACAATATGCCAGTCTCTTTGCTAAAGCATAAGAAGAATGTCATTTACTCCAGTTTCCAGTAAGTTCCTCATCTCCATCTGAGACCTACTCAGCCTGGACTTCACTGTTCATAGCACTATCAGCATTTTGGTCACAACCATTCCACAAGTCTCTGGGAAGTTCCAAACTTTCCCTCACCTTCCTATCTTCTTCTGAGCCCTCCAAACTGTTCCAAACTCTGCCCGTTATCTAGTTCCAAAGTTGCTTCCACATTTTCAGATATCCTTATAGCAGTGCCCCACTTCTCTGGTACCATTTTTCTGTATTAGTTTGTTCTTAACATTGCTATAAAGAACTACCTGTGACTGGGTAATTTATGAAGAAAAGAGTTTTAGTTGACTCCCGGTTCCACAGGCTATACAGAAGGCATGGCTGGTGAGGCCTCAGGAAACTTACAATGATGGTGGAAGGTGAAAGGGAAGCAGGCACACCTTCACATGGTGACAAGACAGAGAGAAAGAAGGATGAAGTGCTACACCCTTTTAAGCAACCAGATCTCGAGAGAACTCACTCATGTCATGAGAACAGCGAGGGGGAAATCCACCCCCATGATCTAGTCACCTTTCACCAGGTCCTCCCCCGATGCTGGGAATTACAATTCAACATGAGATTTGGGTGCAGACAGAGAGCCAAACCACGTCGGCTGGCTTAGAAGTTTGCTGCTGATCTGAGTTCGAGTTCTGTCATGGTAGGTAGATGGACGAGAAGGCTGCACCTTCCTTAATGCCTAAGGGTCAAGAGTTCCATCTTTGGGCAGGAGGAAGCAAACATGTCACTCCTCCAGTATTCTCTACTCTTCTTTCTCCCCTGCCTCCCCCAGGGCCATGTCAGACTGCAGAGCAGTGATAGGCTCTGTAAGGTGATCTTGGATGGTTTTAAATGGCAGACCTTCAAATAGTAATACCAGTGATGATGATGACGATAATGATGGACAGGATGTTGGGATCTGACACTTGGTGTCTTCTGCATGCTGGTTTCTGTTTTAAGTGCTTTGTGTGTTAACCTGTTTGATCCTTACAGCAATCCTATGAGCAGGACTGCTCTTATTGCCATTTTACAGATCAGGAAATGAAGGCACCAAAAGGTGAAGTAACCGTCTCAAGTTCACACAGTATGGAGCATTCAGCCAGGCAGCTTCTGGGACTGGCTACAGTGTTTGGGAAGCACAGCTGGCCCAGTGCCTCTGTTTCCTGGTCCCTGAAGTGGGAAAGGAGCCTTCCTTAACTCTTTCCAGACTCAGTGTTCTTAAGTGGGAATGATGAGACTGGAGACCAGTGACAAAGGCTATTATGCAGTGGTTTGCCCAGCAGTCAAGGGTATTCTTTCCCGCCACATGCTGGCTTTGATCTTGAACGTGCAACCAACTCAGGGCCTCTGCTTCTCACATGCAAAATGGAGTGGTGATAGTGATCCGTGCTATGGCATTGCTATAAAGATGACACAAGTTGATGCCTGCAAGTGCTTGTTGATGGCGCAGAGCACACTGCATTGCTTGTCTGGTTATTGTTGACATTAAGCCCTGCATATGCTGTGTTAAGTGCCCAACACATGTCATCTCTATGAGCCTTCATTTTGGTTGTCTGTTAGATGGAAATCCAAAATGATAATGGTGTTTCTTGTGCTCATGAATCTGCAGCTTGGCTGGGCTCAGCTGGGTGGTTCTCCCATGCAGTCTTGCATGGCAGTTTAGCATGATGGTGACAGAGTAGCCAGACTACTGACTTGGCAGCTCAGGGACCCAGGGGTGTGTCCCGAGAAAGACAGCCTCTCTGGCCTTGCTTCCAGAGTCCATATTCTATTTATCTGTGAGGCTCTAGGGCCAGTTCACATTCAAGGGAACAGCATTTAGGGTCTACTTCATAATGGAAAGAAGCATGTAAGAAATAGAGACTGAGAAGTCCCACAATCTGCTATCTGCTAACTGGAGACTTGAGACCTAGGAGAGCTGGTGGTGTAAGTTATAGTCTGTATTAGGTCATTCTCACACTGCTATAAGGACATACCCAAGACTGTGTCATTTATAAAGGAAAGAGGTTTAATTGACTCACAGTTTGCAGGGCCAGGGAGGCCTTAGGAAACTTACAATCATGGTGGAAGGGGAAGCAAACATGCCCTTCTTCACATGGCAGCAGCAAGGAGAAGTGCAGAATGAAGCAGGGGAGCATGGGGGGAGCCCCTTATAAAGCCATCAGATCTTGTGGGAACTGACTATCATGAGACAGCATGGAAGTAACCGCCTCCATGATTCAATTACCTCCCACCGGCTCCCTCCCATGACATGGGGATGATGAGATTTGGGTGGGGACACAGCCAAACCATATCATAGTCCAAGTCCAAAGGCCTGAGGACCAGGAGAGCTGATGCTATAATTTATGGTTCTACTGCAGGAGACTGATGTCCCAGCTTGAACAGGGAGGCCAAGTGAGTGAATTCTTTCTTACCCTTCCTTTTGTTCTATTCAGGCCTTTGACTGATTGGACAGGCTCCACCCACATTGGGGAAAGTAGTCTGCTTGACTCAGTTTACCAATTCAAATGCTAATCTCATTCAGGTACACGGAGAACAATGTTAACCAAATATGTGGGAACCCTGTGGCCCAGTCAAGCTGACAAGAATTAAGCGTCCCACCATGGCAGGCCTGCTGTGTTCTAGGCTCTAGGGCAGGTCCCAGGCACACAGAGATGAGCAAGGCAGGCATAGTCCCTGCTCCCACCGAGCCTCCTGCCTCATCTGCCTCCATCAGGGAGGAAGGAACTGCGTACTGGGGCAGGGGCACCCAAGAAGCCTTAATGTCGGAGGAACTGGGTACTGGGTCAGGGGCACTGCCTGGGGCACTGAGCCTGCACCCTGTGGCGGAGCTTGATTGAGAAACCGAGCAAGGCTCATTTTGCCCAGAGCTTGGGAGGAGGGAGGCATAGGCAGGCCCTTGGCCATGGAGGACTTCAAGGCTGGCAAGGAGTCTGGACCTGATTCCGAAGGCCATGGGAGCCGTTGGGGAGCATGGAGCAGCGGCTCAGCCTTAGGCTGGGCTTTACAGGTCACACCTCCCGAGTTCTCCCTTGCCCCCTCGCAACAGCATGAGGCATGCCAACACTCAGGAGATGCCACTTCCCTACCCTCTCCTCATGGTGGGTCCAAGGGAGGAGACACAGTCCTGCCCTAGCCCCTGTGCCCTGAAGCTGTGAAGTCACTGCTTAGTCCATGTGGCAAGGGCCTGGCCTTCTCTCACACCCCCGCTCCTCCTGTGACCACAGTCCTCATGTGACCCTTCCTTTCCTCAGTGAACCGGACGGCTGGGCAGCACCCAGTCCTGCTGGGGAAGACTCACTCCAGGCTGCCTTTCAGTGACCCAGGCCCCATGGGCCTTTTGCCATTGGCCTTGAGTGCCTTCAGCTCTGAGTTCCTCAGTGCCTAAGCAGCACGGGAAGTGCCTTCTCTCCTCCCTTGTCCCACGAGGGCACCTGAGAGGGCCACTGTGTCCTTACGCCCGATGCCCATGAGAGATGCTAGCTCCTGGGGAGCTCCTGAGACTGTGCACCTTGGATTGGAACCTGGGCTCGTAGCTCTGTGTCCTACATGTATGCATCGCTGCACATGCCTGGCCTGCCCAAGGCCCTTGAGGTTGCTGCATTAGCTACAAGGGGCTGCGAGGCTGAGGGTCCACTGCTCCTAGGAGCCAGGCAGGGCTGTCATAGATTTTCAGGTGGCTTCCAGGAGCCAGGCTGTTTGTCCTGCATCCCCAGGGCATGCCAGCTTCAGGATCTGGAACTTTTAATGTCTTCACAAACAAAACACAACATGTCATTCCAGTTTTATCTCATCCAGGACTGTTCATAGACCTTTAACACACGATGATGTCACTGCCATCCAATTGTTTCCATCCTTTCGGAAGCGCCCAAATCCCCTACAAATCCAGCCCTGCTCAGTGCCAGCCCCTGCAGGGGCCCCACCCTCCAGGGGCCCCCAACTTCAGGGAGAGATGAGTCACTCATCCTAAGCGAGAGGGACAGTTCGGAGGTGTTAGGGATGTACCCTGGAGGCACAGGGCAAGGGCAGCTCCTCAGCATAGCCAGAGGGATCTGGTGCTCTGCCAATCTGCAGGAGGGCAGGGTGGGGGCCTAGGCAGTCAGGCACCCCAGAGGGGCATGGAGGGGCCCTGCCTGCGGGCAAGGCACATGGCTTTCTAGGATGGAATGCCTGGAGCCCTCCAGCCAGGCCACGTGGACAGGACCTTGTGCTGTGGTGGTGAGGGTGCATCCAGCCCCTCTCTTCTGGCTCTAAGTCCCTTCAGATTGGGACCACCTCTGTCTCTCTGTCGCTTGCATCCCGGGGCCTCTCACCCGGGCCCTTCCTGGCATCCCCCTCCTGGCTCAGGCCTGTGCGGCCCTCCCACCCACGTGCCTGTGAGTTGACTGTGGGTGTTACTGGGTGGCTGCCATCGTCATCGCTGGCCAAAAAGCCATTTGGGTTGTTTCCAGAGCTGCTGTCAGGCTGGAACTTGGTTCACCCGGATGCACAGAACATCTTCCCTGTCTAGAATTCAAGAGCATGTGACTCCCGCCCCTTAACTGCATAACCACAGAGGGAAGGTGACTTTGGATGAGTCCAGGGCCTGAATGAGTCCAGAGCACTTGAACTTACAGATGGGCCGGCCAGGCTCTTTCCAGTCCTGCCACAGCCATCTTCAAGGCTGTTCCAGACCCACAGCGCCACAGGGTGGCCAGGCGGGAGATTGCAGGCCCCTCCTCCTTCCTTTGCAGGCTGTGCCAACACTGGGCTTCCCTCCTCCTTTTGTTTCCAGTGCTTACGGCTCACTTATCCCATCCATCAACTTATCTTCACACGTGCACATGTGCCAGAGAGATGGTTCTTACTGAGGCCTGCCTTCTCCTGTCCCCAAGGAACATACTGCCTAGTTACTGAATCAGAACCCATATATGAAAATTTAATAGCGTACAAGAGGTAAACAACAAAACTCGGTAGCAGTGCCAGAAAAAGTACTAGAAAGACGTGACTGTGGGTAGGAGTTGCAGGGTGAATGCCACTCGAGGCAGCAGCATGGGACAGCGTGTTCTTGGGGGCTCTGCAGAACAGCTGGGATTCTGTGATGCTTGGAAGAGCAGGTGTTGCCAAGTGAGGCATGGAACGGGGACCATCCCAGAGATATAGTGGGGACAGTATATCCACCTGGCACAAGGGTTTGGCTGGGAACGATCTTGGGTTGTGCGGTCAGAGAAGAGTTGGGCGCGGTGGCTCATGCCTGTAATCCCAACACTTTTGGAGGCCGAGGCGGGCAGATCACTTGAGGTCCGGAGTTCAAGACCAGCCTGGCCAACATGGCAAAACCCCGTCTCTACTAAAGACAAAAAAATTAGCCAGGCATGGTGGCGTGTTCCTGTAATCCCAGCTACTTGGGAGGCTGAGGCAGGAGAATTGCTTGAACCGGGAGGGGGAGGTTGCAGTGAGCTGAGATCACGATGCCTCTGCACTCCAACCTGGGTGACAGAGTGAGACTCTGTCTCAGAAAAACAAATAAACAAACAAACAAAAGAGTTGGGAAGTATATTCATTTGCGTGGGCTGCATGACAGTGCTGCATTTAAACAACAGCAATGCACTGCCTCCCAGTTCTGGAGGCAGAAGTCTCAGATCTTAGTGTTGGCAGAGTTAGCTTCTTCTGAGGCCTCCCTCCTTGGCCTGCGGATGGCCCTCATCTCCCCACGTCTGCACATGGTCTTCCCCTGTGTGTGTCTGCGTCCTAATCTCCTTATAAGGACACCAGTCCTATTGGATTAGGACCCACTCTACTGACTTCATTTTACCTCTTTAAAGACCCTATCTCCCAGTGCAGTCCCGTTCTCAGGCATGGGGATTGGGGCTTCAATATCAACTTGGAAACAGCGCTCAGCCCATCACAGGAAGGTACAGAGTCAGGCTGCGGAGGCCTGGAAAGGCTGTGGGCTTCACTCGCGGGGCATGGACGCCTTGCTGGGAGCTGTCTCAGTACAGGTGAGAGCTGTAGGACGGTGGTTTGTGGGCAGAGGATCTTGTGTGTGGAGATGATGATTATGGAGTGAGGGGACCAACAAGGGGCTTCCTGGATTAACAGACTTCAGGAACATCGATTCCAGGAGCTGGGAAGAGGTCGCGGTGCTGGGCCACAGCCCTTGTTCCATCAGTGTCCCAGGAGGGCAGGCCAGAGCAGGCTGGGGGTGCTGTGCTGGTGGGTACCAGGCACCCCGAGGAGGGTGGGCATCCATGGAAACAGGGCTGGACAATACGATTCTCAGTCATTCCGAATGCCCCTCATGGGCGTGGCCTCACCGCGTCCCTGCAACCACCCCGGGAGGTGGGCGGCATCACTGGCCTAGTTTACAGATATCAGATCAGAGCATTGGCGGTCCCAGTCATGGCAACTGGGCTGGCCCTCCTTTTGCTTCCTGGGCTTTCCCTGCCATGACAGCTTCCTCCCTGCAGTGTCCCTGGCTTCCCTGGCCCTGGGCATTGTGGCATCAGTGCTGGGTGCCCCTGTTCCTTGGCGTGTTACTGACATTTGACCTACTTCTTGGACCCTCCCCAGCAGACCTTGCGTATGACGGTCCAGGTGATGACGACAATAGTACGGCGAGTTTTTCATGCACACCTGCTAGTGCCAGGGTTTAAACATGAGGCCCATCCTCAGCATCTGCTGGATGCTGGCCACCTCTGAGTGAGGGCAGTGGGACCACGACGATGAGTGGGGGAGGGGTAGTAGCCCTCTGAACCAGATGCTGTTCTAGTCCTCATTTTACAGCAAGGAAACTGAGGCATAGTGAGGTAACTGAGACAAAACAAAGCAAAATTTCTTGGCCAGGGTCATACGGCTGATATAAGATGGAGCCAGGATTAAAACCCAGACAGCCCAGGTCCTCTGTGGATCCTGCAGAGTGCCCAGTCGGGTGGGGGAGGTGGATGCTTCATTAGTTGGCCAAGATGAGCAGCGTGGGGCCCTTGGGTGGCACAGCAAGGGGGCTGCTCCCAGGTGAGCAGGAAGAGGGTGCCTGACCCATGTTGGAGGATAAGCAGGAGTCTTCCAGGCCATGGGTTGGTGCTGGGAGGGGAAAGAAAGGGCGTGTGGGGCTGAGATAGCTGCCCTGGGGCCTGAGAAGTCCGGGGGTGGGTTTCACTCCAACCCCCACTTTCAAAAGATGCTGTAAGGCTGGCCCGGTGGCTCATGCCTGTAATCCCAGCACTTTGGGAGGCCGAGGCGGGCGGATCACGGGGTCAGGAGATCGAGACCATCCTGGCTAACACGGTGAAACCCCATCTCTACTAAAAAAATATGAAAAAATTAGCCAGACATGGTGGTGGGTACCTGTAGTCCCAGCTACTTGGGAGGCTGAGGCAGAATGTTGTGAACCTGGAAGGCAGAGCTTGCAGTGAGCAGAGATCGCGCCACTGCACTCCAGCCTGGGCGACAGAGCGAGACTCCGTCTCAAAAAAAAAAAAAAATGATGCTGCGAGAACTTAGATCCTGCTGATCCTGTCCCCAGTGCCCTGCTCTATCAGCAACACAATGGGGCCCCTCTTGCCCCAGTTTCCTGCCATATAATATGGGCCCCTAGGAACCGGGAGTGGCCCAGGAAGCAGGACTGAGCGCAGCTCTAAGAGCCGGTGTCGGAGGCACACATAGCTGGGGTCTCCCACGTGCAGGGGCGCCCTGGGATGTGGACCAGTAACCACTGTTTGACACCTGCCTCCTCCCCTGAGGGCATCCCCCGCTGGGTGCCTGTCGTGTGCCAGGCCTCCCAGCAGCTCTCTAGGGAAGCAACACTCCCATTTTATAGAGAGGAAAGCAAGGCTCAGCAGAGTTAAGTCGTGTGCCCAAGGTTTCAGCTAGTGGAAGTTTGCCCCAGGTCCAGCGTCGGGCTGGCTGGCTTCAAAACTGCCCCTTCAGGTGCTCATTTCCTCCTCCCTCCACCCCTGTTGTCCTCTCGGGTCCACCTGTTTGTCACTGAACTTTTGTTTTCTTGTAAGTTCTGTAGCTGCTACCGGTCGGATGAGGGAAAGGTCACCTGGTGGAGTGGATGGGTAATGAGGTGTGACGCGGGAGGCCAGCCTTTTTCTGGCTCTGCTGGTAACTCGTGTGGCCTTGAACTAGTTCCTTCCCCTTTCTGGACTTGTGGAAGCCTGTGGCTGGGACTTGCCCATCTCCACGTGCCCTCCCGCTTCATGGTGTCTGATTTGGAAAGGCAGAGAGGGAAGACGGGAGCATTTCCGTTTCCCAGGGGCTGATATTCGCTCTCAAAAGAACACAACCCACCATCCAACCAAAGAAAGCCTCATTCCACCTCCCATCCAAAAATAAGGATGGCAGAGAAATAAGCAACAGTCGCCTTTTTCAGGGAACCAGAAATAGCCTCCCGGGCTCCCCGCTCTGACTTCCCAAGTCTTCATTCTGTCTCTATTCTGGGAGAAGAGCTGCTGGCGCCACCACTGCGAGCTTCTCGTGATCGAGAGGGAGGAACCCCTGCTGTCGCTGTCCCTCAGGCAGGCAGAAGGGGCTTGTCTGCTGGTACTGAGATGGTGGGGGTGCACCTGGGCGCCACCTGCCAGTGAAGACAGCTGGGCCTGGTTCCTTCCCAGCCTCCCACTCAGCTGGAGCGTTCTCAGGTTGGGTCCAGTTCATACATCCTAAGAGCAGCAGGTTGGGCCTTTGCACCGGCTGTTCCCTGTGCCTCGTTGGCGCCTCCCCACCCCCCCAGTCTTTGGAAGGTGCCCCTCACCATGTTGTTCAAATCGCATACCCCACCTCTGCCGGCACCCCCATTTTGTGGTTAATGTTTCCCTGCCAGCTCCGGCCAGCTATACATTTCATTTATCTCTCTGGATTATTGTCTGGGTCCCTTCCACTAGAATGTAAGCTCCTCGAGGACAGGGATGCCTCTGTTTTATTTATTACTATATTGTTAGCTCCTGGCATCTAGTAGAGGCTCAACATGTTTTTCTGTTGGTGAATGGTTATTGGAACAGTAGTACTCTACGTTTCTTATTTACTCTCACTTCATGGGTGTGTCGGGATGCTTTTGGCTACCAGAAACTGACTCAAGCGGTGCAGACATAGCAGCCTGTCATGCCCAGCAACCCGAGCGGGGGCAGCTCGGGATGCAAAACAGTCTGTGTCCACTGAGAGATGGGGTCCTTCCCAGCATGTGCTCTGTGGGCTCAAGACTGCCTTCAGCAAAGGCTGGTGCCCAAGCTTGGAATACGAGCTCATCCTAGCAGTGTGGCTGGGCGAGTCTCAGTTGAGTCCCCACCCCACGCCAGAGCAGGAGTGGTCCAGGCAGCCGGTGTGTCTGCCGCTCAGAGTGTGGTCAGCAAGCTCCAGCCTGGGACGAATGAACAAGAATGACCGTGCAGACCTTTCCTGGCCACCCAATTCCTGCTCCCACCTAGGCTGCTGTCTTAACAGAGCCTGGGATTTCAGAAGGGTGGGGGTGTCTGGCCTGATGCTGGATGTGGCCCATTCTTTGAAAATGTCTTGTTCTTGCATTTCGTCTGGACTCCAGACATCTCTGGAGGAAGATGGGCTCCCCTTGTTCCTTCTCTGACTTCACCTCAGACCCAGTGGGGATGAGGAACAAGACTCAATGCGTGTGTAGGGAGGACTGGAGGAGACCGTGGTTGTGAAGCATTTACTTAGCCCAGTGTCCTGCAGAGGGCAAGCACTCTGGATGACAGCTACTGCTACTAGGTTTTTTTTCCCCTTAATGTATTGATACAATTTATGTATCATACATTTACCTTTCTATTTTTTTTTTGAGACAGAGTCTCGCTCTGTTACCAGGCTGGAGTGCAGTGACGCGATCTTGGCTCACTGCAACCTCCGCCTCCCGGGTTCAAAGGATTCTCCTTCCTCAGCCTCCCCGAGTCGCTGGGATTACAGACATGTGCCACCACACCCAGCTAATTCTTGTATTTTTAGTAGAGACAGGGTTTCACCATGTTGGCCAGGCTGGTCTCAAACTCCTGACTTCAGGTGATCGGCCCACCTCGGCCTCCCAAAGTGCTGGGATTACAGTTGTGAGCCACCATGCCCAGCCAAATTTACCTTTTTTAAGTGTACATCTAGTTCTGTAGTTTTGATTATATTCACAAAATTGTGCGGTCATCACTACTAATTCTAGAACATTTTCATCACCCCCAAAGGAATGTACCCATTTGCAGTCCCTCCCAGTTCCTTCCTTCCCCAGCTCCTGTCAACCATTAATCTCTTTTTTTGTCTCCATGGATGTGCGTGTTCTGGACATTTCAGATAAATGGAATCTTACAGTATGTGGTCTTCTGTGTCTGGCTTCTTCCACTTAGCCCAGTGTTTTTATGGTTCTTCCATGTTGTAGCATGTCTCAATACTTTGTTCCTTTTCATGGCTGAATAATATTCCATTGTATGGGTAGGTCACATTTTGTTTATTCCTTCTGCAGTTGATGGACTTCTGGATTGTTGCCCCATTTGGACTATGATGAGTAATGCTGCTGTGAACCATTTTTAGGATTTTATGCGGACATATGTTTCCATTCTCTTGGGTATAAGAAGTGGAATTGCTGGATCATATGGTCACTCTGTTTAACTGTTTGAAAAACTGCCAGACTGTTTCCCAAGCTTCTGTACCATTTCTCTATTCCCACCAGCAATGTATGAGGGTTGGAATTTTTTCCATACCCTCAGCAACACTTGTTATTTTTGGTCTCTTTTATTATAGTCATCCTGGTAGGTGTAAAGTGGTGTCTCATTGTGGTTTTGATTTGCATTTCCCCGATGGCTAATAAGGTGCTTATTGGCCATTTATATGTCTTGTTTTGAGAACTTTCTATTCAAATCCTTTGCCCATTTTTAAATAGAGATATCTTTTTAATTGTTCAGTTGTTGATAGTGTTTTATATATTTCGGATACTAGACGCTTCTCATGATTTGCAAATATTTCCCCCATTCTGTGGGTTGTCTTTATGTTTTCTTTATAGTGCTCTTTGAAGCAAAACATTTTAAATTTTGATGATGCCCAATTCTATTTTTCCTTGGGTTGCTTTTGCTTTTAGTGTCCTGTCTAAGAAGCCATTGCCTAATGCACGGTCATGAAGGTTCACATCTATGTTTTCTTTTAAAGTTTTGTAGTTCTAGCTGTTATAATGAGATCATGATCAGTTTTGAATTAATTTTGTATACGATGTGAAGTAGGGTTCCATCTTCATTCTTTTGCATGTGAATATCCAGTTGTCCAAGCACCATTTGTTGAAACGAATATTCTTTCCGCCCCTTGAATTGTCTTGGCACCCTTGTAGAAAATCAGTTGAGCATAGATGCACAAGTTTATTTCCAGATTCTCTGTTCTATTCCATTGATCTGTATGTCTGTCCTTAGGCTGGTACCACATTGCCTCAATTACTGTAGCTTTGTAGTAAGTTTCGTATTGAGGAAGTGTGAGTCCTCCAACTTTGTTTTTCTTTTTCCAGATATTTTAGTGGTCCTGAGTCTCTTGCATTTTCATAGGAATTTTAGGACCAGCTTGTCATTTCCTGCAAAGAAAAAGCTGTAGTTTTGATGGCTATCATATTGAGTCTATAGATCAATTTGGGAGTATTGCCCACTTAACAATATTAAATCTCCTATTAATGAGCCTTGTGTGTCTTTCCATTTATTGAAGTCTTCTTTAATTTCTTTCAATGGTATTTTGCAGTTTTCAGTGTTTAAGTCTTACACTTATTTTTTAAATTTATTTCTTTTTGATGCTTTTATAAATGGAATTGTTTTCTTAATTTCATGTTTGGATTGTTCATTGCTGGGGTATAGAAATACAGTTGAGGCCAGGCATGGTAGCTCACACCTGTAATCCCAGCACTTTGGGAGGCTGAGGCGGGACAATCACTTGAGCCAAGGAGTTTGAGACAAGTCTGGGCAACATAGTGAGACCCCCATCTCTACCAATTAGTTGGGTATGGTGGTGCAGTTACTCAGAAGGCTGAGCGGGGAAGATCCCTTGAGCCTGGGAGTTTGAGGCTACAGTGAGCTGTGATCGTGCCACTGCACTCTAGCTTAGGCAACTGAGTGAGACCCTGTCTAAAATACACATACATAATTTTCTCTTTTTTTGATATGGAGTTTCGCTCTTGTTGCCCAGGCTGGAATGCAATGGCGCGATCTTGGCTCACGTCAACCTCCACCTCCTGCATTCAAGCGATTCTCCTGCCTCGGCCTCCTGAGTAGCTGGGATTACAGGCGTGCACCACCACGCCTGGCTAATTTTGTATTTTTAGTAGAGACGGGTTTTCTCCATGTTGATCAGGCTGGTCTTGAACTCCCAACCTCAGGTGATCCGCCTGCTTTGGCCTCCCAAAGTGCTGGGATTACAGGCGTGAGCCACCATGCCAGACCCATAAATATAATTTTTAAAAATTAAAAAAGTACAGTTGCTTATCATATATTGATCTTGTATCCTGCAACCTTGCTAAACTCATTTATTAGCTCTAATAGTTTTGGAGGTTTTTTAAATATGTGCATTCCTTGGGATTTTCTATGTATAAGATCCTATTATCTGCAAGTAGAGATGGTTTCACTTCTTCCCTTCCACTCTGTATGCTGTTTCATTTTTCTTGCCTAATGGCCGTGGCTAGAACCTCCAGTACAGTGTTAAATAGAAGTGGCAAGAGCAGACCTCCTTATCTTGTTCCTGGTCTTAGGGGAAGTGTCTAGTCTTTCACTGGGGAGTCTGGGTTTTTCTAGAAGGTTGAAGAAGCTCCCTTATTTTCCTAGTTTGTGGAGTGTTCTTGCCATGAAAGGGTTTTAGATTTTTTCAAATGCTTTTTCTGCATCCATTGAGATGATCATGTGGTTTTTGTCCTCTATTGATATGGTGTATTGCCTTGGTTGATTCTGTGTGTTGACACTGCTATTGTTATGAGGTTTGCCACAGAGCAGAGTAGCATGCTGTCAGGAACCCCCTGAGCCAGGGAGCTCCATGGGCACTTTTTCTGCGAGGGAGGCTGTAGTCAACAGCAGGGGCCTGGGAGTCAGATGGTCTGGGTATGACCTCCTGGCTGTACCACTGGCTCACCATGGAACTCTATGCAGGGAAATGCCACCTCTGTGCCCTAGTTTCCTCATCTGTAAAATTCTCAGGGGACAGGAGTGCTTCCTTGTGGGGTTCTTATGAGGGTAAATGAGTTACTGTGTAACTACGTTGAACAGTTTCTGGCATGGAACACATGCAGTGTTTTGAGACATTGGCTACTGGCCACTAGTGACATTATGTAAAAGCTTGGATGGGCCAGGGTGGGGAGGGACAGTTGAGGAGGGCATTGAAATCTGAAAGCCAAGCTGATTCACCTGCTCTAAAAACTCCGGGGGGCCACAGGGAGTCTGGAAGCTCTTCCAGGAGGTGGCCTGTTTGACCCCAGCAGCCTCCAAATCTTCCTGTGGGAGGAGGGGCCAAGGGTGGAGCCCAGGCTGGTGAGCGCCCGTCCGAAGCCTGCCTATGGCAGAACCCTCCAGTTTAAATTCAGGCCTGAGCACCATATCCTTTGGGACTGGGTTGCAGGGGCGGTGTGTTTGCAGCGAGGAGGCTTTTGCTCAGACTGCTTCCTCCCTTGACAGCCATGGAGGGCCTGCCAGCCCTCACAGCATTCCCGCCCTGCCTGGGGCCTTGTTTGGAAAATGGCTTTCAGCTGAGCACCAGCTCCCCTCCCTCCCCACCCTGACTTTCCTGACTTCCCCTCTCCTGTGCTGCCAGGTGAGCCTGGCTCCTTGTCCTGGCTCTGCCGTTGACCACTGTATGACCTTGGGGCCTGTTTCTGGACACTGTCAGGGACCGCTTGGGATTGAACAGGCCTCTGTGCAGAGGGCCTGCAACACTGTCTGCCAGGGGCTCAGGAAACACTGGCTCCAGACCACCCTCCCAGTGCCCCAGAGAAACTGCAACCCCCCAAATCTTTCTGTTTGGAGTTTAGACTGTGAGGGTAGGAGTCGGGGAACGGGGGAATGAGGATGAGGAGGGAGATAAAAGCAATTTTATATGCCCTGTGTAATTCTTGGCATTTGTTTTTATGACATAAATGAGGCTGGATCTACCTTGATTTAATGTCCTGACCTCCTAGCCAGCCAAGTAGCTAGCAGCTCGAGACAGTCTGCTTTGCTCTGTTTACTTTTGGTTTGGTTTCCAAGCCTGTGGGTGGCAGACCGCCCCCGCCCCGCTCACACTCAGCCTTTCCTGGCCCCTGTGCCCTGAAGTACAGGGTGGTCCCACCTTTGTGGTCTTATCAGGGAAGGGGGACAATGACAAGAAACAATAATAACAAACCAGTAATTTCATCATCAGCAGAGAGATTCCAAATACATTTTGTTATCCCACAAAAAATCAGTTTACCCCTGCTCGGTGCCAGGCACGAGTCAGGATGAACAGAACAGGTCAGCTTTTGAGGGTTTTAGGAAGTTGGACTCACTCTTAGAATCCACTGGGTGGGCCTGGAGAGGGGCCCAGGAATGCCAAGCTGTGAAGGGCGAGGAGGAATTGGCAGGGGGACCAGGCGCGGCCTGGGCTGGAGCATGCAGCAGAGATGCAGTGAGCGTGGTGGGGAGGCCACCTCTGGAGCTCCACACAATGCCCTCAATTATGTTAAGTAGTCTGCAGGTGAGGGGTCAGGCAGTGTCCATGTGGAAACAGTTGTGTCACCACCAGCTAGTTCTTTAATCTCTCTGACCCCAGTTTCCTCCTCATGGGATTATTTTGCAAACTGTGGAGGTGATGCCGGCAAAGCCCTCGGTACAGCGCCAGACGCATGCTAAGAGCTATATTGTCACTGCGATTATTATTAAGCCAGTGTATCACATGGTGGGAAAGTCTTTATTGAACCAGAAAAAATGGTCATGGCTTATGAAGTTAGGATTCAGGTTACAAAATTTGTACAGCTCTCTGCGTGTAAATGTACGCGTGGGTAAAAGTCCACAGTGGTGGGGTAGTAGTTGTAATGTCTTGTCAATATGTACATTTTTTACTTTTCTGTACTCTTCGGATTTTACACAGTGATCATACACGAGTTTTGTAATTACAGAAATGTTATTAGACAATGTAACGGCAGGGCTGTGGTTATTGTTCACACACACGAGCACATGGGACTGCAGAGGTTGGGGACGGTCAGATCCAGGAGCGTGGGGGCACTGAAGGCCCCTGGGGTGGGGCGGGCTGTCACAGGACGTGCACCTGGGGCGGCTGCCCAGGAGCTGTGCTGACCAGGCCTCCCTTCTGCCCTAGACGACAGGATCTGCTCGCCACCCTTCATGGAGCTCACGAGCCTGTGCGGGGATGACACCATGCGGCTGCTGGAGAAGAACGGCTTGACTTTCCCATTCAGTGCGTACCATCCCAGCTCCACCTGAGGGCAGGCGCTGTAGACCGCAGGCCAGCATAGGGGAGGGGCTGGGTTTATAGTGCCCTCTGGATTTAAGCTCACCCGAGGATGGATGAGCACATGGCCCTGGGTCCCACCTCCACCCACACCATAGAAACGGGTCCTGGTAGGGGACACAGGTCAACGTGCTCTCCTGCCTGGCCTGGGGGTGTCTACCCACACGTCACCCTCAGTGCAGATACCAGGTGTCCAGAGTCTGTGTCTCAGCTAGAGTTCCTTTCTAGACGTGCCAAGTACCTGCCTTGTGGGTGAACGGCCTCACTAATTTCTCTCTGCTTTTCTCTCCCCAACCCATAGTTTGCAAAACCAGAGTGGCTCATGGCACCAACTCTCACGAGGTGAGTGGAAGAAGATCTGACTGTTGTCCCTGACCCCCATCCTTTCAGCTCATCGTGTCTCACTGCTACCCTGCCGGATTCCTCACTGCCACTGCTCCTGCCCTGCTGTTAGTCCTGGCTCCTTGGTAGATAGCCTCCTTCCCTTCCCTGGACTCCAGAGGAATCGAGCGGGAGTGCTGTGGCTTCATGCACTGTCTGCAACCTCACCTCAATGCCTGTCCTGTCCCTAAGGCAGGAGGATGTGCTGGGGACCCACCTGTCCTCTGTGGAGCCTGTCGTAGCTGTGGCAGCCATAACAAACCCCAGGCACTGGGTGGCTTCGCCACATTTATTTTCTCACAGCCCCGGAGGCTAAAAGTCCCAGGTCAAGGTGCCAGCAGGGTCAGTTTCTGGTGAGGGCTCTCTTCCTACCTTGCAAATGGCCACCTTCTCACTGTGTCCTCACACGGCCTCTTGTGTGTGTGAATGGGGAGGGGCAGAAAGCAAGAGCAAGCTCTCTGATTTCTTCTGATAGGGGCACTAATCCCATCTTGAGGGCCCTGCCCTCAAGACCTCCCAAAGGCCCCACCTCCAGATACCACCACAGTGGGGCATGGGCTTCAGCGTAGGAATTCTGGGGCACACGTTCAGTCCATAGGGGAGCTTGTGCGAGTCATGCCTCAGTCCGGCCCGCCCTGCAGGGCTGGCTATCCTTTGGGCCATCAGTGTCATCTCTTCGAGGGCCTGTTTTGTGGCAGGCACCGGGCTGGGCCCACATGAGGGCTGTTAGCTCTGACAAGGCTCTGTCACTGCCACAGGGGTCTGCCATGCTGCTGAATTGAGACGGGCCAGGGAGGAAAAGAGGGCTGCTTAGAATCAACCCTGTGGAATGCTTTGAATCATGAGTCACCCACCCGCCCATTCATTCTTTTATTCACTCTATGATGTTCCCGGCCACCTTGAGGACCATGGAGACCAGGAGACAGATGCATAGGATGTGAGTCCTGTCCCTAGAGAGAGCCAAGGAGCCTGTGAGGACTCCAGGGGCTAGAGGAGTGGATGGTCATGCAGGGGCTTCGCTGGGGCCAGGGCCCGTACCACCCTCAGGAGCCACACCTGGGGCCTTGTCTTTGCCCTGGACACAGCACTGCCTGGGGTCTCCCCAGTGGGCACATGTTGGGGTATGCTGGGCAACAGGCATCTGACCGGAGTGGGCTCTCTGGGGAAGGCTTGTCCTTGGAAAGCCCCACCAACAGAAATGCTCCCCAGAGCTCACGACTAAAAGGGGAAGATGCAGCAGCATGGGCCTTTCCTGGGTTATGTACTGCTCTTTATCCCTGGCCTGCACTTCCGGGGAAGTATCAGCAGACAGTGTCAGCGTAGCGCAGCACATGCTGTGATGGGAAGGAGTGTGGAGACAGCCCGCCGTCCCGTTGTCAGTTGTCTGAAATCAGGAGCCCTCACGTAGTCTTCCTGTGGGTGTTGGCCCTCCTGCCGCAGCCTACCTGGGCTCTGTGCCTGGTGCTGGCAGCACCCTCCAGGATGTACCAGGCCAGGGAGGGAGCAGGAAGGCTCGAGAGCAGCAGCGTTGGTCCCCAGGCCCCCCTCAGCCCCAGTATCTGCCTGCCCGCCTTCCACCAGCCCCTTTAACCACCCAGTGGTTCCTCTGTGTGTGAGTTGCTTGGGTGTTCCCAGATGGAAGCACGAGCGTAGTTATTAACGTGAGTAGATCCGCCTAACTCAGAACCTGGCAGCCCGGGAGGAGGGAGCCACTTCTGCGAGTCACTCAAGGCCTGAGGGCCGGGGCTGTGGAATCCCAGAGACCTGGGACTGATTCTGGTGCCGTGTGTTGCCATTTGTGCGACTTTGGCAAATTACCCAGCCACCCAGAGTATCACATTTGTGACTGGAGACGTTAGCGGCTTCTGTGAAGGATGAGGGGTCACTGCCAGGGTTGCCTGGGTGGACTGTTGGATGAGCTGCCGGAACCAGCTGCCCTGGTACTTGCCCGGTACTTGCTGAAGGGGATGGGGGTTCTGGATCCAGGTGCACCCCTCTCAGGATGCCCCTGATGGGCCTCGGGACTCTCAGCCCTCAAGTATGGGGTCAGCACGCTCAGGGGAAGCTATAAATCACTCCTCATTCTAGCCGCCTGGCTCCAGGATGTTTGTACAGGTGCCCCTCCCTCTACTCCCCAGCCGGCTGTCTGGGTCCACTGCCGGCAAGGTGTGCCACCACGTCCCATGTACTCAGAGACCCCAGCGGACTCTCTGTGCAGACGGGGCATGTTAGCATTGCAGGGACGTGCCCTCTGGGGTGGACACTGTCCACCAGATCGGCAGAGGTTGGGGGACAAGCTTCTCACAGATTCCAGGGGTACCCGGGGAAGCCAAGTACAGCAGGGGCAGAAAATAGCACTGTGCATGGCTGGCTTTAGATAGGGCAGCAGGTGCTTCTGATCGGGAGTCCTCGTCTGCATCCCAGCCCGCGCACTCCCGGCCTCTGAATCTCCCAGCCCGAGACTCAACCAAAACCAGGACCATTTCTGCTAAACCACTCTGTCTTCATTTTATGTTCTCAGAACTCTTTTATTTGGGTTTTTGTTTTGTTTTTGAGCCAGTGTGAGGGTACTCATTTGCTCCACAGTGGAATCTTTTTTTTTTTTTAAGCTATAACTTAGCCAAAAGCTCAAAGCATCCCTGAAGCCACCCATGATTTTGCAGAGGAAGACAGTGGCGCTTAAGCAGGGTGGGGGCCCAGCCTCGGCTCACACAGCAAGTGCTCAGCAGGCATTCCAGCCCCTGCCTGACTCCAGAGCTGCTCGTGTTTTTCCTGTCCTTTATTCTTGTCAGAAGGCTGAGGAGATGTTCACTGCCCCCCAACGCCCCCAGCACAGACACACACTTTTTGTTTTTCCCATGTGGCCTGGATTTCCACGTCTGTCCTGCCCAGCTGAGCTCCAGGCACGTAGGGCCGGCGCTCCGTGACAGCTGACACAAGGGGTGGCAGCTGGGGAGGCAGCCAGCTCTCCGGGGCCCATTATCCCTGCTCAGCAGCCCCAGCCGTCTGGTGGCTCCTTCCTGGGGCCCTGCGGGCTGAGGGATTAGCCATGACCCTGGCACCAGCAGCTGGATCGGCTAGGCCTAGGGCCCACCCCTCTGTCCTTAGAGCAGACCCTGTGCAGAGCCCGTGCTGGCCGGGGCTGAGAGGGTTTTGGCAGCTGCCCCCCTGCACTCCCTACCCCAGCCCCTACCAGATCCTCCTGTCAGGGACCTTTTTCCCCAGAGGAGTCGGGGACCAGGAGCACAAAGGCCTGTTGTTTGCGGAGTATCACATGGCTCCGTGTGTAGGGGCGCGGCTGGGTGCTGTGCAGACCCAGTTCCATCCCGGGCTCACTCACTGTCCAGCAGTCACTGAACCTCTCAGCGCCTCATCGTCCTCATCTGTGAAAGGTTGTATGCTCACCTCAGATGTGCATTGTGAGGGAGACACTAGGTAACTGGTGTACGTGCTCAGAACAGGGCCCGGCTTGTCACAACTGCTTGACAAGAGGCAGCCGTTGTCATCAGACAGGCTTTGACCCAAGGCCTCCTGACTCCTGCGCCCGAGTCATCTGCTTCCTTCCTCCTCCCGGGTCTTTGTGGAGGATCCTTTAGGATGTCAGAGGGTTGAGCAGCACACAACCTCAGCGGCCCCCTTCCCTGGACCACAGTGCGACAAGTGGTGTCACGCTCTCAGAAGTTGTGCAGTGCACAGCCAGCTCGATCTCACATGGCAGGCCCGGTGAAGGGAGGATCTCCAACCCCGTGGCAGAAGGGATGCATCCCCAGGTGTTCTTCACAAGTCCCACTCCACTCACCCTGGCTCAAGGCTCCTCTAGGGGAGTCCTCATGCCACAGGACCAGGGATGGGCCTTGGTGGAGGTGCTCTGGACAGGTGACACACCTGTGTGTTGGAGGCTGAGAAGGTGGTGGATTCTGACAGAGCTTTTGACCCCTTGTCTTCCCAGATGGCTATCGTGTTCAACCAGGAGGGCCTGAACGCCATCCAGCCACCCTGCGTGGTCCAGAATTTCATCAACCACAACGCCGTCCTGTACAAGGTGTTCGTGGTTGGCGAGTCCTACACCGTGGTCCAGAGGCCCTCACTCAAGAACTTCTCCGCAGGCACATCAGGTAACTGCTCTTCTCACCATCTTGGGCTGAGCAAGACTCAGGGGCCCAGCTGGGATGTGGCAGCAGCTGTCTGTCCTTCGGCACTGCCCCAACCACCCTGTGTTCTTGGTGGGATGGAGAGGTGCTCTAAAGGTGGAAACAGTTGTGTACGGTGGATAAAGAGGTCTTGGGGAACTAGTAAAATGTCCCTATTCCCTGGGTCATTGTAGGGGGCCCCACCCACCTGAACCACCGTAGACTCCAGGATGCATCCAGAAGTGTTCTGTCCCCAGCATGCTTCTGGGGGACCCACACAATAATGATATTCATGGAGGAACACGCTGGGACAGGTGTGGCCAGCATGGCGTGGATTGGCCTTCCAGGGAAGCCAGGGCAGGTGCTGCCTGCTGTCTCCCGCTGAGCCATCTTTACCTTGGGTCTCATTTTCCCCTGGGGAGCCTGAGACAGAGTTGCCTGCTGCTACCTGCATAGCTGCCAGGGTAAATCAGACTGTGAGAAGCAGCAGCTGCCGGGTTACAGGTCTTCTTAGGTGCAGGACTCCTACCGTGCCAGTGAGCGTGTTTTGAGTCAGTGGACGGTGGTCTAGGAGTCCCGTGGGTGTCACATAGGGCGTTCTCTGCATGATGCTGTTGTCGCTGGGCCTGAGAAGCAGCCTCCCAGGGAGCAGCCTGTGGACCCCACTGCGCTGAGGGGCCTTCCTTCCGCCAGCTGCTCACCGCCCTCTCCAGCCTCAGCCATTTTAAAAACGGACACTGAGTTAAAGATTTGCTGGCAGTGGAGCTGCTCGAAAGGATGTTCTAGTGGCTTCTGAAGGCATCTCTAAGGCACGTTCTGGAAACCTTTGGAACAGTGGCAGTGTCTTGGGATAAGTAGCTTTCCAGGAGGACCCTTTGGAGAACACTCACTGCCCCGCTGTGGCTTGTTCAAATCAGCTGCACATTTCTTTCAGCAAGGGGAACCCACATCATCAGAAGCGTTCAGACGCCGGCTGTTTTACCTCCAGCTGAGCAAACAGATGTGTCCTCTTGGCATCCCTCCTCCGGGGACTGCCTGTGGCCATCCACATCTCCTGGCTGGTGTGCCGCCCGGCATGGAGGGGCTGCAGTGCTGCGGTTGCCCTCTCAGCCCTTCTTCCCCTAGATGCCTCTTCTCTTTCCATGGACACATGCAGAGCGTGGATACTTTGGAAACGTGCAGGTGTTCATTTTCCTCCGAGGGCAGGTGGCCTTCCTAGCTGGGCGTGTGGCTCCCAGACTCAAGGCTGTATTTTCAGGGTTTGGGACATCATGGTCCCAGCCCCTGCCCACTGGGTGGGAGCCAAATGCTGGAAGCATATTTTTATATGTGGCTATATACCACCAAGAGATATTCCTCCAAGTTATGGGCTGGAAGAGGCTGACATTTTTTAAAATGCTGTTTATTCCCTGATTTAAGAAAATAATAATGCTTTAAGTCTATGGAAAATATATTAAATTAAGAGGAGTTATATTTTATATCAACTCCTTTCTGTTTTTACCCAGGTCACTCCATCTCTAAAAGAAATTTACTGTCAGATCTCCTTTCTTATCCACTGTGGTTGGGTTTTTCTGTTTTCTCCTTTTTCCTTCTGGTTGCAAAATGCTGGGCCAGTTTCCGTCTCGACGCTGGGAACCATTAACAGCAGAGTGTGGGCTCCTATCCTGTATCTGTGAGGACGAGGACTCCTTGCCTGTGTGTCTTCTTGTGTGGCTATTTCTAGGTTGCCAGTTTGCCATAAAATGCATACCAGGAGACCAGACGTGGTGGCTCATGCCTGTAGTCCCAGTTCTTTGAAGAGACCAAGGTGGGAAGATTGCTTGAGGCCAGGAATTTGAGACCAGCCTGGGCAACATAGTGAAACTCCATCCCTACCAAAAAAAAAAAAAAATTAAAAAATTACCTGGGCATGGTGGTGTGCACCTGCAGTCCCAGCTACTAAGGAGGCTGAGGCAGGAGGATCGCTTGGGCCCAGGAGTTTAAGGTTGCAGTGAGCTGTGGTCATGCCACTGCATTCCAGCCTGGGTGACAGTAAGACCTTGCCTCTTAAAAAAAAAAAAAAAAGCAGACTAAGCCCAAATAGTAGAGAAACACACAGAGCTAAAAAGGAGAAATGTTTATTCTGTTCACGTGAACTAAGTAACTGTTAGTGTGTCTCTCCATCCCCAAAGCTGATTCTGTGTCCCCATCTCTAGGGCACTGTGCCAGGGAGCTAACGTGGGTCCTCTGGTTTCTACGTGTATGTTCTCTTTCTGGATAAGAAGTGTAATGCAACAGCAGCCTTTTAAGCTGGACCAGTTGGAAAGGGGGTTTGGGACTCTGGCCTCTTTCCGGCCCTCACCCCAGCTTTCCAATTTCCTTTGCCCAATGACATGTCCCCCAACTTCCCGTGGCCACGCAGGGATGGGGGTTCCTTGAGTGGGATTTTTCTGGACCTGGGATAGAGACAGGGACATGAGTCTTCACTCGACAACTGCCAGTCTCCTTTGCCTGTCAGCTGCACTTTTGTTTTTTACGTGTTGACATCTCAAATCAAGTGTGCCTTATAGCCAGTGGCATCCATGCAGAGGCTTTGGCTGGAGCTGAAGTCAGGTTGTGGCTTGTGCCATCCACCAGGAACATTTTGTGTTCTCTGCCTGTGGTTCGCATTCACAGAGAGACTGTTTCCCTCCCTCCACCCTGTGCCAGGGTAGAGATTAGCGGGTTCCTTTGCTCTCCCTTTCTATAGAGTGGGTTTATTTCTTGCTCGTCTTTACCCTGAGGACGCAGCGCAGGCTCCCAGCTTTATGCAGGTTCCCTCCATTATTCTCTCCAGCTTGAGCCTTGTTTCTCTTAGGCATGCATGAGTGGTACCTCTCACCATGTAGAGCGGGAGGCAGCAAACTTTTTTTTGCAAAAGGCCAAATTATAAACATTTCCAGCTCCATCCCAATTATTTAATGCTGCCGTTGTAGTGCAAAAGCAGCTGTAGATATGTAAATGAGTGGCACGGCTGTGTTCAAATGAAACTTTATTTACAAGTGCAGGTGGCCGGGCTTACAGCCTATAGTCTGCTGAGCTCCTCTCCAGAGCCTCTTAATAGTCAGTGATACAGCATTTATCAAACCTACCATGTGCCCAGCCCTGCGTGAGCTGCTGGGGATCCAGTCAGGGACTAGGCAGGCACCCAGCTTCCTGCCCTCATGAGCTTGTATTCTGGTGGGAGAAACTGCACACAAGGAGAGAAATAAGAAAAGGGTCAACTGTGGCCTGAGATAAGGGGTTCTGAGGGGAAGAGAATATGTCCTGGGATACCACTGGGTGAGGGGAGCCACTTGGAAAGGGCAGCTCAGGATTTCCCTCTGCAGAGATGATACTCATGGCAACTGGAAGATGACTTGGGTCACCATCTGTAGCATTAGGACACATTCTCCCCATCCCCTTCGCCTCCCAAGAGAGAGAGAGGAGATGAAGGAAATAAGGCTAAAAGCAGTGTGGCCCAGCTCGTGGCTGTACGGCTGAGTTGCTGGGATGTTTGGGGGCTAATCTTATCATTTATTCTTCTTTTAAACCTATTTTTTAAATCCATAAGTTGAGAAGAAAACACACACATTCTTCCTTTCATTGCCCTCCCTCCCTGTAGAACGTTGGTGGTAGTTCTCCACTGGTGCTATTGGGCTAGTCCAGGAACAGACTGCATGGGGCACCCAAAATCCAGGGTGCTGTCGTGAGTGAGGGCTTGCTGATACATGCTGGGAGCAACGCCCTGGTCTGGTGTGTTAGAGGAACCGACTCTCTTGGAGCTGGCCACCAGGTTTCTTTCCCTGATGCCTTCTCACTTGCCTCAGCTTTCCATCATCTCTTGGGTGACTGGCAGCCACAGGAGGCTGCTCCTACTCCCTCCGACCCCTGTTCAGACCGCACATAGAGAGGAACTGAGCCCAGACCATCTCTCACTGCCCTGCCAAAAGGGTCTTCTGGCCAGAGCTCCCAGGTCAGAATTAGCCAGAAGGGCCAGGTGCGGTGGCTCATGCCTATATCCCCAGCACTTTGGGAGGCTGAGGCGGGCAGATCACCTGAGGTCAGGAGTTCAAGACCAGCCTGACCAACATGGCAAAACCCCGTCTCTACTGAAAATACAAAAAATTAGCCAGGCGTGGTGGCAGGTGCCTGTAATCCCACCTACTCAGGAGGCTGAGGCAGGAGAATCACTTGAACATAGGAGGCGGAGGTTGCAGTGAGCCGAGATCGGGCCACAGCACTCCAGCCTGGGCAACAGAGTGAGACTCCATCTCAAAAAAATAAAAAGAAAAACAGAATTAGCCAGGAGGAGAAAAGAGCCCCTTTTGAAATGTCCTGGACTCCAGCTCTTCCTGCCAGGAGAAACTGTTGTGTTGCATGATCTGTCCAGGTGAGCAGACACTGGCCGGCCCCTCTGAGTACCCAGCTCTGGCCCTTCCTGGCACCCACTCAGCACCCACGTGTTCTCCTTGCGGCTCCTGCAGACTTCCCAACCTCCCTGATCTTTGCTGTGTCTACCTGCGCTTGGTGGCCCTTCCTCCCCCTGGGCCTTCTCCGCCATTCGGCAACTGCTATTCAGGATCTACAGGGAAATAGGTGGGAAGGTGCCCTGAGCTCAGGGGGCTGAGCCAGGCTGGGCTACAGGATGAGAAGGTGGGCAGCGTTCCCCTCCCAGCTGCTCGAGCTGTTCCAGCCGCAAGCCCACAGGGCTTATGCCATCCCCACAGACTCCCTCTTCTTGGCTGTCGGTGCCTTGGGAGTAGAGATCCTGGGGGCCACATGACACATGTCCTGCGGGGTGTTTATTTTCCCCAGGCTCCTCCCCAGGACCATATTTCATGGCCCCCGTCTGGACTGGCTCTGGTCAGAGCAGCAGGAGGACTGTCGGGCACACCAGGGCAGCCAGGGGCCTCTGTGCCCCGCTAGCGGGAGGGACGCCGGGTACATCTCAGCGCCTGCCTGCTTGGCTTCCGCCCGAATCACTCCCTCATGCATAATTGTTGCGGCGCTGTGAAGTCCTGGAGCTGATGGGTCGTTGGCAGCCAGATCAGGTGCCCCATTGGCATGGCCCCCAGCACGCAGCGGCCCTCAGCCAGTGCCCTCCTGTCCTCGCACATAGGCGCCTGGGTGCCAGGGGTGTGCATTGCATCCTGGGGGTGGGAGCCACAATGCCTCACCCTGCAAGGACTCAAGGAGGGGCTGCTGGGGCTGGCGGCCCAGGACGGTCCCGTGCCAGCCTTGGGGGAAGTCGTGGGATGGTGACAGACAGCCTTTTCCAGAACTCGGCCTGAGGCTCATGGTTCTGCAATTCTTGCATTTGCGTGCCAATGCTTCCCAGTGCCTACAAGCGTGTTTCTGACCAACCGACCTGACATTTTCCCCAAGTGACTTTGGCTTACTCCCCAAAGACATTTCTCCTGTGGGATCTACTTGCACTTTCAGTATTCTTTGGACTGGTCTGCCTCTGCGGGTCCCCAGTGGGCCTGTACGGGCCGGGTGTTGTGGGAGGCAGGCGGGAGCCAGACGTGTGGGGTGAGGGTATTTCAGACTCTCTGTGCCAGCTTCCGTTGCCAAAGAGAAATTGTGCTGTGTGCTTTCTTGGACGGATCCTGTGGAAGCCTACATTCTCTGATTTCCTATTTTTTTCCCTAAGTCGCTAAGAACCACCAGAACCCTTTGTATTTTAAGTGCTCACGTGCCGGTGCCAGCCTGTCCCTATGTCTCTAGCATGTTCCCCAAAAGAGAGTCCCGTGGGCTGGGAGCACTGGCCTAAATAACACCAAGAGGCTGCTTTGATGTGGGCCCTCTCTGGCCGTGATATTCAGGTGTTTAGCTGTCCCACCGAGCCCTTTTCCCCTACTTCCCTGTATAGTGACAGCACACTTTGGGAACAGGGCCTCAGGGAAAACCAGATGTGATGCTGTGAGATGGTAGCAGAGGTCAGCTCATTACATCGGTTACTTTTATGTGGGAGGAGAAGGTGAACCGGAGCCCTGATGGGGCACACATCCGTGCCCAGGGCTGGTGCCCAGCTTGCTGGAGCCCAGGGCTCTGCAGAGCCGGGGGCCACGTGTTGTGTGCCTGGGGTGATGCTGCCCCCTGGTGTCAGGTGGCGGCAGTGTGGTCCCTGCATTGAGGTTCTAACGCCGGCTCCTTCCTGTCGCTTTTTCAGACCGTGAGTCCATCTTCTTCAACAGCCACAACGTGTCAAAGCCGGAGTCGTCATCGGTCCTGACGGAGGTGGGTCCCTCTGCTGGGATGGCCTGGCCTGAAACTGCCCTCCCGTGGGCCTAGGTGTGGGCTGCTGTGGCCATGGGGTCCTTGGCCAAGCTCTCCAGCAGGGTAGGGTGGGAAGGACGTTTGCCTCCATGCCACAGGCCCCAGGAGGTTCCAGAGCCCCCTGTTCCTCTGCTTGCTTCGAGTTTTCATGCTAGCAGCCATTGCAGCCCGGCCCAGCACAGGGAGAGGTGAGGGGCACACTGGGCTTGCAGGGACAGACCACTCACTGCAAGCTGCCCACACAGAAGGTGTGCTGACCCTTCTCCCAGCATGAGGAATTGGAAGAACTGCTCTCTAATCTGCCTTGTTCCTGATTTTCAAAAAGGCTGTGGAGGCAGCACCATCTCAGTCCTTTGTCCTGCAGTGGTCCTGAGGCTGGCAGGAGTGTTACCCTGCCCCCAGCACTATGGGTAACGGGCGTTCTGGCCGTTCAGTGAGTGTTGCTGTGGCCAGTGTCAGCCCAGGTGCCCTGCAGTGCGGGTCGCAATCAGGTCTCATGGCATCAGAGAGGCTCAGTGATCTTTGCACGTTCACAAGGCTGTTCACACGGTGCAAGGCTGGGGTTTGACCCCAGATCTGTCTGACTCCAAAGTTGGATCTTCCAGGAATTTAGGACTTCTGACCTCACCAGTGATTCCTGAGCACCTGACCCCAAAGAATTTAGGAAAGGCTACCCTCTGCTGTTTGCCCGAAGTCCAGAGAGCCAGCGGCTACTTCCCTAAACTCAAGAGCCCTCTGCCAGGGAGCCTGCTGTTCTGAGGATGCATGTGTGCTGCTCTTCTGGGGGGCTTTGCTGGTCTCTTCCTCCCTGTCCTGGGCTGGCCTCTCCAACGAACCAGCCTCCACTCCAGTGGCAGTGCTCGTGTCCCTCGGGGGGCTGCCCCAGAACCCAGATGGCCTGTCTGTCTGTCTGTCTTTTGTGTCAGGGTCCTCTGAGGAGCCAGCAGTGTGCTGAGGATTAGACAGAGCACAGGCGTGGGCAGGACCTGGAGGGAACATCGCCATCCCTCAGGATGTTGACACATGTCCCCTGGGAACATATCAGGCTTTGGGAACAGATTTCAACAGAGCCTCAGTGCCTGGCTGAGAATATTATGAGATGTTCTGTGCAAGAGACGGCTTTCTTCTAAGCTTCAGAATCCTGGGGCTTCTTCCGTGCATGGCTTTGCTCTGGGGGCCTCGGCAGCCCATGCAATGGAGGGGATTTGGCATTTGCAGACTGAGTGTCCTCTCAGGGGCAAGGCCAGCAGCCGTGATGGCAGAAGGACCCATCCAGAAGTCACTGTCTTGGATTATCACTTGTTGACCTCAGCCTTAATCTCCTCATCTGTAAAACGGGAAGGGGTCAGCCTAGAGACACTGCAGGGCCCTTCCCTTCACCTCTGAGGTCTGCAGTCACCTCCTCCTTCCCTCAGCACATGGCTGCTAGTCAGGAATCTGCCAGGACTGACGATTTCCAAAAATAGAAAAGAGAAATGCGGTCAGCACCACCTTTTCCACTGGGACATCAGCCCCTCCTGGACGCCCGCAGGCTGGCCTGACAGAGCCAGCTCTGTTCCCAGGTGCGGAAACACGCTTGCTGCTCATCCACCTGCCCCTGCCCACCTGGGGCTCCTCCAGTCCTGCCTTGGCCTCCCTGGGAGTCTGGTGCAGGAAGCCCTCCTCTGGCCTTAAAGCACCCCCTCCCTTCCCAGTGGGATGCCCCTGCGGATGGGCCTAGCCCCACCGAACTTGGAGGGCCCCATACATTTTTTGCTTTTCGAAATTCAGTCTAGGGTATTAGTTAAGAGCACAGACTCTGACGGGACTGCCTGGGGTCCGGCCCAAGCTAAGGCGAGTCGCGTCGCCTCTCTGAGCCTTGGTTTCTTCTTCCTGCCCCAGAAGGATTCCGGAGTCCAGGGAGTTCCTGGGTGAGAAGCACCCACCGCAGTTGCCAGGTGTGCAGTATGGGCACGGTCTCGGCAGCCGGGTGCCGAGGCCCACTGGGGACCCATGAACGCCTTCCCAGTTCCTCTGTCACCTCCTTGCTTTCCAGAACGTCATCAGATCACTTGCTTTGAGGGCCCCAGGCATCTTGTCCTAGGATGGCTATTTGGTTTTGGATAACCAGACAACTTCGGAAGGATTTCTGAGATTCTGCAACCAGGCCGAGAGCACTTTTGTAAATGGCGTGCCATGGGGCGTGTGGCAGTGCAGCAGCCAAGCTCCCTTGCTGCTGGGCCTGTGCTGTCAGCCTGAGGCAGCAGCTCCTCCCGTCGTCGGCACCACAATCTCACAGCGAGATGTTTTTATTACCCCATTTACTGGGGCAAGAAAACAAGGCCCAGAAGGGTTCTGTTATGGCTTAGGGTACACAGTGGAGAGTGGGCAGCTCCAAGGTATCCACCAGGGTCTCTCTGACTCAGTGAGGGCCTTGGGCTGCAGGATGAGTGGCTGAGCTGCCCCACTAGGCTTAGCCTCTGGCCCCCACTGGCAAGAGTGACCCAGGAGGCTCAGAAAAGCTAAGTGGCTGGGCGCGGTGGCTCATACCTTTAATCCCAACACTTTGGGAGGCCAAGGCGGGCAGATCGCTTGAGCCCAGGAGTTTGAGACCAGCCTGGGAAACGTAGTGAGATCTTTAATCCCTACCAAAACAAAATACAAAAATTAGCAGGGCGTAGTGTTGCTTGCCTGTAGTTGCGGCTACTCAGGAGGCTGAGGTGGTAGGTTCATTTGAGCCCGGAAGGTCGAGGCTGCGGTGAGTTGTGATCTCGCCATTGCACTGTAGCCTGGGCAACAGAGCAAGGCCCTGTCTCAAAAGAAAAAAAAAAAAAGAAAGAAAAGTGCTAAGGGATGAGTGTCTCTTACAGCCAGGCCACTCCTGCCCCCTAGAAAGTATTTCTTCCAGATACGACACCAAGGCCTTGAGGCTGTGAGCAGGGGGGCCCTGTGTGTCCTGCAAAGCCGGGGTGGGAGATGCGCTGGTGTAGGCCTCAGAGCGTGGGTGATATCCAGGCGTGGGTCCCTCAGAGCGTGGGTGATATCCGGGTGTGGGTCCCTCGGAGCGTGGGCGGCGCCCGGACTTGGAGCGTGGGTGGTGCCCGGGCATGGGTCCCTCGGAGCGTGGGCGGCGCCCGGGCGTGGGTCCCTGCTCAGCGCTTCCCTCCCTGGAAGTTCCCAGTGGTTACTTCAGCCTCCTGTGCTTGGGTAAGGGCCATTTTTCTTGGTGACCAGGGCTCTGTCCCCAGCCCTGTCGATCTGCTTTCACTTTTTTTTTTTTAATTCAGGTGCACCTGGCACAGCGGCTCACACCTGTAATCCCAGCATTTTGGGAGGCCAAGGAGGGAGGATTACTTGAGGCCAGGAGTTTGAGACCAGCCTGGGAAAGATAGTGAGACCCTGTCCCTACAAAAAACAAATAAAATTAGCCAGGCATGGTGGCACACGCCTGTAGTCCCAGCTACCCCAGAGGCTGAGGCCCAGGAGTTCAAGGCTGCAGTGAGCCGTGATTGCACCACTACACTCCAGCCTGGGTGACAGAGTGAAACATTGTCTCTAAATAAAATAAAATTGAGGTAAATTCACATACATAAGATTAACCATTTTAAAGCGAATAATTCAGTGGCAATTAGTACCTTCACAGTGTTGTCCAATCACCACCTCTATCTGGTTCCAAAACATTTTCATCACTGAGAAGAAAACCCTGGGCCCACCGGCACTCACTCCCCATTTCCCCCACCTCATGTTATTGGCAGCCGCTGAGCTCGTTGCTGTCTCTGTGGCGTTACCTGTCCTAGATATTCCGTAGAAATGGAATCACACAATATATGAGCTTTTGTGTCTGGGTTCCTGCACTCAGCATGATGTATTCAGGGTTCCTCCGCTTTGTGGCATATGTCAGAAGTTCATTCCTTTTTATGGCTGTACAATATTCCGTCGTATGGATAGACCAGTTTTTGTAGCTGTTCATCTGTGGATGCACGCTGGGGTATGAATAACACCACGGTGAGCGTGGGTGGACAGCATCCGTTTGAGTACACGTTCTCAGCTCTGGGGTGTGTACCCCGGAGCAGAACTGCCAGGTCAGATGGTTATTCCATCTCCAGCTTTTGAACCCAGCTTCACTTTTGTCTTTCATGGATCAGCCACTCCCTTCCCCTTTGGCCCCTAAGCCCACAACCCCCAAAACTTCACTATTTATTGAGCACCTAGTGTGAGCCCTCCCTTGGCTGATTTAGAGGAGACGGGATGCAGTTCCTGCCCTAGAATTCAGATGAATCTCCTCCCAGCCGGGCACATGCTGTCCACACCTTATCAACATAAGTCTGAGATGGAGGCCTGTTGCTTCCTTTTACAGAAGAGCAAACCTGAGACAGAGAGGCCAAGTACTGTTTCCGAAGTCCACAGAGCTAGGAGTTCACTGTCAGGTTTGGAACCCACGTCTCTCTGACTCCAGAATCCTTCCCAGTGCAGTGCCCCACTTCCTTGGAGGCCTTGGCTGGGGGCAGGCTGAGCCCATGACAGTGTGTGCCTGTCCCAGGCCAGCTGCGACAGGCACAGGACTTGAGTGGCAGAGGGGAGTGCCGGGCTGGGAGGGAGAACAGAGCAGGGTGGCCTGACCAGCACATGGAAACCTTGAGGAAAGCTGAGCTTGGACCCCAGGAGGCAGGCAGGAGCAGCAGAGCAGCCTCTCTGGGGAGCCCGCATTGTTTAGGGTGTGAGTTCATTTGGAAACAGCATTTTTTGGGAAGGAAGACTGGCCTGCTGGGCCACAGGGCCCTCACCCTCACCTCCTTGGGGGTCTCTGTGATGGCAGGCAAGTGGGGGTCTGATCAGAACTCCTCACTTGTGCCCGGCTCTGCGCCCCAGCTGCTCCTAGCCATGTCCCGCAGCTGCTGGCCTCAGCACCTTTGCCTCCCCTGTGTCCTCCCTGGGGCCGCTCTCCTTCTCCCACCCCTCCCAGGGGCCCACATCCTCCTGCCTCCAAGTTCCGGCTTCGGTGCTCTGCACCATGTCTTCCCGGGTCCCTGACACACTCTCCATCTCCTTCCTCCCTGTTAAAAGGCTTTGGTTTTAGAGGCTAAAAAATATGGGTCCAAATTCTGCCCTGTGCTTTTGAGCTGTGTGACTTTAGACCAGCCCCAACCCTCTCTGAGCTCCGGTTTCCCTGTGTGTAATGTGCAGTGCTGGCACTGGCCTTCCAGGCTGTGATGAGCCCACAGGAGGTAATGAGCCTCACACACCTCGTGCCTGGCGGCCCTCAGAGGGCAGGACCTGGCCAGTGGCCGCCCCGTGCTCACCACAGTAGGTCTGTCTGGCTTCCTGGCCTGAAGCATGCCAGGGCCTCGTGGCAGCTGGTGTGGGGGGTCTGTCTGTGTGGTGTGGCTTCGCAGCTCCTCGGCCCATGGCCTGACTTCCTTGTGTATGTTGGCAGCTGGACAAGATCGAGGGCGTGTTCGAGCGGCCGAGCGACGAGGTCATCCGGGAGCTCTCCCGGGCCCTGCGGCAGGCACTGGGCGTGTCACTCTTCGGCATCGACATCATCATCAACAACCAGACAGGGCAGCACGCCGTCATTGACATCAATGCCTTCCCAGGTGAGTGGCGGCCAGGCCACCTCCACTGACCGGCCTCCAGAGACTGTCCTCAGGTGACCAGGCAGGTGAGGCGGGGTGACTGAGGCCAGAAAGCCAGCTTTCTCCCTCACCACGAGGTCCGGGGAGGTGCAGCCCCGAGAAGCCTCAGCCTCACCTGCGCGATGGGCTTACGGGGTGTGCGAGGAGGGAGGGAGAGCTGCACGTCCACCTGGGGAGCGCCAGGCACAGTGGCCACAGCACGCATGTCCCTCACCTCCTCTCTCCACCTGCGTCATTGGTGGATCAGCCCCTCCCCCAGGCCCTCCTCGATTTAAGGAGCAGGAAGGACCTTGAAGGGATTACAGCCCCCTGCAGTTTACATGTTGGGAAACTGAGGCCCTAGAGAGGAGGAAGCTGTTCAGGCCCCACAGCACATTGGTGGCAGGCCAGAGACTCCCAGGCTCACGTTGCCTCCACCACCCTGAACTGCAGCGCCGGGCAGAGGCCTGGGGAGGAGCCCTGGGCTATGGAGTCTGTTCCCTGCTGCCAGCTGGGCCCTAGGAACCCACTGGCATTGAGCCAGGCTCTGCCATGTGCCCCTCAGCTCTCAGTGAGGGGCCCTATGGGGACCGCAGGAGCAGAGCCCCAGCACAGGGCATGAGGAACGATGGTGTGACATCACAGCTCGCGGTCACCAGGCTGCGTGCCTCGCCCTGGGGACACCAAGGCTCAGTGGCTTGTTTACCTCCCGCAGCAGCTCAGAGACAGAGCCGCGCTTGATGCCTTGGTGCCTGCCATTCCCCAGATGGGGGTCCCCCGTTCCTTTCTCCATCCTGACCCTTGTAAAGCATCTGCTGTGGAGGTGAAGCCAGCCTTGCTAGCTGCTGAGGTGCAAAAACGTTCAGGAAATGCCTCCTGCCTTCAGAGACTGTGCCTGGCAGGTGGGGACTCGGGGTTGTTTATCGTGGAGGTGAGGCAGGACCTTGGCCCCACACACTGGCTGGGCACTTTCTGTGTGTGTCACCTCCGCTCGTCTGAGAGCATGCGCAGGCGCAGTCAGCAGCACCGGCCACAGCAAGGAAGCCAAGGCTCAGAGGAGTGTGCTGGCTCCTGTCATTCAGCTGGTGTTTACCCAGGGCTGCTGTCGCCCAGGGCTGCTGTGTGTCCCAGCTGGTCCAGATGCTGATGCAGCTTGAGCTCCACTGCCATGCCCTGCCTGGGGAGAGCTCACCCCTGTCTGGAGGAGGCGGAGGACAGAGCGGGCGGTCAGCGGGCTCCTCTGTGAGGTGGTGACACTGGAGCACAGGGGCAGGTCCCAGGAGAGGCACCGTGGAGCCCTGTGGCTACAGCAGGTGCAGCTGCGGGGCAGGAAGGCTGGAGGACAGAGTCAGGGGAGCTGCGTGTGGTGAACTGAGGACGTTGGAGCTCTCCCTGGGAGTCGGGGAGCAGCCACCGTGAGATCTGTGCTTGTGAACTGAAAGGGCAGACCCGTGCGACGATCGTGTTTTTCTCCATTGCCTCTGGGTGCAGTGGGGAGGAAACCATGGGTTTAGCTGGAGCTGGGATTTCATGGGGTTTTGCTGGCAGGTATGAGGGAACCAGGGCGCAAGGGACATTCAGGATAATGCAAGGGACGTTCAGGATAAGGAAGTGTGGGATCTAAACCACGGAGCATGTTTTGAGTGGCAGAATGAAAAGGGGACAACGTCAGTGGCTGGAGGGCCAGGGGGGCACAGGGAGGCCTGTTAGAAGAGAAGTTCTGGAAGGAGGGAGGAGACAGGAGAGGGTGGGAAGCTTTGCACCTGAGCAAGGCCAGTGCCTCCCAACACAAAATGTGTAGATGGTCGCGATCTATGGGTGCAGATAAGGGATGGCCTTGTGAGTCAGTGTGGGGCACTGTGAGCCAGTGTGGACAGGGAGGGTTCTTCCAGAGAAGCCAAGAGAAGGGCCACCCAGATGGGGTGGGACTATGGCTGAGCCTGGCGGAGACTGGTGAGGGAGCCTGGTACTGAGGAGAGGCCCAGGGCTCTGGCAGGGCAGAGCTGGTTCCCCGGGAGATAGCTCAGTGTGTCCGCCTTACCATAGAGCACCCTTTTGGGGCCAAGCAGAGCAGCAGGCCTGTTCTCCTGCACCCCACAGGAGGCACCTTGGGCCATGGGTGTCCAGCAGCACGTGGGTGGGAGAGGCCTGGGAGAGGGCCCCTCCAGAGAGGGGCTGGCTCTGGAGTAATAACCGCAACAGCTGCAAGCGCTGATGACACCGTGAGCCAGGCCTGCCCCGACGCCTCACTTCGTCCTCACGAGGCGTTGTGCAAAGGGCCGCTGGAATCTCTGTGTTGCTGATAAGAATGTGAGGCTGGGGGTTGAGTGGCTTGTCCAAAGTCACGTGGTGGAGCTGGATGGGGCCCAGACTGTCAGCCCCAGCCTTTCCACCTCTCAGCTCCAGCCATGGGTTCGAATCTTGCCTCTGCCTTTACAGTCTGTGATGGCACAAGCCACCTAACGTTTAAGTCTCAGTGTTCACTGCAGTGGGAACCAGTTTCCCACCCTGCAGACAGAGGAGATGGCTTTTGCACAGTGCTGGTATGGAGCTGGCACCCTGCCCTGCAGGTTCATGCCTCAGTCCGCTCCCCGAGCTCCTGTTTATCCTCAGGCCTCCGTGGAGGCAGCCGTCTCTGCACCACCACAGAAAGCGGCCTCCCTGCCCTGGGCCACTGGGCGTTGTCTGGGGATGCTGGAGGAGGTTGCTGGAGAATGGCTCCCTGTTCCCTGGCGCTGACCTGATGGTGGAGCTCCTCCACTGCATTTCTCCCTAGGCACCCAACAGCCATGCCCGTGCCCGGGACACCTACCCTGCCCTCCAGGCCTAGCCCAGGGCCGACGGACACCCCGGGTCCTATGGTGGGGGACCTGGCACCATGTGGTATTCAAGACACACACAAGACCAAGGGCGTCCTTCAGATCCCACTCTGCCTCTTAGGAGCCACCTTGAGCCTCAGGGTCCTCACCTGTGAAACGGGCTGCAGGGGTGCGGTGGGCTGAGGACCGTGGCGCTCACAGCCCAGTGGCTGCTACTTCCCGAGTGCTGTGAACGCCATGGACGTCATCACTGCCCTCCCCGTGGTGGTTAACGGTCATGCCTCCTCATCTGTAAACTGGGGACAGCATTATGAAGATTAGGCGAGAGGATGTTGCGGGACGCTCGCACAGTGCCAGCTCGGGAGGCGCCGCTTGCCGGCCAGAATAGCCATCTTTATTTCCACCGCGGGCACCTGCATCCCCTCTCAGACTTGGGCTTCCTCAAACCACAGCAGTTGTTTGCTGAATAAGTAAGGGCATGGGCAGATTCAGCAGTCTCATCTTCCAGGCCCCTGGGCACTGTAAGAGGTGGCACAGGGTGCCCCCGTCTGAACCTTCATTCCCACCCTGGTGGGGCTGATGGTTGTAAATGTTGTCCCAGAGGACAGCCCAGGGTTTTTGAAAACTCCCGCCCCTCCAAGTTGGCTCAGGCAGGCAGGGCGCTTGCCCTGTGTGAGTCTCTTTTGGAGCAGTTTGCTGGGAGCCAGCAGAATCCTCCCCTGAGATCCGAAACCTGCTTGGTGGCTCCCGAGGGCTCTGCTGATGTTCGCAACTGTGTTAGGAAGCACTTGCCCCAGGCAGGTACCATGGTTTCTGTTCTGTTCCCCTCTGTTAAGGGGAGCATGTGATGCTGCGCCCTGGAGCTTGTCTCAGGCCTGGATGTTGCTAGTGATGCCCAGCATTTCCGTTCCTTGGCTGTGATCCTCAGAGAATGGGACACAGGGGGCCTCCCTGCAGGTATTTTGTGGTGAGAAGGAAGCAGACTCAGTTGGGGCGGCAGCTGCTTTGTGAAGCAGACACCACTCACATCCCAGCCTCTCTCAGTAGTGCCACAGCAGCCTCCACCTGGGCGGCAGCCTTCTCTTCTCAGTTTGCAGACAGGGAAGCTGAGGCTCAGGGTGGAAGCGGTCTCCGGGACTCAGCCTGAGGCCAGACTCAGCTGGGCCTCAGGAGTATTTATTACTCCAAGTGTGTGGAGCTGGCTTTGGTGCTGCTACCTCCAGCCACGCCAACATCCCCTGCACATGTACTGGCTTTTACCATGCAAGTGGATGGGTGGGTGAGACAGTGGAGCTGTGCCTGAGAGGAACAGGGACAAGCAAGTTTCATCCTCAGCTCAGGTTCTTCAGCTTCTCACACCCTGGCAACAGCTGAAGGTCGAGGAGCACGCACCTGGTTGGGCGTCCAAGCTTTTTGACTCCCCTCAGCCCCCCTTATCTGCTGAGCCTCACGTTTTCTCTGTAAATGGGACGCTGACAGCACACCCTGCCTCATCCCAGGAGCCCATCGGTTCTGCCTCCTCCTCCTCCTCCCTGCATGATGCGTGCCCCTGGCTCACGCCCCTTGTGCTGTCTCTCTCCCACCCCCAGGCTACGAGGGCGTGAGCGAGTTCTTCACAGACCTCCTGAACCACATCGCCACTGTCCTGCAGGGCCAGAGCACAGCCATGGCAGCCACAGGGGACGTGGCCCTGCTGAGGCACAGCAAGCTTCTGGCCGAGCCGGCGGGCGGCCTGGTGGGCGAGCGGACATGCAGCGCCAGCCCCGGCTGCTGCGGCAGCATGATGGGCCAGGACGCGCCCTGGAAGGCTGAGGCCGACGCGGGCGGCACCGCCAAGCTGCCGCACCAGAGACTCGGCTGCAACGCCGGCGTGTCGCCCAGCTTCCAGCAGCATTGTGTGGCCTCCCTGGCCACCAAGGCCTCCTCCCAGTAGCCACGGAGCCGGGACCCAGAGGGGCAGCGCAGGGCGCAGAGCACACCCGCTGGGCCAGCAGCTCCCAACGGCGATGCTACTACTAAGAATCCCCAGTGATCTGATTCTTCTGTTTTTTAATTTTTAACCTGATTCTCTGATGTCATGATCTAAATGAGGGGTAGTGGGGGATGGAAGAGAGTACCAGGTGGTCCACCGTTGGGGAGTGGGGCCGTCCGCCTGCTCTCTACTGTGCAGACCTCCTAACTGAGTTTACACACGCTTGTGTTTGCAACACTAGGTCTGGATGGGAGGTGAGGGGTGTGCGTATGGCTGCCATGCCAGTGTCTGTGCACATCCCTGTCTGTTGGTCTCCATGGCCACTGTGGACCGGGACCCTTGGGGGAAGCCTGCCCATGTCGGGCTGTGGGAGGCTGATCGGTGCATGTGAGAGTGGCTTCCCTTCTGCCTGACTCCCCACTCCCTGACCTGCCCCTTCCTTGTTTTTCCTCCTACTGGTCTCCACCAAGGCTTTGTTAGCCCCCACCCTGCCTGGTGTGCAGCTAACCCCTCCCTCCCCACAGCCAGAGGAGGCCACAGACCCCTCAGGGGAGTTCCGCGCTGGGGTCTGGGCTGTGCTCCCTCACTAAAGGGAAGGAAAGGAAGCTGGGCGTCCTCTGGGCCCCCCAACACACGTCCCATTTAGCCCTGCACAGCGGTCTCCTTCCCCTAAGCCAGCACTGCTGCTCCCTGGAGCCCGGGAAGGAGGCTGCCTGGCTGGAGGCCCGAGCCGATGGCGCCTGTGCTGAGGATTTGTGCTGTGATTTGGGCAAATCATTCCAGGTCTTTGGGCCTCCACCCCCTTGTCTCTAGTGGACATTTGAGATCAGAGAGCACCACAGGGCTGGCTTTGTGCCCTAACCCCTGGGATGCAGCCTGCCTTTCCATAAAGTCACCTAGGTGAGGATAGGCGCGGGAGCCTCGGCATGACACCATGGAGATCGGGGCCCTCTTCCCAGTGGGTTCACTCCTTTTCACACCTGCTGGGTCCCTCCTCACCCAGCAGGCCTGGTCCACCTCTCATTGCAAGCCCCAAGCACTGAGCCAGCAGGTGCCAGGGAGCCACCCGCCCCCCATCGCTTCTGCACACCTCAGACTCACCCCATCACCTTGGCAGCAAAGCACTGGCTCTGCCGTCTGACCCCTGATCCAGGCAGCCCCCTCTGCAGAGAAAAGGGTTGGGGAGAAGCCTCTGCAGTCCTGGAAGATGTGGGGTGCTGGGTGAGAGGCATCAGCCCCCACAAGTATGTTTTTGTGTCTTAAGATAGCAGTTTACTTTGAAAAAGTGAAAAAGGCTTCCGGGCTGTCCTCTGCCCAGTGAGATGGAGGACGCTAGAGAAAGTGCTGAGTGTCCCGAGAGAGGCCCCCGAGCCAGTGCATGGAGGTCCTTCGGCCTGGCTCAGCTGGGCTGCAGGATGCCCACTTTGAGGAGGGAGGCACAGGGCTTGGGCGAGGGGCAGAGGCCATCAGAACTGCCCGGCTTTTTTGGAAACTGAGGACCCAACAACTAACCACGTTTACACGACTTGAGTTTTGAACCCCGATTAATGTCTGTACGTCACCTTTCCTAGTTCTGACCCTGAGCCCTGGGGAACAGGAAAGCGTGGCTGGCCTCTTGCACTGCTTTGTCTCCAAAATAAACTACTGAAATCAAACCGCATTTCACACGTGTTTACACATGTTGCTCAAGTTTGTTATGTCATACTCCCAGTCCTTAAAAGACGTTTAATAAAACAGCTTTACCTTTTAAAAATAAAATTTCAATCCCAGTCTGCCTCAGGTACGGGTGGGGGTGTGCAGCGTGACTCCTGGCTGTGTTCCTGTACCGTTTGTGGCCTCCGGGGTCTTGCGCGTCCAGGGCCCAGATACCGAGTAACTGCCATGTGGTGTCGTGGTGGCGTCCATAGGCCTCCGTGGTGGGGCGGGGGCGGGGCTGTGGGTGTGCAGGGCAGCTGCATTTTCCAAGAGTGGAGATGGAGGATGGAGATTTGCTTCGTAAAGGCCTGGGAGCTACATGGGAGGTAGGGAGGGGCCAGCCACACCCAGGGCTGGGGGGCCGGTGGACTCTGCCCAGTGAAGCCAGGGGAGTGTCAGCAATGAGGGGCCTGGACAGCGACGCGGGACCCGCACCTGGGAGCGGCAGAGATGGAGCCCAGCTCGCTAAACGTACCCTAAGGGTGCACGCTGACCATCTTTGATCCCTGGACAGTGTCCATAGAGTTGTCTCCCCTTCGGTCACATTGTCCCTGGCCTTGGAGTTTCTGCCTCAGGGAAAGACCCACTAAAACCACCCGGGCTCTGGCGGCCTCCTCTTCTCCAGAGCATGGTGGCGCTGCCTCCTGAGCAGAGTCACTGAGAGTGTCTGGGTCCAAGGAAGGGACCCACTTAGCAAAGGTTGTTGTGTGGTGCTGTGCAGGCACGGCGCCTGGAGTTGGCCCCGCCAGCATCGGGGTGGCTTGGGGCTCTGGTTCCTAAGCTTCTGCTTCTGAGTTGGTCAGCACGTTGGCTCTGCGCCCTGCAGTGCCTGTCTTGATGGTGGTCCCTGGATGTGCTGAAGGGCTCCAGGAGCAAGGGGCCAGACCACACTTTGGCTGAGTCCTTGGGTAGTTTCAGAGGGTCACCTGCACAGTCTGCATTGAGCACCCTGGGGCTGAGGCCGTGGGTCAAGTTCTGCCTGACAGTGCTTTGATTATATGGTGATGTGATTCTGCAAACATAACCCCCCAACTGAGTGCCAGCTGCTGGGTGTCCCCACCCCAAGAGCCAAGGGGAGGCCACCCTGGAACTGGTGCTTTGCCCTTGGTGTCATGGAGGTGTCTGGGTCCACACGTGGTGGGTGGGCTGGGCCTGCAGTCACCCAGCATGGCCGGCGGGATTGGACCCAGCTGCAACCTGGCAGGTTCCATGGGGCTTCCTGTGCCTGGGCCTGCCTGTGTCTCATGCCTGTCAATAAAGGAGAAAGCAACCTGGGAAAAACATTCCTCTCTGTACCCAGGGGACTGCCAAGTGTGCTTTATAGAAGGCTGGAAGACCGACTGAAGTAGGAAGCTGTCACATGTTTGAGCCAACTGAGCAAAGCAGCTGTTGCCTGCCAGACAGCCACCCCAAGACCAAGGGAGCCAGCCTGTCGTTTGTCCTTCTAGCCTGGAAGACCAGTTCTTGGCTCTTGGGCACTCACATTGGCCACTGGCCACAACTGCTGAATGGCTTCACTAATGTCCCTGGGGTCTGTATCTGCCCTCTCTTCTATTCCCTAGAAACTCTGGCCGGGCATGGCGGCTCACGCCTGTCATCCCAGCACTTAGGGAGGCTGAGGCAGGTGGATCACAAGGTCAAGAGATCGACACCATCCTGGCCAACATGGTGAAACCCCATCTCTACTAAAAATACAAAAATTAGCTGGACATGGTGGTGGGCGCCTGTAGTCCCAGCTACTTGGGAGGCTGAGGCAGGAGAATTGCTTGAACTCGGGAGGCGTAGGTTGCAGTGAGCCAAGATCGCACCACTGCACTCCAGCCTGGCAACAGAGCAAGACTCCTCAAAAAACAAACAAACAAACAAACAAACTCTGATCATTCACCCGGTGGGATCCCCGGCAGCTCCTTCTCCTTCCCGAGCTGTGGCTCATGGGCCATTGGATTCAGAGACCTTGAGCTGGGTGCTGGCTGCCCTAAAGGAGCACGACCCCTCCAGCCTGGTGACCGGGAGGCAGAGAAGTGCAGCTGTCCTTGACAAAGGCCCAGCCTCTGCTGCCTCAGGCCAGCCTGGCCACACCCCGATGCCACAGTCATCTGCCCCGCCCAGGCATAAGCCTGACTCAGGTGATACAGGCGAGGCTTCTCCCATGGGTCCTCCCCTTGTGAGAAAGGGTCTGTGCTGTGTACCTTCTCTCTGCACAGCCATTGTCAGTGTGGTTTGGAGTGAGTGAGCCTCCCGCACTGCTCAGGGGAGAGCTGGTGAGCATGACTCCATGGCCTCCTGCTGGTTGGGGTCTTCTTCTGATTCTCACCCGCAGGAGCACCCAGACCCCCCCTTTTCAGAAATGATTACATTTTCCCTTCAAGAGTCATCTGTGACCTGGTGGTGTGGAGGGACTGTCCCCTCCTGCAGCCTGGCCGACCCCCTTCCTCCAGGGCTGTGTGGAATCACCTCTCAGAAGCTCACTCTGAAAAGCCACTCACAGGGATTTCACCAGGATGTTGCTGTTCCTGCCGACACCTGGGCTTTGTGACAAATGCTGTTTGCTTCAAGCTGTTCACAAGCAACTTCACCAGAATCCCAAGCTGGTTCGTACTTAATTTGTGTACATACATATGCATAATATACATGACCATGTATGAGATACAGACACCATGGCTTCTGTCCATTGGCTCATTCGCCTGGTCGCATGTTCACTCCATGAGGTTAGGACACTGCGGGTGGCTTTGGGATGGGTGGTTTCAGGGACAAGGTGTCGCTATGATCTCTGTATTTGCTAACTAGTCTTGTTTTGATTTCTAACGGTCTAGTGGAGTACAGTTAATGTTGTGTTTATTTCTGTAACTGTAGGGGTGGAGTATAAACCTAACTTTTGGAAACATGAAGAAATAAACAATAGCGCCAGCCGTTCGGAGGGTGTCCTTCTGTGCTTTGCAGGGGGCAGGGGGTGCGCATTAGCCGCCATGAGCAGCCCATCCTCATCAGAGAAACCCAGACTTGCCGAGACCCCTCAAACGACTCAACACCATTGCAGTGGTTTTCTGTGTGGGCTCCTGATCATCACCATAATCTGGTAAGGAGATAGTAAGTATTGTCTCCATTTTATAGATGAGGAAACTGAGGCACTGAGAGGGCCAGGAGCGCCTGCCCAAAGACTCCTGCTCATTAATGGCTGGGCTGGGGAGTTCAACTCCAGTCTTAGGTCCAAATCTGAGTTCCCACCATGGAACCTTGCCTGCTCAGACTCACCAGGCAGAGCCTCAGGGACTTGGTTCCCAAATCCCAACTGGCCTCTGGACTTGGCTCTGCCTGGGACCCTGGAGGGTGGCAGCGATGCCTCTGAGCCTCACCCACCCACAATGCCCATGTCTTTCCCATTCCTACCTGGAAGACACCACGTGGGCAGCCTGCGAAGGCCGAGGCCCCTCCCTGCACCCTCTCCACCACTGCCTGGGATCATCACCCTCCCTGGCTTGCTCGTGTTTGAGCTGCAAAGGCCAAGGACGTTAGCCCCAGAACTGCCACCTGGACAGGTGAAGTGACTGGCCAAGGCTAACCAGCCAGTCCAGCAGAACCTGGCTCGAACCCAACCTCCTCCTGGCCTGCAAGGAGCGCCCTCCAGCGTGGGCGTGTGCTCCTCCTGCTGAGCGTACTTTTGTCCCCATGGGTTGCTTTGGCTGTTGAAGGGTGCAGCTGTCCCCGCTGGACAGTGAGCTTCTTAAAGCCAGGGCTTGTCTCAGCCATGCTCAGGCCTACCAGGCCCAGAGCAGCCATGCACAAATGTTTGACGAGTGACTGAATGATGGGCCCTGATATTCAGCCAGTACACATGGGTCCTGACTGTGTAATCCTCACAGTCCCCACGCTTCAGTGTTCTGAGCATCATCCCCGCCTGTGACTTGGGTGAGTCATTTCACCTTCTCTGCCTCAGTTTCCTCATTCACAAAACTGGGACTAAGAGCAGCCCGTGCTCTAGTGAAGCGTTACATACACGAGATCTTCAGACGCCCCACATTCCTATGCCTTCTTCCTAGGCCAGAAGTCATAGCAGGGCCTAATAAGTGGTTATGCCAAGGGGTCCCTGCAGCTCAGAGGCTCAAGTCTGATGCCTGTGTCCTGCGACAGGCACTAGACTGGGGCTGTCAGGGCCTCCACCCGGCACCACAGGTGACTGGATGGCGGGGACCATCAGGGAGGGGCGACCTGATCTCAGGAAACAGAGCCCGTGTCCCCACCTGGCGCTGCCTCTGCATGGCCCAGCTCAGGTGTGGCTGGGGACGGGGAGAGGAAGGAACCTGGAGGCCCTCAGCAAGTGTGCTTTAATCCCTGCACACACTCTTTGAGGCAGGTCAGCATTCCCGTTTTACAGATGAGGAAACTGAGGCTCAGAGCTAACAAAGTCACTTGCTCAAGATCCCACAGCCAGGAAGTGGCCCAGAAAGGAGGTCCCCAGGAGGACTGAACCTCCCTTTGTCCCTTCGCCCAAATCCAGTGCATCTCACTCCACTCTTAAGTTGAGAGGCGAAAAAATTCAGAGGAAAGAGCCCAGAACAGATTTATTTTTCTTTAGATAAAGTTCATACAGAATATGTTACAGTCAGGAGTTCTCAGCTTTCACCAAAAGGTCAGAAGTTATTGCAGTTGTGCCCAGTGGATAGGATGGAGGAAGGGAAACTTCTAGAAAGCTGCCTGTGTTCAGAGAAGGAATCGTCAATGTTTAAAGTTGTGGGGCTGCCCTGCAAAGGATGTTCCAGGGCAGGTAGGAGTCAGGAGTAGGAGACAAGGCGCGTAGGGGGCGATAGGGTGGCCTGGGCTTGGGCAGGCTGGAGGCTGCCTCCCTACCGGAAGCAGCATCCGGGCCATCTGGCCAGGACCTGCCAAGGGGACAGCAGAGCCAGGGCCACAGGGTGCCCTGGGGCCAGCCCTGCCAGCCGGTGTCTCAGCCCCGCCGTAGTGCCTGCAGCTGGTGGGCCACTTTCTCCAGCTCTGCTTCAATGGCCGACAGGCTCTCCAGCTCCTGGTCCTAGGAGAGACATTGGGGTTCACTCGGGCCAGCCTGGCCAGTGGCATGGAAGGCACAGTAAGCCAGAAAGGCGCTGGGTTAGCTGTGTGGCCTCGGACAGGTGGCTTTGTCTCTCTGTACCCTCATCCATCATGGAGACAGTGATAATGAGCTTACTGTACTGCTCTCGGGATCATTATGCACAAGAAGGTGGCTGATGCCGGGGGCCCTGTCCCCACACTGCTCTTGGTGGCCTCTTATCCAGGCCCCACTTCCTCTCAAATGGTTCCGCACAGGTGGGAGTCTGTTCTTTTAGGGCACATGGAAAACAAAGCTTACAGTGCCCTGAAGAGCCCCCTTCCCTCGGCCTAGCCCATGGTTGCCAGGACCCAGGGTGAGGCCAGCCTGGGACTTCCGGGTCTGTCTTCTGCAGCCTTCCCACCTGAGGGGAATGTGGGGCCTGAGACAGGGCTACATGCTGGGGGAGCTGCCCCACATCAGCCTGCCTAGGGCTGGGCTTTGATCCCTGGTCCTGATTGTGAGAGGATCCCGAACTCTGGCTACCCAAGTTTAGGGAAGCAGGGACCCCTCCTCTGAGCCCTGTTCTATGCCCGTCTGCAGAAGCTTTCAGGCCTCAGAACTTGGACACCCACAAGAGCACAACCTCAAGACTTAGAGCAGGAGCGCAGGGAAGGCTGCCTCCTTTGACCTGGGAGGGGTCATTTTCCCGGGGTCACTGCCAGATTTGAGGCTGCCGAGGGCATCCTGGCCCAGGGACCCCGACATTGCAGGCCGTGGAAATAGACTCTACAGCCCCTTAGTCTTGGAGGAGGCCCTGGGGCAGGTGCTCTGCGAGGCTCGGGTTTCTAAGAAGACCCTTGGGCTGTGTTGAGGAGGCCCCCACCCCATCCTCTCCATATGCCTCAGGGGTCCAGTTTCTCTGCCCTGCGGTCCAGAGCTCCCTCTGCTTGTGGAGAAAGGAAGCTGGTGGCACCTCTGGGCCCCCATTCTCTCCAGCTTTGTCCTCAGCCCCTCGCCCTGGGCTCCCAGGCACGTGGGCAGATGCCCTCTCCCGCTACAGCTGCCAACATGGAGCCTTCTTCCTCTCAGACTGCCAGGCCCAGAGAGGGGGTCGGGGGCCCAGTGAAGGGGCCACACCCTCTTCTAGGTGGGCAGAGAAGAGCCTTGGGGTCAGGGCTGCGGACAGGTGTCAGCCTTCCCACAGAGCCTGGGTTCCTACCTGGACACTAGGCTTGAACCAGGTATCCCAGCCGCCTAGCTGCCAGGGACCCCAACTCCCCCCTGCTCCTGTGGGCTGTGTCCCCACGCCCCATTTGTCTTCCCCAGGGGCCCTGGTTTTCAAAGCCTTTGTGTGTTCCAATCATGGTAATGACGTGGGCAGAGGAGACTCCTTACCCCTACTTCATAAATGGAACTGATGAGGCTCGGGGAGGGGAGTGACCCTCCCAAGTCCACGCAGCCAAGAGGAGGCAGAGCCCAGGTCTTCCAGCTCACATCCGGTGTGGCTCCCACCCACTCCCCACAGGCAAGAGATCCCTTGGCCCTGCCCCTGCCCTGCCCCGTTACCCTCATGGGCCAGAGGCAGGGCCTGAGCCTGGGAGGAGGCTGTGCCTGGGCTGCCTGGGGGCCAGGAGGGGACACGGTCAGACCCACCGCATGGTTTTTCCAGGGCACCCTACTGCCTTCTGGACAACGTCCCCACTCAGCGCCTCCCCCGCTGCCACAGGCTGACCTGAGCTCCTCCCATCTCCCAGCCAGCTTTGCTGGGTGCCCCCTGTGAGCTGGGGTGTTCTCCCACCCTGAGAGCCCCCGGTCTGAGCATCTCTCCATCCCCAGACTTCGGCGGGGGGGCCCTGTCCCCTCAGTGGGGCAGGGGCAGTGTGTCTGGGTGCGGCTGCCCCCTGCTGCTCCGTGGCCTGGCACAGAGCTGGCTCCCGCCCCATACCAACCTCTGGTCTGCGGTTTGCGCTGCCCTCCTCCTCTTTCTTCTCCTCGGGGTAGCCTCGGACCTGGAGGGGCAGGCCCGCCTCAAGGCTGTCCTCCCGGGAGGATGGCCTCCAGCCTCGTCGCAGCTGCGGCCCAGGGCCCCTGAAGCCGTAGGCCCGGGCCCGGAAGGAGAGCTTCATGGAACTGTCCCGGTTGTCCTCCTCCTCCTCCTGCCCCTCCAGCCGCTTCTCAGCCGTCAGCTCCTTGGCCAGCTGGTCCATCTTGCTCCAGCGTTTGGAGTCCTCCCACTCCTTGGAGAGCCGCTCCTCCTCCTGCTCCAGCTCTCCGCTCTTCCCACCCCGGAAGAGGCCTTGCGGGACCACTGCCATCTCCTCCTCCTCCTCTTTCTGCTGGGAGTGCTCCTGTTCTCCCTTCCCTTCGGGGTCCTGAGCCTCCTCAGCCCCAGGCTTCCCAGCTCCATCCACAGCCAGAGCCTCCGACCGACCTGGAGCAGGTGGTGGGCAAGAGCAGGAGAATGGGTGGGGGACCACCATTTTCCCAGTCTCTGCCACTCCCTGGGGGCCTCTGCTGCGGCCACAGCCCAGCCTCTCCACAGTGATGACGCTTAGCGGGAAAAACCTTCTTGATGCCAGGCTTTGCAAGACCCTCTCGGCTCAGAGGGGTGGGTTAGCTGGAGCCTGCCTCTTCCCCTCATCCTCACCCCAGAAGCCCGGCAGCTGGAGAGTGAGGAAAGACCCTGACAGGCCCGCAGCGGGAGCCAGGGCCTCTCCTAAACCGTAGTTGAAGCTGACACTGTTCCCAGATCAGCCTGTGCGCTCCTGCCATGGTCTCTGTTCCCAAAGCCAGCCCACCCATCACCCACCCCTAGCTTCTGGGGTTGGTGGGGGGAGGCTATGTGGAATAGTGGGAAATGCATGGTTTTGGAGTCAGATAAATCTGGGGTAGAACCTCAGCTTTTGCTACAAATTAGCTGTGTGACCTTGGGCAAATTACTTAACCTCTCTGAGCCTCATTTGTCCACCTGGGAAATGGAGCTAATACCTACCTTTCAGGGTTGTTATGAAGGTGGAATGAGGTTATGGAGAAGGCTCTCCTCCCACCCATCCCCCTCTCCCAGACACGTTCGTTGAGGTCTTCGCCATCATACGTACTCTCGCCTTTCCGGATCTCCTTGTAGCCAAGGCTCGGGTGGGGGTTCAGCACTACAGTGGGGCCTTCTTCCTCGGGGACAGCCTCCTCTCCAGCCTCAGCCTCCTCCTCCTCCTCCTCCTCCTCTTCTCTCTTTGCCTGCCACCCTGGCTCTGCACTCAGGCCCTTCTCTCTGTCCACCAGACCCTGAGAGAGGCCCTCACTGTCCCCCTCGGCCTGTGGGCCTGGGTATTTCTGGCTGGGGAGGCTGGCTGGAGGGTGGGTGTTGGTGGCCTCCTCCTCCTCCTCCTCTTCCTCCCCAGGGGCCTGATTGTTCCCCTCAGCCTTGGACTCCTGCATGGGCTCCGGGAGGGCCTGGGGCCTGGCTCCGTCTGTGGCTTCACCACTTTTCTCTGCCTCCTTGGAATCCTCTCTTTTCTCCATAACATCCTTGGATGATGGCTCTTCCACCGCCTCTGCAGACACAGCACAGCCAAGTCAGGCCCTGAGGACTGGGCCACGTGTGGGGCCTCCCCACAGGCTAATTTCAGATGTTACTCATTATGTTTCTTGGCTTCCAGCGAGCCCAGCCCAGGACAACGATTAGGGTTACCCCTCTGTCCATGTCCAGGCTTGATCTGAGCACAGCTGGATTTGTTTCTTTCTTTTTAATCCTGACTTTTAAAACAGGTTATTATTCAAAGAACAAAAACAAAAAACCAGACCTTAAGATTAATCCAGGAGATAAAGCCTGAACTGAAAATTAATGTCAGCTGTGTGATCTTGGGCAAGTTGCTTAACCTCTCTGTGTAAGAGGCACCATGACTGCAACTTCATTCTCCCCTCCATGTGGGGCTTCTCTGTCTTCAGCATCCTGTGAAAGGGCTCAATTCTGCAATATTTTAGGGTTTCATTAAAAGGTATTTTATTGTGGCTGCCTTAAAGACAGCCTTTGAACAAGTGAAAATTCCTCCCGTCATTAGAATGATAACCACTGAACAAAGTGCTCCCAAGTACATTCCACCATCTGAGCTTCACCAGGACTCTGGTGAAAGGTGCTCCTATGCCTATTTCACAGAAACCCAAAATGATCTGCAGAAAGGTAAGATGACCTGTCCATCTCACAGTTTGCGGGCAGCAGAGCTGAGCCTGGAACCCAAGCCTCCAAATGACAAGCTCGGGATCTCTTTGCACTGACACATGGCTGCCTGCCTCATTAAAGCTTCAACCAAAGTGGGGGCACCTGGGCTTCACTTGCGGGCTTTCCCTTTCAGCCCCAGATGGGAGACACCAGGATCCAGCTCCTGGACACCGGCCTTACCGGCCCATCTTCTACATGGAGAGCAGAAGCGCCACGGGGCCAGTTTGTGGCTCTCCCCGGGAAGGGAGGATGGCTCAGAGTGTCGCACTGACCTAAGGCATGACCTCTTAGACTCCTAGAAGCTCTTTGGTTTCAAGAAAGATGATCTGGGTTCATTTCACGTTTCACACCTACTCTGTCTGTGGTCCTCCTGCATCCTGGCTATTCTGAGGCCCCACCACTTCCCAGGAGGACAGGCACTGGGGGTGGGGGCTCTGCTACAGTGGCCACTGGGTAGACCCAGAGTTGAAGCTGTCCACCTGCCATGCCAGAGATCTCCTGCCCTAGAGTGCCAGCCCCTCTTCTGGGCAGACGGGACCGAGCGAGGGCTTTGGTGTGAGGCAGGACCAGATCGAAACCCCTGGTCATGCCACTCACCTTGGGCAAGGGACCTAGTCTCTCTGAGCAGCAGTTTCCCCATTTGTAGAGAGAGGGAAATAAGGGATTATGGGTGGGGCTCCCGACTCACTGGAACCCTGGGTCCATCATAGCCACTGTTCCCACTGCCACCCTCCCTTCCCCACCTCCGGCCAGACCGGCTGGGACAGACCTTTCAGCTCGGCCTGGCTGCTCTGGTTCTCAAGAACCTCTGAGAGTTCATCTTCAAAACCGCTGTGTTTCTTCTGCTGATGTGCCCTCTCCTTGGCGCCTGGTATGAGAAAAGGAGGGAAAAGTCCCATTGGGTGCAGCTGTGGCATATTTGTCTATAAGAGTGAAGACCTCCATTTCCCCATCTGTAAGCTGGGCACATCATGTTCAGGGCCTGCCCAATGAGACACTGATGGGGCGTGAGCTTGGGGAGCGGTGAAGGGTTGGCGTCCCTCACCTCTCTCAGCTGGGCCCTCAGGCAGCCACCCTGCCTCGCCAGACTCAGCTTCTCCCTGGGAGGCCAGAGCAAGCGTGCTGTGGCCACACAGCAAGAAAGGCTCAAATGGAGCAAGGATCCCAGGGGCAGGAGTTGGGGGTGGGGAACCCCTCAGGACCTGGCTGGGCAGGAGTTGGGGGTGGGGAACCCCTCAGGACCTGGCTGGGCAGGAGTTGGGGGTGGGGAACCCCTCAGGACCTGGCTGGTAGCTCCAGGAACCCTGCAGCAGGCAGTAATGGTGACAGCTCTTGATTCAGGCAAGCTCTGCTAACCTTGGACGCTGAGTCCAGGCCCGGGGAGAAGGCCAAGCCCTGTGCCTACATCTGAGCCCAGGGTTGGCGCCTGCAGCCATGACCCAGAGACCCCTCTCCCCCCGCCGCCGCTGCCTCCTCTGACTGTCCCCACACCTGTGCCTTATTCCTGATGTTGGCCCCTCAGTTAGCCCAGCTCATTTCTTCCCCAACAATGGGCTTTCCTGGGCAGCTGTGGGCCAGGGAGCATGCCCAGCCCTGGTCTCAGGCAACGTGGGTTCCAGTCCCCTTCTGGCTATTTCCTAGCTCCATGGGCAACTTGGGCTCTCCAAGAGTTGGGTGCTTGTCTAGAAAATAGGGTTGCTGTGTGGTAAATGCTAAGACAGAGGCACACAGAAGATGTTATGGGAGCCCAAGAGGGAGTGGACGGATAGACGGATGGACAGAAATACATCCAGGAATCTGTTAATGGAAAATAGTCATATATACATATATTGGATACTGCTTATACGGGATACACACGTGCATGTGAATAGAGATGTTTCAGGACACATTCTCCTATAATAGTCTCTGTTGACAGTCTATTTAATTATTTAAATGTAATCAGTTAGTCATTCAATATTTAATTTTAAAGTTATCAATTGTAATAAAATATTTAATGCTTAGTTAAAAACAAAACAAAACACTAGTCCAAGGTCACTGATGATGACATAACTATCCAGGTAATAATAGTCCCAGCTGTGCCCAGCACTCCCTGCCCCCTCCAACAACAGTAGGAGGTGGGTGCTTGCTGCCCAGGCTGGCTCATGAGTGGGAGGAAGAACAGTGTGTTAGCTTGGAAAGGGCCACAGGAATCCTACTGACGTGGCTGTGTTTACGTGCCTCCTCCCCAAAGCCCTCTCTGTTCTCACACATGGCCTGGTCTGTCCCAAAGGCCTCAGAGTGGGGCCCATCCTGAAGCCAGAGCAGCCTTCGTACCCCCACCCCACCCCAGACACAAGCCCAGCCCTGAAAAACACTCTCGCTTCGTTGGGAAGCAGATGCTGGATTCATGCTGTAATGCCCTGTTCTCATGGAGAGACACACCACCACCAGTGGTCCTGCCCTGGTGGAAACGGCCGCTTCCCACAGGAAGTCAGCCGGGGCAGGTGCAGGGCCAAACTCAGGTTTCCTGACTTGCAAGGCTAGGGCCGTGCTTTGCATCAAGCCTGGAAGGAGCTGGGGGGCTGGGCATAGAGGCTAACTGTGGGAAGATGGCAGCTTAACCCTCCACTCCAGTATCCTGTCCAGGCTTGGCTTGAATATCATCAGTGACGAGTGGCTCACTACTTCATAAAGGTATTTCCTAAAATGACTGAACTGCAGAGGCCGTGGGTTTTAGGGAAGCTGCACCTGGCATGTCTCTATTCACTGTGTGACCTTGGACAAGTCACTCAACCTCTCTGGGCCTTGATTTCTTTAACAATATCAATAACAGATTGAGCCAGGTGGCACGGCGGATCCTGCTTTTCCGCTTTATAATTAAAAGGAAATGACAGTCCCAGAGAGGAACTTGCTGAATCTTCCACCAGATTTTCTGACTCTCAGTTACTGGAATTTACCCAGAGTCAAGTGCAGTGGCTGGAAAATACCTTGGAGAGCGAGGTCTTGGAGCTCCTTCAGTAAATTCTGATGTCTCAGAATGGAAAGGATCCGTTCATCTGCAATGAAGAAGAGTCATCATGGGTGGTTTCCAGAGAACAGCCGAGAAAGAGATTACCATCAATATTTTCAGCTGAGCACAAGGAATTTACTCTGGAAACTCAAAACCAGGGTGGTGGCAGCAAGATTGGGTCTTCAGATAACACTTTTGAAATTACCTCCTTTCCAAGGTATGTGTCAGTTTCCTACTACATCAGAGAAGTCAGCCACTGCCCCAGCAGCCAGACCTTAGCCAAAGGGTGGCAACCCCTGAGGATGAGTGGGGTCTCTTTAAATACAACAGGTTCCCATCTCCATGCCTGTGTTCACACTGTCTACCACACCTGGACAACCCTGTCTTCATTTTTCCACTCATCGGTTTCCAATGTTTCTTTTAAAGCCCAACCGAAATGCTGCTGGCTCTATCCAGCAGTTAGTAAAAACTTGACTGGTTGCCTGGAAAGATTTCGTCCTTCTCCTGTCCACCCATAACATTCCTTTATTCATCACACATCTAGAGGGTGTCTGCAGAGGCCAGAGGCTGTTCTAGGCACTGGGATACAGCACACAAAATCTTTGTCCATAGGGAGCTCACAGTCTGGGGGCTTGCTGTTTCAGCCCTGGTTTTATTTTGCCCAGAGTTCTAGTTAACTGTGTTCATATGCATCCCCTCTGCCAGTCTGTAAGCACCTGGGCTACAACCCCTTCAACTGTCTGTACACCTTGGACCCTGGTGCAGTGCCTGGACATGACGGGCACTCAGTCAGTGACTGTTGAGTTAAATCATTAATTCCACCAAAAGCCACACACCCATGTCCTAGCCTCCCAGCCCAGCAGGCAGCAGCCCTCACCCCTAGCCTCCAGCTCATACCTCCTCGGAGTGTCTCAAAACATTCCTGGCTGACAGGCATGGGGCTGGGCTTGGAAAGTGTGTCGGAGATGACCTCAACGATGCATTTCATCACCTGGGAACACAGTGCAGGGGCAGGTTGGGGCTGGTTTGAGCATGGGGCTCAGTCCCTGGAGGCTCTAGGGTGAATTTCTAGTGAGGACAGAGGGTATTTGCTTTTGTCTTTGGGAGTCCATGATCCCTGGCTCAGGGACACAGCTCTGCTTTCTTAGCCAGACAGTGATAGCAATGATAATAGAAAACCCTTAACACAGTGCTTACCATGTGTCAGCCACTCCAACCACATGGCCAGCAGGTTCCCCTCCAAGGTGGATCATAGTGAGAATGGGGTGTAGGGAATGGTACCTGGTACCTTCTCATCCCCAAGTGCTATTTCTCTAAACATGAGAAAACTGCCTCAGGGCACTAAAATGATGTCTTACAAAAGTGCTCTGATCGTGAAGATGCCCAAAGGTCAGGTCCTCCAGGAAGTCCTTCTGGACTGCCCAGAGGAGACAAAGACCTTCCCTGGCTCTACCCTGTTTGGAAATAGGATGTAGGTTACTGTCTCCAAACACCCATGGTGTTGTCGTATGCAAGGAGTCACAGCTTCATATTCTCACTCCATGTTCATCATGGGATGGGTGAATCCCTGGGCGGCATGTGAGCACACATTGACTACACCTGGGAGCATATCCCAGGTCAACCACAGCCACGCCTCTGAAAGTCTTATCCTGTGCCTGCAAAGGTGCTGTGGATAATTAGGCATCTGATAAATGAGTGATCTTTGATGATGGTGCCCACCGTAATGTGGTATCCTAGCTGTGTGATCTTGGAGAAGTGACTTAACCTCTCTGAGCCTCAGTGTCCTCATTTGTAAAACGGGAGTGAGAATACCTTCCCAACTGCTCTCCCAGGGTAATGAGGTACAGATGGAAAAACACTCTTTCAAGCATGGAGTGTCAGCACGCCCAGGGAGGGGTTCACAACTCCAGCCCTGCTTCCACAGCCTAGAGCTGAGTAGAGAGCAGGAGGTGTCAGACAGGCATCAGGCAACACCGGCAGGGAGTGAGGGGGTGGGAGGCTGTGTCTACGGGATGCCAAGGCAACCGGTCCAAGGATCCAAGATGGCAAACTGGCAAGTGCTGTATAATGCATGTAGTCACAACAACCTCGTATAGAATCTTCAGGTCTTAGCCAGCTGCTCTGGTGCCCCTGACCACAGGCTGCTGGGTATAATATGGTGACCAGGGTGTCTCCCATAAGGGATCTAGCAAGGAGAGCACAGCAGCCTGTACCCTGTATCTCCCTGCAACCCCGGACCTTGCATTGGGAATATCAGATAACCACCTGTTCGAGAGGGCATTTTCTGGGAGGCAGGAATTGGGTAGAGGGTCTGGAGAGGGATGGGGAGATCAAGAAGGCAGCTCTAGGAATAAAAGTGCCCATTTACTGAGGACCTATTATGTGCTAGGCAATTCACATCCATGATTCCTACTCTTTACACCTCCCCTCAAGGAAAAGGAGAAAAAGGCGGAGCTCAGAGAAATTAAGGAATTTTCCCAAGGTCACACAGCTAGAATGAGTGGTAGAGGTTTAAATTCTGTCCTATCTGCAACTAAAACATAGGAAATATAATTGAGCAAACAGAGGTTGGAATCTCTTGGATGGTTTGGATTTTAACTGTGGTGTCTAGTGGAAGAGAATAGTTTCTGGGAAGGTGGGGAGTAGAAATTTCTCTGACCCTCAAGTCAGAGATTTGGATGAGCACTAGAGCCTGGAAAAAACAGCCCCAGCTCAGCCATGAATGAATTCCAAGTACACACCCAGCGTGGTGTGTCTCTTGCTGCCAGAGAAACCCCTACTAGTGTCTCCTAAGGCCCTTTCCTGGGTGACCTCCACAACTAGCCCCTATTGGTGGGACCGTGGGTGCAGGAGCCATGATCAAGATGTTTTGCTTGTGTTCCTTTGGGACAGCCAGGGCTGGAGAGCCTGCTGGGTGTGGGTTGTTACTGGCAGAGCCTTTCAGGGAGAAAGAGCAAAGCGGGGAGGCCAGAGCCAGGCAGGCAAAGGCCATTTTTACAGGTCTGTGGACAACTACAACTACAGAGAAGCCACCCCCACCAGCCCCTGGGGAGCCTACTGGATTCAGAGTGTTCAAGACAGCCTGAAGCCAGGCACCTCGGCCCAGCAGGTAAGATGCAGGCCTCTTCCGCTGCATGTGCAGCTCAGAGGAAGCTGGGGAAGTCCCCACAGCAGGACAGCAGGGAAAGCAAGCAATCTTTGATATCTTCTTTTGCAAGCTGTCCCCAGGCTCAGCAGCCGCAGTGCTGGCTCTTGGCTTTATGCCGAACTTACTCCTGCAGCTGCCCAAGAACTGGCTGTGAAGTGTCCACTGGAGCCTCCTACCCCTCATCCCCAGCACCCCTTCTTACCTCGGTATCCCCTTTATTCATAGGGCTGTTCACAGGGAGCGCAGTGACTGGGAAGAAGAAGAGAGTGCTGGGGTCACTCCTCTGCTCCAAGTGGAGGCCAGTCCTTTCTGACCGGGCTCACTGGGGCCCGTTCACCCAATGCCACCCCTCAAAACTGCCCCCACCAAAAAGAGAGGCTAGGGCTGATTTTGTTTCCCTTCCCTGGTTGCTGCCCACAGTGGGGTGGTCCCCAGAGGCTGCACTGAGAGGTCCTCCCCCTCCCCCTTTGGAAACTCTTGCTCTGGAGCGGGTGTGCTTTGGAGCGGGGAGCGCCATCAAACAAGGCCAAGAGCTGCACAGTGGGACGGGTGGGAGACAGACGAAGGGGAGAGAGACCCCAGAGGTGGGGGGGGCGGGGGAAGAGATGGAGGAAGGGGATTGTGAGGGATGATATGGAGAAGTAGAAGTCAAGGGCAGAAAGGCGGGGAGCGTGAGATGAAAGGGGAAGAGGGGTGGAGGGTTGCGAGCAGCCATGCTCCCACCTCCCCGCAGTGACCTTGGCCGGCCACCGCGCAACCGGCACTGGCCCTGATGCAACCGAGGCGCCAAGCCCAGACAAGGGGTGGGCACAAGGGGGAGTTGCCCCGGGGGGTTGGGAGTCAGGCCCAAGTGTCTTGTGGGTCCCAGGCGGAGGCCACACTGCAGGGTCAGGCGGGAGGCGGAGGCGCTGTCCGCGGTGCTGAAAACTCGCCGCGCCCGAAGGGAAGTGTGGAGGGGTGCGGGGCGCCGCGCGGTGCCCGGACCTCAAGGTGGGCAGGGGCGCCCGGAACCCTCTCCCGCGAGCTCCCCGCGCTCGCTCACCTTGCCCGGCGCAGAGCAGAAGAGCCAGGACAGCGGCGGAGCGCATGGCGGACCCGGGCGCCGAGCAGCTGGCGGTGTGGGGCCGGGCACCTAGGCACCGGGCGAGGGGCGGCTGGACTGGCGGCCGGGGTCGGGCTGCGGTGGCACCGGCGCGGGGCTGGGGGCGCAGTGCCTCGGCGTGCGTCCGTCTGTCGGTCGATCCTCCCGCAAGCTCCCCTGCACGGGGCTCGAGCACTGCAGTGGCAGGAGCGGTGGCAGCAGCAGCGCCCTCGCGCCCCGCTTATATACCCCGACCCCGGAAATGACGTCAGCGGTGCCGCCCCCTTCCCCTTTCCCCACTCCCCAGGTGTCCAGTCCCCGCTCGCCCCCACCTCTAACCTCACCCCTCGCTACCTCTGGCCTCCGCCGCTTGGAGCTGGTGGGTCTTGGCCGCGAGGCGGGTATCTGGTTTCCAAGAGGTGGCGTGGGAGGCGGGGGGCTGTGGCTGATCCTCCACCCCTCGACGATTCCACCGATTTGCCTTGTGTCCCTGGGCAAGTCACTCGGATCTCTGGACCTTGCCTTCTTCCATGTGTACTGAGGTCCCTGGCAGCGCTAGCACCCCGTGCTATTTTTCCTAAGTGCCCTCTGCCTGGGGTATGCTCCCCCGGTCTCACAGGCTGGAGGCATGCCCATCACTCATGGCTCTCTCCAATATCTAGGAGGCTCTAGAGGGGCCTTTGATCCCCTGTCTGAGTGAGGCTTCTCTCTCTCTGGCAAGCTAGTTTTGTGCCTTCACACTTTGTTGTTGAATGTGTATTTATTTGAATAATGTTTAGTCATCATTACTTTCACAGTGCTGAGCGCCACACAATCTGGCACAGAGGAAACGCACTTGACAGGTAACTGATGAATGTATCCATTAAAGGTTCAAGCCATGGGTGAGTGAATCCTGGGCTCTGCATACACACGGGAACCAGGGGCTCACTTTCACCAGGAAGCTTAAGCCACTGTTGGACACCTCTTGTTAGGTAGAGGGAGGAGTGGGGGCCAGTTCTTATTACATCCGCCAAAATAGGAGTCCTTGCAACACCTACCCATTAGCCCTAGTGCAACCCCTTAGCATCACCTTCTTGCCACTGGCAGCCCATCTGAATTTGAGAACAGCTCTCACCTCTTCCTGAGCATTCTCAAAACCTGGATATTTTGTGTAAAAGGTCAGTTTCCTGGTTGGCTTCCCTTATTTCTGGGGCCCCTGATGCTCCAGCTCTTTGGGCTCCAGCTCTGGGGGCCGTGTTGGAAGCTCTTTGCCACCTGACCCCACTGTCACAGGGAACCTGGGATCTGGGTGACGGTTTGTCATTGGCTGGCATCGTCCAGAGCCCCTCCTTCCTGCCCACCCCTCTCCATCTGCGGCTGCTGTTTTCTACTAATACTTCCTTTCCCACACCTGTGCTCACGCCTGTCCCTAAATGAGAACCTGGTGGGAGCTCAAAGGAGACTGAAATGGCCACATTCATGAATTTACATATTTGCTTTGCTAAGCACCTACTATGTGCTTAGAACATCCTAGAACAGTACACAGTTGAGGGTACAGCATTAAACAGAACAGACAGAAGCCCTACATTCTAGATGGTGAAGACAGACAATGAATAAGAAGTAACACCCACAGTTTGTCAGCACGGAAGGGGACGGCTGTGCTGAGACAGGGTGGGGTTATACTTAAATAGGGTGGGTCAGCTGGGCGCAGTGGTTTACACCTGTAATCCCAGCAGTTTGGGAGGCTGAGGCGGGCAGATCACCTGAGGTCAGGAGTTCGAGACCAGCCTGACCAACATGGTGAAACCCCATCTCTACTAAAAATACAAAATTAGCTGGGCATGGTGGCGCATGCCTGTAATCCCAGCTACTTGGAAGGCTGAGGCAGGGGAATCGCTTGAACCCAAGAGGTGGAGGCAGAGTGCAGTGAGCCAAGATCATGCCACTGCACTCCAGCCTGGGCAACAAGAGTGAAACTCTGTCTCAAACAAACAAACAAACAACAACAACAACAACAGAAATGGGAAATAGGATGCTGGTTTCCAGGGGCTGAGGGGGAGGAGGAAACAGTTAGTGTTTCATGGGTACAGAGTTTGGGCAGATGAAAAAGTTCTGGAAATGGATAGTGATGATGGCTGCACAGCAACATAATTGGACTTAATGCCACTGAATTATGCCCCTAAAAATGGTTAAGATGGTAAATGTTATGTTAGGGATATTTTATCACAATAAAAAAAAATCACTCTCAGTGTCTTGTGGGGATGTTGACTGCAAGAAGGTGGCTGGTTCTAGCCTGGAGGATAGAGAGCAGGGGGCAGAGCAGGTGTCCTGGCCTCCCTGGAGGACAGAAGCTGTCCAGCCAGCATCTCTGGGAGCACCACAGGCACTGGAACTAGTGAACAGAAGGGGAGGGGCACCAGAGCCCCTGCCCGGGCTTGGTCTACTGGGATCCAGGGAGGATTCTCACAGATGTTCTCCTCTCCAGAATGCTGATTTCGAGAGAGGCCCCAAAAGTAGCCCTCTCTCTCCCCCATGGGGAGATGTAGGCTCAGAGCTGGCCAGGACCTCTTGCTGCTCCCCAAAAGCCAGGCGTGAATCTAACTCCAACAGTGCAGTCAGAGCCCTGCCCATGTCTCTTGGTGCTTTGAGGGCCCTGACGAACCTCCCACCGCTGGGATCTACCCTTCTGTGCCCACAGGCTCTTTTTTTTTTTTTTTTTTTTTTTTTTTTTTTGAGACGGAGTCTTGCTCTATCATCCAGGCTGGATTCCAGTGGCACGATCTCGGCTCACTGCAACCTAGAAACCCAGAAGCCTGCAGAAAGCTGCAAGTTCAGGGAGTTACCCCCAGGAGCAGCCCTCAGCCGGTGATATCAGGCTTTTACTTGTAAATACCCCTGGGTGGGATAATTCGAAGGAGGATTTTTTGGTACCATTTCCCAGCAGTGATGTCTGGCTTGATAGTGCACACTTTATTGACAGCGCACACTTCATTTAGACAGCCCACATTTTATTGACAGTGCACACTTTATTGACAGCGCACACTTTATGACAGCACACACTATTGACATCACACACTTTATTGACAGCACACACTATTGACAGTGCACACTTTATCGACAGCGCGCACTTTGACAGCACACACTTTGACAGCGCACACTTCACTGACAGAGCACACTTTATTGACAGCGTGCACTTTATTGACAGTGTGCACTTTATTGACAGCGTACACTTTATTGACAGCACGCACTATATTGACAGCTCGCAGTTTATTGACAGCACACACTTTATTGACAGTGCGCACTTTATCGACAGTGCACACTTGATAGCGCACACTTTATTGACAGCGCACACTTTATGGATAGCGCACAATTTATTGACAGCGCACACTTTATTGATAGCGCACACTTTATTGACAGCGCACACTTTATTAATAGCGCATACTTTGACAGCGCACAATTTATTGATAGCGCACACTTTATTGACAGTGCACACTTTATTGATAGCTCACACTTTATTGACAGCGCAAAGTTTATTGATAGCTCACACTTTATTGATAGCGCACACTTTATTGACAGCGCAAAGTTTATTGACAGCGCACACTTTATTGATAGCGCACACTTCATTGGCTTCCTTTCCCTTCCCGACCCATTCACCCTCCCGCCCCGTTTTCCCTTCCTGGTCTTCTACCAGGGATTCCTTGTCAGCCACGTGCACTCAAATCCTTGTCTCAGGGAACCCAAGCTAAGACGCTGACCAGCACCGGCTCTGTGTCTGAGGTGTGGGTGGTCTGTTTTCCCGTTCCTCCAATGGTCCTTGGTACTGTGGCCACATGGAACTCAGTGCCCTTCAAGCCTCATCCCTTCTCGGGCCCTGGCAGGTTTCTCCTCTGTCCCTGGCTCCGGGGTTTGGTTGGTGTTAGTGTGGAGGGTGGCTCTTTAAACACCTGTCCTACCTAGGAAGTGTCTTGTCAGCTCCAGGTCATTGCAATGCCTCCGACCAAGGTTGTGGTCCAAATGGTGAGGGTGGGCCGAGGCCAGAATGCACTTGGTTGGGAAACTGAACAGGGCCTTCCATGAGCCAAGGTGCAGTGACAGAATGAAGGGGTGGGCAGAGCCCGGGGCTCTAGGGTCAGCCTGACACACAGCCTACCCTGGGGTTTCCATCAACTCCCTGAGCGGCCCATGCCAGCCACTTTCCCATGACTTCCCATGAGGAGGAGGATGATAGAATTGCTCACAAGTGTGTGAAGAGTGAAGCAGTCCATGCAGGTGAAAGGCTCACGTACTTGTGATGCAGTCACTATCATCATCCTCACCTGTAGATTAGGAGGTAGAGGGTCAGAGAGGTTGCCTAAGTTGCCTAATAGCACACAGCTAGCAAGTAGCAGAGGAAGGATTTAACCTCAGGCTGTGGGTCCCCAACACAGTAACGTGGATGTTTATTGGTTTTAGATAAATGTGGAAGTTTATTGCTTTTAGGTAGATGCTAATTTTGTCTGACAAAAGGGGAATTGAGTTTCAGAGACAGATAGTGTCTTGTCCCAAGTCACACAGCAAATCCAAATCAATAGCAGGGCTGGGTTGAGAGCTAAGCTCCCCTGGGTCCCAGCATTGGGTTTTCCTTCCTGGAAAAGGTTGCTTTCCCCTGAATGTCCCATGTGATCGTGCTATGGGGGAATGAGCTTCCCCCAGGTATTGCCCAGGGTTGCTCAGCTGCCTTGGAGATGAGCAGTCCAGGCCCTGCCACACTCCGGCCTCTCTGGATCCATCCTCTTTTTCACCAGTTCTACCAAAGCTGTTTGGGGTCTGGGAAGGGGAGACATTCAACTAACATGTCTTGAGCACCTGCTGTGTTCCTGTCTCTGTTCTGGATTCTTGAAATATGCTGCTAAAGAGAAGAGGCAAGGCCCCTGCCTTGTTGGAGCCTATGTCCTAGGCTGAGACAGACATCAACAGCAAACCATAATAAATATGTGCAGTCTAGAGTGGCGTAGAAGGTGGTGATGGCTGTAAAATACCAGGGTGGGAGGGCGTGGGCCTCACTAAATAAGTGGCCAAGGTAAGCCTCATTAAGACAGTAACTTGAGTGAGGACTTGAAGCGGTCCAGGGAGCAAACCACATAGGTGTATGGAGGAAGAAATTTCCAGGCAGAGTGAACAGCCAGTGCAAAGGCCCTGGGGTGGGGGGCAACAGCCAGTGCAAAGGCCCTGGGGCGGGGGCATGCCTGGCAGGCTTGGGAAGGAGCAAAAAGGCCGAGGTGGCTGGGAGAGAGTGAGGCCGGGGTGGTAGGAGATGCCGTGGTGTGGGCTCGCATCACGCAGGGCTTCATGGGCTTTGGCAGGGTCTTTGATTTTTACTCTGAGAAGGGCAGGAGTCACTGGGAGAAGATGGGTGGGGAGGGTGTGAGGCATTGGGGTCTACAATACATCCTATGGATGGGCCCTCCAATCTAGCAAGCTCCCAGCAGCCCCAGCACCCAACTCCATCCCAGGAGGCCTGAACCAGAGTCCAGGAGAGGAAAAGAGAAAGCCATTGCCACCACCAGCCCCTGGTAGCCAGAAGTGTCCCCTTTGGTGAGCATCAGATCCCAGGGGGTGAGTGGCTGCTCCCCTGACTGAGGCTCAGGACTTCTCCATGTGAGTGGTTCCTGCCAGGGGTCCTGCCTGTGCCCCAGGGAAAGCGGCAGCTGCTTATCTGATGTTGGGGCCCAGGCCATGGAACAGCAGAGTCAATACACCCTCGTCCCACTTACAAAATCATATTTTCCAAACACACAGCTCCCCCAAGCCCCTTATCAGGCCTCCAGGTGGAAAAGCCCTGTTGCCTGGCAATGTTGCCTTATCTGCCAGGTCTGCATGGAGGCTAGAGCGAAGTGATTTCATTATATCCTCTCCCATCTGTCTCTGTAAACATCCCCGGGGGCTTCCAATTAAGGTTTTGCTTTCCTTCTTCAGCAGATGTTTGCTTTAATCTAATAAAACAGTTTGCAGGCCTCCTCAGTGGGTGTAGGAGGGCTTCGGTAGGCTTCCGCCAAGGAGGGTGTTGGGAAAGGTAGGGGGAGGGTGCCAGGCACACCAAGCCCTGGACACCGAGGCTGGCTGGGGCACGAGGCACAGCAGGCTGGAAGAAGGAGTGGGCCTGGCCCACACCGAGAGGTGAGAGACATCTGCCCTGTGCCCCACCTCCTCTCCTTCCCAGGGCCATATTCCCCGGGGTCCAGCGGCATGCTGATCCCTCTTGAACATGATGTCTTCTAGGGTGACACCGCTAGGTCAGAGCTTCTGCTTCCAAGGGGAGATCACCTGAGAGATGGGACTGTAGAGGCTCCATAAAGAAGGCGCTACGGGGCAATTGCTTAGTGACGTGCAAACTTCAAACTCACACCCGGCAAACCAGAACATAGGAAGCTGCAGGTTAGGTCCACGGTGGAAGATAGTGGGAGGCACTGACATGGCTGCTTCGATAAGTCATTGTGGTGGAGAGGGAGGTCAAAGCAGAGGTGTTTCTAAGATGGGCCCAGCAGTGAAGTCTCTGAACAGAGAAGACCCCCTGCCCAGGCTCCAACCCCTCAACTTCGTGGGTTCAAAAATGGTTGACCTATAGGGCCTCCTAGGGAGGAAACTTCCAGTGACTTAAGGGTGGTTTATGTCCCTAGAGGTCTTTCCTGGGTGGCAGAAGCATCTAAGAATGGTGGGGACAGCTGTACTTTGGAGCCAGAGAGACCTGGGTTAAACCCTGGCTCTTCCTATACCCATTGTGTGGCCTTGCAAACATTAAGTCACTTTCTGAGCCTCTGCTTCCTCTTTTACAAAATGACCCAAATAATCCCTTCTGTGATTTCTGTGAATTTCACTAGGAGGGTTCAGTCTCACCAACATTTATCAGTGGCTACTATGTTGGGGCCGGCTCAGCGGTGTTGGCAACGGGAGGGGAAGTCCCAGCACAGTTCCTGGCCCTTGAGGGTGCTCAGCACCTGTGACTGTCCCCAGGTGGATGTCATAGCTCTTCCCTTCCCTCTCTCCCCCAGGCTCTGTCCTCGGCTGTAGCCCTGGGTTCACCTGGCTCCATTTGCAGCTGACTGACTAAGTCAGCCATGCCCTGCAAGCCTCAGCATCAGCAGCACTTGGCAGCTCAGCTTCTGAGAGAGCCTCTGTTTTCTCTTCAGGAAGATAGGGCTGTTGATATCAGTACCCACCTCCTAGAGCTCTTGTGAGGCCTCGTGGAGTTAATGTGCATCAGGTGTGTCACACAGAGTTTGGCTTGGATGAGTGTGGACTCAGTGGCAGCGCCTGCCTGTTCTTCTCGTAGCTTTGGGATGTGGTTTTTCAGGTGGCTGAGGATCTCTGATGTTCAGGATGGTTGAGCTACACATGGCTGTGTCTAGTGCCCCCTGAAGGAGAGGCAGGAAATGAGATGGGGGTCCCTGGTGAACTGAGGGGTGCTGCTCCTGCTCTCCACTGAGGAGCAGAGGGTGAGCTCATGACCCCAGCCCTCAGACCCTGCCTCTCCAGAGCCAGCCCAGTTGAGGGTCAGAGGCACAGACAGAAAGGTCTTTGGGGAGCTCTGGCCTGGAGAGAGGATGCACAGTGCACTCCCTAATGGTGGGGCCTGCAAGGCAGAGCTGAGGCCCCTTGTCTTCTGCCAAATGATGTTTCAGAATCAGTTAGCTGAGCTGCTTCCCCACTAAAGGACAGGCTGTTCCTCCACCCTCCCCTCATCCCCATAGCTTAGAGACTGAGCAGTCTGGTTACCCATTTCTCCTCATGCATCCCCAACCTTCAAAGGGCCAGCAGAGAAGCCAGGACCCAATGGGCCTTAATCATGGACCTTTCTCCTTACCTGGACCCAGTTCAATCCAGGCACTGACCTGGTGTCTTCATCTTCATCCACCTGCCCAAGAAGACTTCTCTTCCTTCTGTGTCTGAATTCCATGATGAGGACTTCATCCCTGTGGTCAAAGCTCAGCAGCCCCACCCCAACTCACTCCCAACAGGAGATGCCACATGTCAAGCATTCTCGGTCATTTTCTCTGCTGTATGGGGGGATCCATGCAGGTGGGGCAATGGCACCAAACCACTTTTATCTTCCAGAAAAACTAGAAATTTATACCCTCAGAATGATCCTGTCATATTTCTTTGGCTTTCTCTCTTGTTATCCCACTCTTATCCCCTCATCAGCAATGCAGCTTCAGCTGCACCAGTCTAGGGGAGTCCCACCTCCCCTGTGGCATATGCATGTGCCATGCATGTTTCTGCTTCCGTCCCTTTCCACATGTGCCCTGGCCAGGAATGCCTTCTTCTCTTGCTTATTCATCTTCCCCAAACATTAAGGCTCAGCTCAATTCCACTCCATGCCTTCCACCTCAGGAGATCACTGTCTGCTGAGATCTTTTAGCATTTACCATCCTCAACACCACTACTTGGCTCCTGCCAAATACTGTTTTGCTCTTTGTGTAGATTACTTTGTATGCAAATCTTTTTTTTTTTTTTTTGAGACAGTCTGGCTCTGTCACCCAGGCTGGAGTGCAGTGGCATGATCTCGGCCCACTGCAACCTCTGCCTTCTGGGCTCAAGCAATCTTCCCACATCAGCCTCTGGAGTAGCTGGGACTACAGGTGTGCACCACCACACCCGGCTTATTTTTGTATTTTTTCGTAGAGGCAGGGTTTCATCATGTTGCCCAGCCTGGTCACAAATTCCTAGGCTCAAGTAATCTGCCTGTCTTGGCCTCCCAAATTGTTGGGATTACAGGCATGAGCCACTGAGCCTGGTTCTTATGCAGATCTTTTATCTGCCCAACTAGATTTCAAGCCTTTTTAGGGGAAGGACATTGCTTCAAACTATCCCAGACCCTACATCTATGGGAATATGACCTATTTTTTTTTTTTCATGGAGGTGAAAAATAGCTTAACCCAAATATGAGGACAATGGGATTTTTCACAAGGTAGGAGACTGGTTGGGAGGTGTTTGATGGGGATGACGGGGGGTCCTTTCTGGATCCCCTGCCTGTGTGTCACCCTGTGAATAGTACTCACACTGGCTCTTCATGTAAAGATGAGTAGGTCAAGCGATGCTCTGTGGGTCTGCTCCAGTGTGGGCGGAATGCAGCGCTCAAGGTTCGCAGGCTGCTGTCCGTGGTCCTGAACTACCACCTTCTGTGGAGGAAACCTGGGTACTGATTTTGGTGACTCTTATCTAACACCTCCCAGGGGTTATAGTTTTAACGTCTTACTTTTTTTTTCTAGCTGTTTAAACTTTTGAAATTTTCAGATAATTAATTAGAATCATGGCTTTGTTTCTCAAAATTCTCAAAAATTCATGGAGCTTTATCAGATTTCCAATAGTCAGACATTTTTTACCTTTGAGAAACTGGAGGTGAAGTCATATGTCTCCTCCATCATGTCGCTCACAATATTTTTATGATTTTAAGACCCAGCTTGCTCCATGAAGTAGTGCATTCCCACATTTTTACATCATTTTGTAGACATCATATTAGCTTTACCTCTTACTGACTGGGTGAACATGGACAGGCCAATTCACCTATATTGGCCTCAATTTTCTCTTTCTAAAATTATGGCAGTAACTAGGCACAGTGACTCATGCCTGTAATTCCAGCACTTTGGGAGGCCAACGCAGAGGATCCATTGAGCTCAGGAGCTCAAGACCAGCCTGGGCAATATAGTGAGATTCCCATCTCTACAAAAAATAGAAAAAAATAGGCATGATGGCACATGCCTGTAGCCCCAGCTACTCAGGAGGCTTAAGGAGGAGGATCAATTAATCCCAAGAAGTAGAGGCTGCAGTGAGCCTTGATCTTACCACTTCACTGTAGCCTGGGTGACAGAATGAGACTCTATCTCAAAATAATAATAATAATAATAATAATAATAATAATAATAATAATAATAAAGTAAAATGGTGGGAGTGATGGTGCAGAAGATTTGGACTTGATTATCTCAGAGATCCCTTTCTTTGCTGAAGTGGTGGCTCCTGATTCAATGCCCCTGTCTCTCACATCTCTGTGAGCCTTTCCTCCCAAGCTCTTTAAAATAAACAAGAAAATCTAGGTCATTCCCTGCATCAAGCTCAAAGGCAGTTTCTCACAAATGGCCTTACTTCAATTGCTAGTAACAAGGGGAGGGCTTCTGCATGTGAGACCCACTCCCATCGCAGAAGGACATTCAAAAACACCCGTTCCTCTTCTCTCATGTAGCGGTGACCTTACCCATATCCCAGCTTTCCTGCTGGAAGTCACGTGTTAAAAAGCACTTGGTCCCACATGTAAGCAGTAGGGAGGTGTCTACACATTCTGGAGTAGGTCTGTGCCTGAACAGGAGGTTTTGAGGACAGCAAAGGCTACTGAGTTGGCCTCAGAACCAGGGAGCCTTCCCAGCGTGGAGGATCTCAGAGGCCTCCTGCTGCTGTCATATCCCTGATGAAGGGGCTCAGAAGAATCCACAGCCTCCCTCTCCCATCAGCCCCCTTGGCTCCCAGCTCCAGGACAAGTGGTTCAGGGCCAGTGGGTAGATAAAGCCCTCGCTTAAGCCTGGACCTCCCTAGGTGTTGCAACCACCTCATCCTTAGATCCCAGTGAGAGATCTTATTCCTGAGGCATTGAGTGCTAATAAATAATAAATGCCGCTCCCTCTCCCTCTCCCTCTCCCTCTCCCGCTCCCGCTCCCTCTCCCGCTCCCTCCTCTCCCTCCTCTCCCTCTCCCCACGGTCTCCCTCTCATGCGGAGCCGAAGCTGGACTGTACTGCTGCCATCTCGGCTCACTGCAACCTCCCTGCCTGATTCTCCCCTCAGCCTGCCGAGTGCCTGCGATTGCAGGCGCGCGCCGCCACGCCTGACTGGTTTTGGTGGAGACCGGGTTTCGCTGTGTTGGCCGGGCCGGTCTCCAGCCCCTAACCGCGAGTGATCCGCCAACCTCGGCCTCCCGAGGTGCCGGGATTGCAGACGGAGTCTCCTTCACTCAGTGCTCAATGGTGCCCAGGCTGGAGTGCAGTGGCGTGATCTCGGCTCACTACAACCTACACATCCCAGCCGCCTGCCTTGGCCTCCCAAAGTGCCCAGAGTGCAGCCTCTGCCCGGCCGCCACCCCGTCTGGGAAGTGAGGAGTGTCTCTGCCTGGCCGCCCATCGTCTGGGATGTGAGGAGCCCCTCTGCCTGGCTGCCCAGTCTGGAAAGTGAGGAGCGTCTCCACCCGGCCGCCATCCCATCTAGGAAGTGAGGAGCGCCTCTTCCCAGCCGCCATCACATCTAGGAAGTGAGGAGCGTCTCTGCCCGGCCGCCCATCGTCTGAGATGTGGGGAGCGCCTCTGCCCCGCCGCCCCATCTGGGATGTGAGGAGCGCCTCTGCCCGGCGAGACCCCGTCTGGGAGGTGAGGAGCGTCTCTGCCCGGCCGCCCCGTCTGAGAAGTGAGGAGACCCTCTGCCTGGCAACCACCCCGTCTGAGAAGTGAGGAGCCCCTCCGCCCGGCAGCTGCCCCGTCTGAGAAGTGAGGAGCCTCTCCGCCCGGCAGCCACCCCATCTGGGAAGTGAGGAGCGTCTCCGCCCGGCAGCCACCCCGTCCGGGAGGGAGGTGGGGGGGTCAGCCCCCCGCCCGGCCAGCCGCCCCATCCGGGAGGGAGGTGGGGGGTCAGCCCCCCGCCTGGCCAGCCGTGCCGTCCGGGAGGGAGGTGGGGGGGTCAGCCCCCCGCCCGGCCAGCCGCCCCGTCCGGGAGGTGAGGGGCGCCTCTGCCCGGCCGCCCCTACTGGGAAGTGAGGAGCCCCTCAGCCCGGCCAGCCACCCCGTCCGGGAGGGAGATGGGGGGGTCAGCCCCCCCACCCGGCCAGCCGCCCCGTCCGGGAGGGAGGTGGGGGGGTCAGCCCCCCGCCCGGCCAGCCACCCCGTCCGGGAGGGAGGTGGGGGGATCAGCCCTCTGCCCGGCCAGCCGCCCCATCTGGGAGGTGAGGGGCGCCTCTGCCCGGCCGCCCCTACTGGGAAGTGAGGAGCCCCTCTGCCCGGCCAGCCGCCCCGTCCGGGAGGGAGGTGGGGGGGTCAGCCCCCCGCCCGGCCAGCCGCCCCGTCCGGGAGGTGAGGGGCGCCTCTGCCCGGCCGCCCCTACTGGGAAGTGAGGAGCCCCTCTGCCCGGCCACCACCCCGTCTGGGAGGTGTGCCCAACAGCTCATTGAGAACGGGCCAGGATGACAATGGCGGCTTTGTGGAATAGAAAGGCGGGAAAGGTGGGGAAAAGATTGAGAAATCGGATGGTTGCCGTGTCTGTGTAGAAAGAAGTAGACATGGGAGACTTTTCATTTTGTTCTGCACTAAGAAAAATTCCTCTGCCTTGGGATCCCGTTGATCTGTGACCTTACCCCCAACCCTGTGCTCTCTGAAACATGTGCTGTGTCCACTCAGGGTTAAATGGATTAAGGGCGGTGCAAGATGTGCTTTGTTAAACAGATGCTTGAAGGCAGCATGCTCGTTAAGAGTCATCACCACTCCCTAATCTCAAGTACCCAGGGACACAAACACTGCGGAAGGCCGCAGGGTCCTCTGCCTAGGAAAACCAGAGACCTTTGTTCACTTGTTTATCTGCTGACCTTCCCTCCACTATTGTCCCATGACCCTGCCAAATCCCCCTCTGTGAGAAACACCCAAGAATTATCAATAAAAAAATAAATTAAAAATAAATAAATAAATAAATGCCAGAGTAGGCACAGAACAATGACACTGAGAGGGCAGAGAATTTTTACAAAAGCGGGGAGCTGAGCCTCAAGTGCATTTGTCCTAGAATCACCGGGCCAGAAAGGTCCTCAGGAGGTCACCTTGTGTCCCTCATAGCCTCGCTGATAGCAGAAAGGAAGAACAAAAGATGCATACAGAAAACTCTGGATGGTTGGGGGGAGTGGGTATGGTGGCTCACACCTGTAATCCCAGCATTTTGGGAGGCCAAGGTGGGCGGATCACTTGAGGTCAGGAGTTCGAGACCAGCCTGGCCAACATGGTGAAACCCCCTCTCTACTAAAAACACAAAAATTAGTCGGATGTTGTCGTGCACGCCTGTAGTTCCCCAGCTACTTGGGAGGCTGAGGCAGGAGAATCTCTTGAACCCGGGAGGTGGAGGTTGCAGTGAGCCGAGATTGCATCACTGCACTCCAGCCTGGGCAACAGAGCAAGACTCTGCCTCAAACGAACAAACAAACACTCCAGGGACCTCCAAGCCCAACCTCACCTCCCAACTAAGAAAGAAAACCCGGTCCAGGGAAAGGGGCCTGGGGGACCCAGGTGCTTCTCTGAGCAGAGCTTACTGTGCAACCTTGAGCATAGTTCTTAAACCTTTTGGGCCTCAGTTTTCTCATCTGCCAGTTGGAACTGGGTGCAGAGGAGCAAGTGTTTGGGATGTCCTTCCGCGATAAGAGTGGGCCTCACAGGGAGAAGCCCCCCATTACTAACTTGGGAGAATACTCAGTTCTGTTCAATGACCATTCACTATTTCACTCATTCATGTATTAATTCAACAACTATTTATCTGAGCATTTACTATGTGCCAGGGCCAGCATTTGGTGTTGGAGATGCAGCGACAAACAACACAGGCAGGGCCTCTCTTTTCACAGGGCTTGCTCTCTATTGCCTGGGGAGACTTCAGAGGGCTCTGAGCCAGCTGTTGAGATTGCTTCAGAGGAAGGCAGGGTCTCTCTTGGCTAGGGCCTTGGAGGAAGAGGAAAGGAGGGAGATGAAAAGGATGGTAATGATGATATGGAATGTTGATTGACTGACTGAATGAATGAAAAGTTTTGGCTTCTTCATGATGTGGTGTAAGAAAGAGAGGGGGGTGGTTAATGTGTTGATATTACAAATCCAGGCCGAAACACTCAGATTTTAAAAGTGACCAAAATATGTTGGCAATATAAATTTAAAAGTCTTAAAATGTGCATGTCCTCTAACCCAACATTCGTCAAGGATGCAAATATGGGTATATAAAGATGTTCAGACTGGGCGTGGTGGCTCACGCCTGTAATCCTAGCACTTCGGGAGGTACTAGGGAGGCTGAGGCGGGTGGATTGCCTGAGCTCAGGAGTTTGAGACCGGCCTGGACAACATGGCAAAACCCTGTCTCTACTAAAAATACAAAAAAAAAAAAAAATTAGCCGGGTGTGGTGGCACACACCTGTGGTCTCAGCTACTTGGGAGGCTGAGGCATAAGAATCACTTGAATCCAGGAGGCAGAGGTTGCAGTGAGCCAAGATCATGCCACTGCACTCCAACCTGGGGTGACAGAGACTGTCTCCAAAATAACAAAATAAAATGAAAAATAAAATAAAATAAAAGTTTCTTGTGGCAATGTTTATGAAAGCCCCCAAATGAAAAACATCCAGATATCTATCTACTGGGGATCAACTAATTCACATACATAATGGAGTATTATACAGCCATTTGGACTAATGCTTTAGAAATGTAGCAACATGGCCGAACGCAATGGCTCATGCCTGTAATCCCAGCACTCTGGGAGACCAAGGCGGGTGGATCTCCTGGAGTCAGGAATTCGAGACCAGCCTGGCTAATGTGGTGAAATCCTGTCTCTTCTAAAAATACAAAAAATTAGCCAGGCGTGGTGGCGGGCACCTGTAATCCCAGCTACTTGGGAGGCTGAGACAGGAGAATCACTTGAACCCAGGAGACAGAGGTTGCAGTGAGCCAAGATCACACCACTACACTCCAGCTTGGGTGACAGCAAGACTCCACCTCAAAAAACAAAAAGAAATGTAACAACACGGTAAAATATTCATGATATATAAATGGAGAAGACATGTATGGTATACCTTCCTATGTACATTATATGTGAAAAATGTCTGAAGACATACATCATGTTAACAATAGTTGTTTAAGGTGGTGGGTTTATGGGTGTTAAAAATTTTTTTCTTTATGCCTACTGGTATTTTCTTTTCTATTTTAATTAATTAGTTTATTTTTGTAGAGATGAGGTTTCTCTGTGTTGCCCAGGTTGGTCTCAAACTCCTCGGCTCAAGAAATCCTCCTGCCTCAGCCTCCCAAAGCGCTGGGGTTACAGGCATGAGCCACCATGCCCAGCCCCAGTGGTATTTTGTTTTTCTTTCTTTTCTTTTTTTTTTTTTTTTTTTTTTGAGACAGAGTTTTGCTCTTGTTGCCCAAGCTGGAGTGCAATGGTGAGATCTCGGCTCACTGGAACCTCCACTTCCCAGATTCAAGTGATTCTCCTGCCTCAGCCTCCTGAGTAGCTGGAATTACAGGTGCGTGCCACCATGCCCAGTTACTTTTTTGTATTTTTAGTATAAACGGGGTTTCACCATGTTAGCCAGGCTGGTCTCGAACTCCTGACCTCAGGCAATCCACCCACCTTGGCCTCCCAAAGTGCTTGGATTACAGGCATGTGCCCCCACGCCAGGCAGAACTCTCATACACTGCTGGTGGGAATGTGAAATGCTACAATCACTTTGGAAAGCAATTTGTCAGTTTCTTTAAAAAATGAAACATATACCTCCTAAATGACTCAGCCATTCCACTCCTAGGTACTTACCCAAGAGAAATAAAAGCGTTTGGATACTTGTACATGAATATTCATGGGAACTTTATTTGTAATACCCCCAAAATGGAAACAACCCAAATATCTATCAATAGATAAATGAATAAACAAGTTGTGGTATATCCACATAATGAGATACTACTTAGCAATAAAAATAAATGAACTATTGATATATGCAACAACATGGATGCATCTCAAAATAGAAGCCAGACAAAAAGAATACATTCTGGATAATTCCATTTATATAAAATTCTAGGACATGCAAATGAATCTGCAGTGGCTGAAAGCAGGTTCATGGTTGCCTGGGGATGGAGAGGGTGGAACGTGGAGAGAGGGAGTGATTGCAAAGGCGCAGGAGGAAGTTTTGGGAGGTGAGGGGTGTGTGTTCACTGTTTTGATTGTGGTGATGACTTCACAGGTATATACATATGTCAAAACTTACCAAATTGCGCACTTTAAACATGTACAAATGTATGTCGATAAAGCTGTTTTTAAAACAGAGGCTGCCACGAGCATAGAGGCAAAACAGTCGATGCCTCCCAGTTTCAAGCTGGTTTGGTCATCATGGGAGAGCGTTGCTGTCCTCATCTCACCCACACAGAACCTGGAACCCAGAGGGGTTAAGTGCTAGTCCGGGCAGAGCCCATGGCCAGATTCTTTCTTCTCAGGATCCAGCGCTTTCTTTGCAAAGCACTGAGTGTGCTTCCAGGAGCCTCCCAGAACCTATCGGCATGCCCTGAGCTGAGGGACATGGTGTCCCTGCCACCTGAAGGTATAATCTCCCCTTCAGTTCACACTCCTCCCCCAGTCGTGGTCCCTCAGCCTGTGTTTGCAGCCAGGAGGCTGGCTTCATTTGCAGAGAGGCTGTGATTGCAGCATCTCCCCAGGGAAGTAATAAAGAGTGGGAATGAGATAAGGGACAAAGGCAATTATCTAACAACCTGTGTCCATGGCAGAGAAGGACTCAGGCCAAGCTGGGGATTCCTGCCCCGTCCCCGTGTCCTTGAGAGGCTGGCAGGGCCACTCTGCCCAGAAGAGTTCTCCTGGGCAAGGGGTCATAGTGGGGGGTAGAGGGGAAGGAGGTGGTAGGAGGTGGGGGTGGGTAGGGGTGGGGGTGCCAGGCTGGGCCCCAGAAACACTTGGTTTCTGTCCCTGTGTTCCTCCCCCGCTGCAGGGCCCTCCACAGCATTTGGAGTCAGAGCTGGCGTGGGATCCTGGAAAAGCTGAATGAACGCAGGCTTTGTGTGTGGACGGACCTGGGTATGCATCCTGGCACCAGCTGGGTCTCAGTGACCACCCCTGTGAAATGGGGGTAACAACGGTCCCTTCCCCATACGACCCTGCCATGTAAGGTTCAGTCAACCCCACTTGCCCTCCCCTTGCTTGTCCTTCTACTTTATGTTCTCCTGAGACTCTGCAAACCAGAGAAGGGACAAGCTGAGGCAGGAGGCCTTGAGCCTTGAGAGTGGATGGGAGAAGGAGAATGTGGAGAAATGGGGCAGCTGTGTTTGCTGAGCACTTCCTGTAGCCCAGTACTAGACAGAGCACTTTACACGCTCTATCCCCTTTAATCCCCACAACAGCCCTGTGAAGTATTCACTGTCCTCCCAGCTTCCCCAAGAAGAACACTGAAGCCTCCCAAGAGCAAGTCACTCATCCAAGGTCACAGAAAGTAGACAGGGGCAAATATAGGCCTTGAACCCAGGCAGCCTGACTTCCAAGTCCCTGTCTTGTGGCTGAAATTCCCCACCAGTTTTCTGGGGTCTTTGCATTTCTGAGTCCCGACCCCACTAGTTGAGATGCTTTCCCCAGCAGTGATCCAAGTTCAGATTCTCTCTGCAACTCCTTGTTACGCAAGCCACCCTATGATCCCTCACGTGTGCGGAGCACTCTACAGTTTACAAAGAACTCTTTCATTACTACTTATGCCATGGGTGGTTCCGAATCCCTTGAAACAAGAGAGGACTGTTGTTGTTATCCCGGTGTCTACCATGAAGATGGTATGGATCCCTTCCTAGGGAGAAATGGACATTGACGCACACTGGACCATTTTATCTGCACAACAAGTAAACAGTATTAGGCCCAGTTTACAGATGTTAAAACTGAGGCCTGGAAGAATTAAACAGCTTGCCTAAGTTCATGAAGCTAGCGAGTGGCTGAGCCAGTATTTCCTCCCAGATTTGATTGGCCCCAAAGCCCATACTCTTCACCACTTAATCCACTGCAAGAAGTAATCACTGTCTGCCTTCCCCAGCCTCTCCCTAAGAAGGCTCTGAGGTCCTTATCTGAAGGCTCAGTCCTGCCATTTCCTGAGGCAATCAGACAACATTCATGCATTTGTTCACTTGTTCAACAAATAGGAATGAGCACTCGCTGTGTACCAACACTCAGACACTTGGTTTCTGAATGCCCATTAGCCACAGGCCCTGCTCTCGAAGAATTCACTGGTGGACAGAGATGAATGAGGCGGTTCATCTCGGGATACAAAGTGTAGAGACCACACATGTACCTTGGTTCTTTCTGTGCAGAGAAAAGCTATCTATTTTCAGTCTCAATATTTAGCAGTTTCCATAGATACCAGATCATAACTAATTAGACCAAAGCAAGTGTTTATTTCAATCTTTGATGTCATCTACTTCAAACATTTTATCCAGTTACGTTTATTTCAATCATTCATGCGACACTAACTGAGCACCTGCAAGGCCTTGTACTTGAATGAAAACATTAATAGTAATAATCATAACAATAACCAAAAAATTACTCTCATCGATTGATAATTTCATTCTTCTTTTCTTTTTTGTGACGGAGTCTCGCTCTGTCACCCAGGCTGGAGTGCAGTGGCAGAATCTCTGCTCACTGCAACCTCCACCTCCCGGGTTCAAGTGATTCTCCTGCCTTAGCCTCCCAAGCAGCTGGGACTACAGGTGCCCATCACCACACCCGGCTAATTTTTGTATTTTTAGTAGAGATGGGGTTTCGCTATGTTGGGCAGACTGGTCTCAAACTCCTGACCTCAAGTGATCTGCCCACCTCAGCCTCTCAAACTGCTGCAATTATAGCGTAAGCCACTGCACCCAGCCCGATGATTGAGAATTTCTTATGTGCCAGGCACTATTCTGAGTGCTGCACAGGTATTAATTCATTTACTGTGCAACAGCCCTTTCAGGGAGGCACTATTATTATCCCCTGTACTGGACGAGGAAACTGAGGTGGAGAAAGGTTAATGATTTTGCCCACTCAAAAATAATATTGGAGAGATATCTGTCACCATCTGATTTCTGGTGATCCAAATATAGCTGGATCTGAGAGTTAAGACTTCCCTCCTCAGGTCCCAAGCCCCATCTTCCTCTCGCTGGTCTCTGATTCTAGCATCAATCTTTTACATCCTTGTGCTTTTTCTATAAGGCTGCCATGAAATTAAGCACACACCCACTGGCCCAGGCCAACAAGCTGGCTCCAAGACAAGGCCTACCTAGACTAAATGCTCAGAATTGGGAGTTGGGGAGAATTTCCAGCAACCCTGACACACCCAATGGCCTCAGGACGGGAGGAGGTCTCTGAGAAACGTTGTGGGGGAACATGGGACTCCCCTTCCCCTCTGGCCTCTTCCCACACCTCAACACACCCGAGCCCTCATACATGACCAAGTAGAAGTCAGGCCCTGGGTCCGGTGAGAAGGTCGCAGGGATTTGAGCCAGACAGAGTGCAATGAAAGCCCACTTCTCATCCAGAGGTGCTGGGAGTTAGGGAACAAGCTAGAGGGTCCTCAGTGCTGAAATACGGGGGGTCTGTACTCATTTGTTACAGTGTCACTAGAGCCCTGGGGACAGGGTTGCCTTCCCTTCCCCCTCCCCGCTGCCCCCAGAGGCCAGCTCCCAGGGAGGCTGTGCTGCCCCTCCAGCCCTGGCGGACCTCTCAGAGCTTGTGGTCGTCAGATCATTGACCCTGAAGGCACCCTACCAATCACCTTGATGAGAAAACCAAGACCAGCCTGAAGGCGAGTGGAATTTGGACTAGAGTCCAGAGCCCACGACACCTGTGCCCTGGTCCTTACTCCCTGCCTCATTCCAATATCCTAAAAGGGTATCTTTGCACCTGCCAGAAATGCAGCCCAGTCACATGGTCACCCCCCTTCCTGTGTGTCCTGCCCCCTCACCTGCTCAGGAAGTCAGAGTGGGAGTGCACAGGTCTTCCTGTGGGTGTCTCCACCCAGAAAGCTGCCTTTGGGTTTATTCCAGAAACACGAGATCAGAGGACCTTTGAGCTGAGACTCAAAGAGGGCTGGTTCAAGTCTGAGGTCTGATAGTTTGGGAGGCAAGACCTGGGGCAGGTGAGTCACCTTCTGATCTCTGGTGCCTCATCTGCGTCGTGGGACATGGAGGCTGGCAGTGGCTCGTGAAGGTCAGATGACGAGCATCATCACTGCGCCTTCCAGCTGTGAGCTTCACACACAATATTCTGTGTGATTAGTGGCATCAAGACTTGAACCTGAGATCTCTGCTTCCAAGGCTGGGACTCTTCTGCCTGCAGCACTCTGCCTTTTGCTGTGGAAAAGGTTCTGAGAGAGGCGGGGCGGTGTCCTCTATCTCCTGGGATTCCCAGCATGCGGATCACAGAAGGTGTCCTAATAGACATATTTCTGTGTCCTTGAATGTCCCATTTACATTTTCCTGACTTCTGAACAGCCTGTGCCTGAGCTGGCAAGAAGCCTCCCTCTCGGACCCCTGTGACTGCCTGCCATCCCGTTCCCACGCCTCAATCAATTGGTCCCCGAGTTCCGTTGTTTTCTCTTATTGTTTTCATGCGGAGGAGTTACCTCCTTCCAAATCGGGAAAGGAGGTTGGAAGAAAATAGTGTGACAGCTGTCCTGAGTCGCGCACTGCCCTTGATTGGCCAGTGCCGGGTTTGGGTCGGGTTTCCACGTGGCTTCGTACAGGCGTTGCTTCTCCCTTGGCATCTGTAGTAAACGCTGTTGCTCTGAGCCATGTCCCCTCAGCCCCACGCTGACATCAGCTGTGTCCCTGGTGGTTTGTCCTCGTGCTTGATGGTGGCTTCCCAACTCAAAGCTTTACTGTGTCTCTCAGCTTCTGTTCTTCAGATTTTTTCCCAGCAAAGCGTGGGGACTGGGGGACAGTGGTCCGTGGGTACACACCCCAGCCTCATCATCATTCAAGACAATCCTGAGGTGCATTTTACACCGTTCCTCACAGGGTTCCCAGTGGAATCAAGCCCAGTTACCCACATCAGTAGCCAACTCAGTAATGCACTGAGTGGTTTTCTCTCCTTCCTGATCTCACTCTCCTACGCCCTCACTTTGGTTTCCTGGCATGGATTCCATGTCAACTCCCTGCACCCGAGTCCTTGTCTCAGGCTCTGCTTTAGGAAGAGCTCAAGCTAAGACCAAAATGTGAGCCAGGCTTGCGGAAGGCATGAGGAGGAGGAGGAGGAGGAGGAGAGGAGGAAGAGGAGGAGGAGGAGGAGGAAGATAGTGATGCCCTGGCTGAGGAGTCAGGAGACCTGAGTTCCAAACCTACAGCACCTTACACACTCGAAATTCATGGGTTGAATGCATAAATGAATGAGTGAGTGAAGAAATTAAGCCAGGCGTAAGGGCTCACATGTGTAATCCCAGCACTTTGGGCGGCTGAGGCAGATGGATCACCTGAAGTCAGGAATTTGAGACCAGCCTGGCCAACATGGTGAAACCTGGTCTCTATTAAAAATACAAAAATTAGGCTGGGCACAGTGGCTCACGCCTGTAATCCCAGCACTTTGGGAGGCCGAGGCAGGTGGATTACGAGGTCAGGAGATCGAGACCATCCTGGCTAACACGGTGAAACCCCTTCTCTACTAAAAGTACAAAAAATTAGCCGGGCATGCTGGCAGACACCTGTAGTCCCAGTTACTCGGGAGGCTGAGGCAGGAGAACGGTGTAAACCCGGGAGGCGGAGCTTGCAGTGAGCTGAGATTATGCCACTGCACTCTAGCCTGGGCAACAGAGCAAGACTCTGTCTCAAAAAAAAAATTAAATTAAATTTAAAAAATAAAAAAACTAGCAGGGCATGGTGGCACATGCCTGTAGTCCCAGCTACTCAGAAGACTGAGGCAGGAGAATCGCTCACACCTGGGAGGCAGAGGTTGCAGTGAGCCGAGATCACGCCACTACACTCCAGTGAGACTGTATCACAAAAAAAAAAAAAAAAAAGAAGAAAAGAAATGATAGTAGATATTATCTTGACTATTTTGTAGATTTGGGAACCATGGTTGGCATTTCTAGTGCTCATCAACAATTTCTATTTTTTTTTCTTTCTTTGAGACAGGGCTTTCTCTCCTTCCCAGTCTGTCACCCAGGCTGGAGTACAGTTGTATGATCTCGGCTCACTGCTACCTCAACCTCCTAGGCTCAAGTGATCTTCCTGCCTCAGCCTCCTCAGTAGCTGGGACCACAGGTGTGCACCACCATGTCCAGCTGATTTTTGTATTTTCTTTTCTTTTTTCTTCTTTTCTGGAGAGATGGGGTTTCACTATGTTGCCCAGGCTAGTCTTGAACTCCTGGGTGCAAGCAATCCAGCTGCCTCAGCCTCCCAAAGTGTTGGGATTATAGGCATGAGCCGCTGCATCTGGCTTTTTTTTTTTCTGCTTTTGTTTCGTTTTGAGTCTGTTGCCCAGGCTGGAGTGCAGTGGTGCAACCGTGCAATCATGGTTCACTGCAGCTTTGACTTCCCAGGCTCAAGTGATCGCCTGCCTTAGCCAACCTAGTAGTTATGACTACAGATGTGAACCACCATGCACAGCTAATTTTTCAATTTTATGTAGAGATGGGGTCTTGCTATATTGCCCAGGCTGGTCTCAAACTCCTAGCCTCAAACAATCCTCTGGCCTTGGCCTCCCAAAGTGATGGAATTACAGGTGTGAGTCACCATGTCTGACCACTCACCAACAATTTATAGACATACATTGTTATCCTCTGATGATACTAGCTTGCTCACCTGAATTAAGGTTGACCACATGACTTTCTTTGGCCAATGAAATGTGAGCAGAAGTGATGTGTGTCACTTCCAGAGGAAGGCAGTTAGAAGCCCGCGGGCCTGCTCCCTGCTCAATTGCCTGCACTGGCAGCCCTGAAGCAGTGCAGTGAAATGGAGGTGCTAGCAGACTGAAGTAGCTGGATTGTTGAGCCACCTTATAAAGGACAGTGACCCTGGAGTTGCCCACACCAGCAATGCATTTTTTTAAATGAGTGAGAAATAAACTCTTGCTGTTTTGAGCCTAAGGTGTTACTGCAGAATCACCTCGCTCATCCTAACTCATCCACGAACCAAGCCCCAGGAGAGCTGACAGTTGGAGCCAGGCCTGGAACCCAAGCATTTCCTCTCAGCCCAGGTGGCCCTGGTCACTGATAGAGGCTTCTGCCTGTTGCCCTGTTGATATGGTTTGGCTGTGTCCCCACCCAAATCTCACTTTGAATTGTCGCTCCCATAATTCCCACATGTTGTGGGAGGGACCTGGTGGGAGGTAACCGAATCATGGGGAGTGGTTCCCCCATACTGTTCTCGTGATAGTGAATAAGTCTCACGAGATCTGATGGTTTTATAAGGGGAAACCCCTTCCTCTTGGCGCTCCTTCTCACTTGCCTGCTACCATGTAAGATGTGTCTTTCGCCTTCTGCCATGATGATGAGGCCTCCCCAGCCATGTGGAACTGTGAGTCCATGAAACCTCTTTTTCTTTATAAATTACCCAGTCTCAGGTATGTCTTTAACAGCAGTATGAAAACAGATGAATACACCTATGTTTGGAAGTGAAGCAGCGTGGCCAACAGGGTGGCCATTCCCACTGTGTCCTGCTTAGCCAACAGCTCCTCTCTTGTCCGCTTTGTGCTGGGGACTCCTGCCCAGAAGCGGATGTATTGAGAGGAGTTGGATAAGGGCTGGACTGGATGATCGGTGACTCCAAGATGAGAATATTTTACCTCCAGACTCCTGCACAGTTGAATTCCTCTATTCCCAGCCAACTCTGTCCAAATGTGAAATTGCAGGGGCCCTCTTCCCTGACTCCCAGCCACCCCACAAATGCTTACATCCCGAGTCGTAACAGCAGGAAGTGGACACATATTCTGTGGACGTGGCCTGTGTGTCCAGAGTGTGTGAGCCACCAGCTCCCTGCGTGGCTCTTCATGGGCCAACCAGAGGCACAGCTTCCCCTTGGCCTCCTGATCTCATGCCCTCCCAGAACAGGAACACAGCCCCCAGGAGAATGAGGAATGTGGCACCAGGGCCTGCTCTCTAACCCCGGCTCCATCTTTCTCTTCCCGTCTGCCTCGGTTTCCTTTTCTGTAGAATAACAATATCAAACATCTGAGGGCAGACCAGTGCTGTGCTCAGCAGGTGACATGCCATAGTAAAGGACGTGCCATATGAGGAGTGGGGAGGGGAGGCAGGGGGCTTTTGCTCGCAGGAGAAAAATCAGATGGGGGCATGAGAGGTGGCTTTAAACCTCCAGGAGGCTCTGACAGGGAGGGTGGCTTAGATATCATTTTTCATTATAGCAATTATCACTAACTAGCAGCGTATTTTCTATTTGTCTAGAACATCAGCCCCATGAAGACAGGATGGGGACCTTGTCTGTCTTGTTTCTTACTGGCATGCCAAAAATCGGGGTATGTGTACAGTAGGTGCTCACTTAATACTTATTGAATGTCTGAACTCATCCTCTGTGGCTTCCAAAGGATGAAAGTTCCAGGGAGGTCGTTGAATTTTCTCTGTGCCCCCCAACAACTCTGTTCATCCCTCCCCCCTCTGCCCCGTGCGCCCCTCCGCCTCCCGGAGTCAGCCACTTCCTCTGCTAATTGGAGTCCGAGTCAGACTTCCTGCTGCTCAGGGTGGTGGCTCAGGTGAATCGCATCAGGGCTGACAGAAAGTGGTTAATTAGCTGGGAAGGCTGGAGGTGGGTGGTTGCTGAGCGAAGCTGAGCAACAGAGGGAAGTTATCCCCACAAAGGGAAAAGGGCCCCCACCCCACCATACACCCATCATCTAGCACCAGGAGCTGTGAGCTATTGAGCTGTGGAAATCCTTATGTTGATCCAGCAGGGGCGGGGCATGAATTGGGACTCACTGCAATTGAAAGTTAATTTTAAGTATGATACAGAAGGCAGGCTGGCACTGGGCTGTCCTGCTCTGGCCTACAGGTGAGCCAGGATTGGATTGGGAAGATGAAACCCCAAAGCCAGGGTCATCTCAGGTTGCATTACTAGAAGTCTATCCCCCAACACAAGGGAGGGGAAAATCTACCATGGACCAGGCTAATTAAGTCCTCATTTTGCTCCCCTCCAGTGGACTAGAGACCTGGTCCTGAGCCCAAGACCCTCCAGTTGAGCCTGCAGGGACTCAGTGTGCCAGAGCTGAGAGGCTGCGGAGTCTGGCAGAAATGGGGCTCAGTTTCCGCCTCCATCCTACACAGCTTGTGACACTGGGTGAGTCACATCACCTTCCTGAGCTTTCACTTTCTACATGTGTAAAAATGTGGCCAATAATACTTTCTGGAGTTGTTACAAAGATTAAATGAGGTTATACAGATAAAGAGTCCAGCCCAGTGCCTGGAACATGTCAGGGCTCCACAAATGTGAGTTTCCTCTCCTAACTTCCTCCCCTCCGTGGCAGCCCCACTCCCCACCCACAGCCTGCCTGCACCCCTCCTGGTTGACTGAGGCTGTGTCTGCCTCGCCCACCTGACTGCAGGGTGTGCCTGCAGGGTCCAAGAGGACCCAGGCTGCTTGAGTCTGAATCCTATCTCCACCTTAGATTGTCTGTGTGACCCTGGTCAAGTCACTTTACCTCTCTGTGCCTCAGCTTCCTGGTTGTAAAGTGAGGACAACAACAGCACCTTCTGCATAGGATTGTGCCCCGCTCCCCTACATTTAGAGAATTTTTTTTTTTTGAGACGGGTTTCACTCTTGTTGCTCAGGCTGGAGTGCAATGGCGCAATCTCGGCTCACCACAACCTCTGCCACCCAGGTTCAAGCGATCCTCCTCCCTCAGCCTCCCGAGTAGCTGGGATTACAGGCATGCACCACCACACCCAGCTAATTGTGTATTTTTAGTAGAGATGGGGTTTCTCCATGTTGGTCAGGCTGATCTCGAACTCCCGACCTCAGATGATCCGCCCGCCTCGGCCTCCCAAAGTGCTGGGATTACAGAGAATGTATTTTAAAATCATGAAATAGTTCCTAAATACAGAAAAGAATCCAGGTTTCACATTTTCACGTTTGCTATTTGCTTCAGACCTTTTTTGTTTACGAAGAAATAAACTGTCGATGATTTGGCTCCATCGTGCCCCCTGGCATCCTGGTTCCTTGCACAAAGCCAGAGCCTGCAGCCTAAGGCAGGATCGTGTTGAGGGTCAGAGCATGCAGCATGAAGGAGCTGCCGGCAGTCTTGGGAGCTCAGGGTGGTGAGCAGGATTAGTATCCCAGAGACGTCTGTTTTAGGCAGATGACTTGGGCAAATGTTGCCGGTGCGGATAGAAAAGGGAAGGTAAAACAGGCAGCAGGGAGACCAGCTGAGGATGGTTTCTGTCATCCAGGGGAGGAGGTAATGGCTGGGAGCAGGGTGGAGGTTGTGGGAATGCAGATTTGGGGGTTTGTCGGGGTGGCTTGGCGAGGGGGGAAGGGGCAAAGACTGGATTCAGGCTCAGATGGTAAAATGGATGGCGCTGCCTGTGGCTGCAGTCCTGAAGGGCAGCACCAGGCCTGGAGCAGATGGAAGAAGTATTGGCTGTGGTGAGGGTCAGGGCCCGGGACCAGGGGCAAGGGAGAGGTGACCAGAGTACAGGAGCACAGGCATTGATGTGAAATGGGGAGGGTGGGCTGGGGAGAGTGGAGGGAATAGAACAGAAGCTCGAGGGCACTGGGATTTAAGGGACCCACGGAGGACCAGCCTACAAGTATGTTGGCACCTTCTGCCTCCTGGCCCCCAGGTGTGTTTCTGACGCCCATGTTCTTACTCCCAGTCCTGAGTCTGCTGGAGGTTCGTGCTCTGCTGACCCAGCCCCTTTCCCAGGTCCACGCCCCTCGCTCATGTCCTTGCAGTCCAGGGAGCCTGAAATTGGATAAACCCAGAACCCACCTTGCCTAATGGCAACTCCACCCCTCCTTCCAAGTCACATCATCTAGTTATAGGATAGGACCTCCCTTACATTTAAAAAAATGTGTTTAAGCTCATTTAAGTTTCCATCCTTTGTAAATGAAAGAACTCTCACTAACACGTGTCCCAAGGCTAATGTCTCTTGGATGTCACTCTTGAGTCCTAATGTGAAAACTTTGTTTTAAATATTTTTCCAGACAGCCATGGTGGTTCTTGCCTGTAATCCCAGTACTTTGGAAAGCCTAGGTGGTGTTATTGCTTGAGCTCAGGAGTTCAAGGCCAGCCTGGACAACACAACAAGATCCCATCTCTACAAAATAAAAAAATTAGCTGGGCGTAATGGTGCACACCCAGCTACTCAGAACGCTGAGGTGGGAAGATCAGTTGAGCCCAGGAGTTCGAGGCTGCAGTGACCTATGATTGCACCACTGCACTTCAGCCTGAATGACAGAAAGAGACTATCTATCTATCTATCTATCTATCTATCTATCTATCTATCTATCTATCTATCATCTATCTATGTATCTATTCTATTTCCAGAATCATCCAGACCCTTACAGTGCTCAAGCTATGCCAGTTTCTCTGGATATATCCTGTTAGTATTAGTCATCTATTATTGTGTAACTAATTACAGCAGTGCCCCCTTATCCATGAGAGATATGTGTCAAGACCCTCCCCTGCCCTGTGAATGCCTAAAACCGCAGATAATACCAAATCCTATATATACTATGTTTTTCAACCTGATAACCAAGATGGCTATCAAGTGACTGATGGGTGGATATGCTGGACAAAGGGATGATTCGCATCCCGGGTAGGATGGAATGACAAGGTTTTATCATGCTACTCAGAATGGCGACTAATTTAAAACACTCGTTAATGTATAACATTTTCAACCTAATATTTTCAGACTGCAGTTGACCAAAAGTAATAAAAACCACAGTAAGTGAAACCTCTGATAATGGGGGACAACTGTACCTCAAAACAAAGTGGCTTAAAACAACTCTCAATGTTTATTATCACAGTTTCTGAGGGTTAGGAGTTCAGAAGTGGCTTTGCTGGGTGGTTCTGGCTCAGAATCATGAGGCTGTGGTCAAGTGGTTGTAGTTGTGAAAGTGTAAGAATCAAAATGGAGTCACTAATGCTAAGAAAACCCTGACAAATAGAGCCAGGAAAGGCTGTGAATAGAGGCTTCTCACGCTTGTATGCCTGATAATGAAAAAGACTACAAAAACCACAACCTTGCACAGAGGCCATTACAACCTTACACAAAAAATACATCTGCAAGGACACCTGCCCGGCAAATGCCTGTGCAACCTTGAACTGCCATCACCCTTGTTACTGATTTTTGTAGCCAGGGATAATTATTTCAAGACAATTATGTAATCCTCCTCATTTTTCCTTTAAAAACTTTTGCCCTCCTTTACCTCCATGAATATGCACATAATTTACTATGGCACACATATTCCCATTGCAATGCTCTAGTCCCAAATAAACATCTTTTCTTTTAGACAGCCTCTCTATATTTGTTATTTAGGTTAACACAGTCAAGTTGTGGGCCAGGGTTGCAGTCATCTGAAGGTTCGACTAGGGCTGGAGGACCCACTTGCAAGGTGGCTCTCACACACAAGTGAAAAATTGGTGATCCAGCCTAGGCAACACAGGGAGACCCTGTCTCTATAAATAAAAAAGTTTTAAAAAATCAGCTGGGCATGGTGGCACATGCCTGTGGTCCCAGCTACTTAGGATGCTGAAGAGGTAGGATCTCTCGAGCCTGGGAGGTTGAGGATGCAGTGAGCCATGACTGCACCACTGCACTCTGTCTGGGAGACAAATTGAGATCCTGTCTCCAAAAAATAATTTGTGCTAGCTGTCGGTAGGAGGCTTCAGTCCCCTACTTTATGGGTGTCTCCATGGGCTGCTTGAGCATCCTGCTGACATGGTGGTTGGCTTCCCCCAGAGAGAATAATCCAAAAGAAACTGCCAGCTGGAAACTGTAATGTCTTTTACGACCTGGCCTCAGAAGTCATTTACCATCATTTCTGTAATATCCTATTGGTCACACAGGTCAGCTCTATTCAGTGTGGGTGAGGACTGGACCATGGCATGAATACCAGGAGGTGAGGATGACTGGGGACATCCTGGGGGATGCAGACTCTAGGCTACCTTGTGGTAGTGACTTGGGCACCCTCCTAATAACCCTGACATCCTGGAGAGAAAGGCTTACCCACCCCTGCCTGCATGAGCCAGCCCCATCTGGCTGTCTCTCCCACCCCTGTGAGTGGCTGCACCAACTCCTCCCCCAGAGCTGTGGGGCTGGTAGGACCCTGAGAACAGCCTCCAGCCCACCAGTCTAAGCTGAACACCATGGCAATGGACTCTTGTCTACTTCTCTCTTTGGCCATCTAGGGGGCATTACTGTAACTTTGGTGGACTCTGATTTCCTTCTCTGACAGGGTGACAGGCTGTGGGCCAGAGAGGCAGGGCTGAAGTCATATGTGGTAGGACATGGGCCAAAGCTCTCTTCCTAACACAGCTACTCCCAACAGCAAGTATTCAGGAACTAGGGCCATTTTTTAAAACCTCATCTTTAAAAAGTGGTGTAGGAAAAAGCAAAGACACTGGACCAGATGGCCTCAAATCTCCACCACAATACTTGCTATTTTTCCTTGGCTAAGACAACAAAATATCCTGATTCTCAGTTTCCACATCTGTAAAATAGGGGCGATAATAGTTGTGTTAGTACATTTTGTGTTGCTATAAAGGAATGCCTGAGGCTGGGTAATTTCTAAAGAAAAGAGATTTATTTGGCTTATTGTTCTGCAGACTGTACAAGCATGGCACCAGAAGCATGATGCCAGCATCTGCCTCTGGCGAGGGCTTCAGGAAGCATCTAATCATGGCAGAAGGGGAAGGGAGCCAGCGTGTCACATAGTGAGAGAGAGAGAGCAAGAGAGATGCCGGGCCTCTTCTAAACAACCAACTCTTGCATGAATAGTAGAGTGGGAACTACTCATTCCTGTGAGGGAGGGCACGAAGCCATTCATGAGGGATCTGCCCCTATGACCCACACCACTCCTACTTGGCCCCAACTTCAACACTGGGGATTACATTTCAATATGAGATTTGGAGGGGACAAACATCCAAACCATATCAATAGTGCTGTCAAAAGATAAAATTACAGCAAACTTAGTTATAGATCTAATTGTCTTTTATTCATAATTCATGAATCATGGCTGACTCTACTCTACACAATAGAATGAGTTCTCTCACTAGGGCAAGCAGAGCAGTGAGCTTTGTAAGGTGGGAGTAAGGAAACAGAATAGTAGAAGAGAAGCTGATTCATTAATGTCAGGTTACTTCAGGTTACTTTCTCATAAAGGTCAAAGAAGAGGCAACTTTCTTACTAGGTTGACTCTGGTAGACTGAAATTTCCTGTTTTCAGGAAAAAAAAAGGTCTGTTTTAGGATTTATCAGCTTCCTTAGAGTTTCAGTTTGATTATATGACATTTAGCATGAGTGACTCCATTTTGATTTTGTCTGTTCTGTTGGAGCCTAGTGCAGGGGCTTAGTCCATTGTTTTGTTTAACAATGCCTATCTGTAGTGTTTTAACCACCTGACCAGTTCTTCTTGCCAACTGCACAGATAGAGCTAATTTACTGAGATAGCGGTATGGCAGTAGAGAAAGAGTTTAATAAATACAGAACCAGCTAAGTGGAAGACAGGAGTGTATTACTTAAATAAATAAATAAAGCTTAGAGCTAAGGTTTTTAAAGAATAGTTTGGTGGACAGGGGCTAGAGAATGGGGAATGCTGATTGGTTGGAGATGAAATCCTAGGGGTGTGGAAAATGCTCCTTATGCTCTGAGTCAGCTTCTGGGTGGACTGGTTGAGTCATGAATCATGGGTCCAGGTGGAGTCTGTAGGTTACCACAATGCAAATTTCTGAAAAACATCTCAAAAGACCAATCTTAGGTTCTACAATAGTGATGTTGAGCAATGACTGGTTATCATCTAACTATGCAGACATTTTAGCAGAATTCAGGCCCTTCCCACATTTCTAATCTAGTAGGCTTTCATTAGTTTTACAAAGGTGGTTTCAGGGGTTAGTTTTAGGGAGGGACTATTATCATCCTTGCTTCAAAGTTAAACTATAAACTAAGTTCCTCCCCAGGTTTGCTTGGCCTACGTTCGGGAAAGAGTGAGGACAGCCAGCCTGTGGGGCTAGAAATAAGACGGAGTTAGCCATGCTGGACTCTCTCACTGTCATCATCTTTGCAAAGGTGGTTTCAGTGTTAAATGAGAAAATGTGTAAAGTCCCAGCCCACACCTGAGACTGAGGATGACTTTTGTGTGATTATGATTGTTAAGCTTTAGGGCAGGGAGGGATGTAGTAGCTGAGGCAGGATTGGAACCTGGCTCTGATAACTGGCTTCCTTCCCCTGGGGCTGCAGGAGCATCCTTGTCCCCTCCCTCAGTGTCTCTCCTTTCACTGGGTGCTGTCCACTCCCCCTGGGAGCTTCTTGGCTCTCTCTGCTCTTTCCCACACAATGCCTAGAGCTCATGCAGGTCATAGGGTTTCTTTTCCTGATAGAAACTAGGGCACCTCCCCTGCCAATCAATCGCCTGTCAATCCTTCCACTGTGTGGAGGGAGAAGTGCTGAACTGTAGATTTACCTCCACTCCTCCTCTCCTGAAAATCTTTCCATGGCTTCTCCTGGTCTAAGGCGAGCCCTGAAGGCACAGCCCTTCCCCAGGGTGCCAGGAGTCCCAGGCTGTGGGGACAGGGAAGGGGATTTTATCAAACACTTACCCTTTCAGAGATCCTGATCTTCCTATCCACCCCCACACCTGCCCTTTTGATGTTCTCTTAGTGATGGGAGTGGGTCCTGCCCATCAGGGTAACCTGAGGCAGAAAGAGAAACAGTAAATACATTGAAAACTGCTGATTTACACTACAGATGCTACAGGATATCAACCCCAGATTCCTAACCCTGACCTTCCAGTGCCTGAGATTCAGGGCTGACCCGGATGCAGACTATGATGTGCAGCTCTACAGCCCCACCCTGATCCAGCCAGGCACAGAGGAGGTTCTCAACAAATATTTGCTGAGCCCCTGAAGTTGCTTCAGAAGGGCTGCCTTGGACTGCTGAGTCCTTGACTTCCATTTCTCTGGGTGGTGGGTGCAGCAGTTTGGGCTGGAGGAAGCTGGGGCGGTTCCATCCAGTGGAGCTGTGGTGGGAGATTCATTACCTAGAAGCACGAGGTTCCTGGGGTGGCGGGTGGAGGCTGCTGTTTGCTTTAGTCTCTACTCAATCCCTGCTCACAGGTTGCCTGGCAACCATTGTTCATTTACTCACCATTGACTTTGAAAATAAAAATCAATTTCCTTTATGACGTGAGTCAGAGGGTCACATTAACCCCCAAGTTTAAGCAGTCCAATTTTATTGCTCAAAGATTTATGAGCAAGGATGTATACAGAGCACTATTTATAATAGGAAAGGTTTTTGGGAGGGGTGCTGAACCACAGTATCTATCAGAGGGGTGTGATTAAAGGAAGGCCCTTTCTTACAACAGAATATTCTGCAGCTGATAAAATAATGATAGAGATCTGAGCGTACTGACAGGGGAACATTCTCATAATGTAAGTGAAAGACACAAGCAGGTTACAGAACAGCATGTAGAGTGTGTTGCTGTTTTCATTTAACAAGATATGTGTGTGCGTGCATGTGCCTGTTGCTTAAAAACATTCTGCAAGGGTACACATGGAAAACAGAAACAGTGATTTTCACTCTGGAAGGGGATTGCAAATTTCAATTATCTTTCTATCTTTCTCTACTATTTAATTTTTAAAATAAAGCAAGCACGTGTTACTTTTTCAATTTGCAAAAACAATAATGTCATTTCTTTTTCAAACAGAGAATTCCAACTCTGAGGGCCAGGGGAACCGCCTCTCCAGGGCCCACTGGGGTTGAGACTGCATGGATAGTGCCTTAGTCCTTTTGGGCTGATATAACAGAATGCCTTAGACTGGGTGGCATAAACAACTCACATTTACTTCTCATGGTTCTGGGGGCTGGGAATTCCAAGATCAAGGTGCCAGTGGATCCAATATCTGGTGAGGGCCTGCTTTTGGTTCATAGATGGCCATATTCTCACAGTGTCCTCACATGGTGGAAGGGGCAAGGCAGCTCTCTGGGGCCTCTCTTATAAGGGCACTAATCCCATGCCCCTATGACCTAATTACCCCCCAATGGCCCTACCTCCTAATACCATCACACCAATGATTAGGTTTCAACATAATACTTTTCGGGTCATATGTTGAAACCATCGCAGGCAGCCAGGGCCAGGCTGGGGTTGAGCAGAGGAGTAGGAGGATGAAGGGAGGCCAAGACTTCCCCTGAAGGGCAACCAGAATGCTTCCAACTAGGCAGTTCTTCTCTCCAGTCCCTGGGAGTGTCCAGGCTGAAGCTGGGTGCTGAGGAGGGATGTCCTGCAGTAATGGAGGCTGGGCCAGGTGCCTCCTAGAACCCCAGGAAGTGGGAAGGTTGAGCCAGTTCACTGAGATGGAGGGAGGGCAGGGCACGGACCAGAGCTGGAGGCAGTGGAGGGGCCCACCTCTTTTGACTGCTCCTCTTTTCTGTTGACCCCATCTCTTTTGACTGCTCCCCTCTTCTTTTGACCCCACCTCTTTTGACTGCTCCCTCTCTTTCCAGGCTGGTGTTCCCTCAGGCTCCCTCTTGGCCTCACATTCTACACCTTCCTTCTGGGTGTTCTCATTCATGCTCATGACTTCAGCTATCACCTATAGCCTGACCATGCCCTCCTCTCCACACCTGAGCCCATCCTTCAGGATGGCCCCTGTTCCTAAAAGTCATGCTTAGTTATATCACTGTCTTGCCTGAGATCTTCCGTGGGCTTCCTTATGTCTGCAGGAAGGAATAGAAGGCCTTCTGAACCTGGCTCCAAGCTAAGCCCTCCCCAGTTCCATGCATCTTTTCTTTTGCATAAGCATTTATCTCTCCGTAATGCCACCCCTCTCTTGTCTACAAAACAAACTCTTCTTTTTTTAAGACCCTAAGATCAACCTCCATGGTGAAGCCTTCTTAGTTTCTCCAGGCACCCTATACTCTGTACTCCCATAATCCTTTGCACACCCCTTGACTACAGCACTCATCACACTTTGCCATTAATAGTATTGATTTGTCTTTGTCTCACTCTCAGCTTGTGAGTTCTGTGAGGCAGATGGCTTATTCACCCCAGCTCCAAGCTCAGGGCCTGCACATAGGGGTGCCCAGAAAGTGTTGGTAGGATGGATAGATGAATGGTTGAATGAATGGATGGGTGGATGGATGGATGGATGCTTGGATGGATGGATGGATGGATGAATGAGTGGGTGGATGGATTCCATTGTTTCCTTCAATATATGAACATGTAATTTCTCCCATCTGAAAAAGAAAGCAAGAAACTCCCTTGATTCTACTTCACCTCCCTTTCTTTATAACAAAGACTCCCACAAGAGTGATCCACTATACCAGTCTGTTTCCTCTTCTCACATGCTCTCTTGCACCACCTCCAATCAGGCTTTCACTAATCCACCAACACTGTGCTGAAGGAAGTTGCCAGTGACCTCTGCATTGCTAAATCTAGGGCCAGTGTCAGTCATCAGCTTACTAGATCTTGGCAACATTTGACACATGCACTTTTTTTGGAAACACATTCTTCTCCTGGCTTCCAGGAACCTTAGTCTCTTGGCTTTCCTTCTACCCCAGTGATGGCTCCTTCTCACTCTCCATAGCTGGCTCCTCCATATCTCCCCAACCTCAGACCTAGGGCTCCTCCTCTGTTATAACTCCCTTAATGATCCCATTCATTTCATGGCAAATGCCTTTCCTTCCCCTCAAAATGTGATCCTTGAAGTTCTCCCCATCTGAAGAATCAGCAACTCCATCCTTCCAGGCACTCAGGCCAAAGATGATGGAGCCGTCCTTGACTTCTTTCTCTCTTACCCACATCCAACTCCTCAGTATCCCCATGGCTCTACCTTCAAAACGTATTCAGAATCCACCCACTTTTCTCCACCTCCATGGCTACCACTCTGATTCAAGCCACCTGGCTCTTGCCTGCTAACAGTTCACTCCGCTGTTGTCCTCCACCCCTACTGTCTCTTCTCAACCCAACCGCCAGAGTGGTCCTTTTAAGACTTTATTCAGATCGTGTCACTTCTCTGTGCAAAACCTTCCCATGGCTTCTTATCTCACTCACTGTGGAATCTGAGGGCCTCACAGTGACCCTGAAGACCATACATGATCTTCACCCCCTGCCGCTGTTACTTCTCTGACATCATCTCCAATCTTCTTCCCCTACTGCATCCATACCACCCCTCAAACACACCAGCTCTGCTTCTGTATCACAGAATTTGCATTTATCATGCCTTCTGCCTGGAACGCAACGTCCTAGATACACACCTGGCTCATTCCTTCATCTCCTTCAGGTCTGGACTCGAATGTCACCTTCCAGGTAAGGCCCTCTCTGCCTCATCGTTCTCTAGAACACATCACCAGCTGTCACTCTTTAGAGCTTCCCACCTATTTATACATCATTGTCTTCCTCCATTAGACTATTAGCTCCATGAGGGTAGGGGTTACGATTTTTTCTTCCTGCTGCACCTCTGGTGCCTAGAACAGTGCACAGCATGTGGTAGGCTCCTATGTGGATGAGTGAATGAATGATCTTATGAATCCTCACATAGCCCTCATGCAAGTATTGCTCTACCCATGTTTTGGATGAGGAAGCAGAAGCACAGAGAGGTTTAGGGAGCTCCTCAGTGGCACTTGGCTCCAGCGTACATGTTCTAAATACCACGCAATACTATCTGTGGAATGGGGACGATAATAATATTGCTGCCCTGCAATTCTCACGGGGTTGTTTGGGGCTCACATGAAATGATGCTCATGTATATTCTTTCAAACTATAAAACTGGATACAATGATAACTATTATCATTCTCCCTCCAGTGAGAATTAATGTCTCACTGGGGAGGAACTGATATGAAGACCTTAGAGATTACCTAAAAGTCTAACCCATGATTGTAAGATGGGCATGAGAGAGACTTAAGTTCAGGACAACTGGGTCACTTCCAGGCATGTGACGGATGGCTTTAGACAAAAAAGGCTGGGCTGACCTCTCAGACCACTACCTCTGTGTGAGGAGCAGAATCTGTAAGTATTCTTCTTTCCACCCATCCATCCATCCTTTCATCCTTCCTTCCATCCATCCATCCAAACATCATTCATCCTTCTATGCATCTATCTACCCTTCCTTCCATCCATCTACTTATCCATTCATCCATCCTTTTATTCTTCCTGCCCTCCATCTTTCCATCCTTCATCCTTCTGTCCATGAGCCATCCATCCTTTCTTCTGTCAGTTCATCTATGCATCCATCACTTCACTCATCCTTCCACTCATCTATTAATCCTCCATTTCTTCATTTATCCATTTTCTTCCACCTAATCACTTTCCCAACTATTCATTTTCCCATGTACCCATCATTTTGCACAGCTCATTTCCTGAGAGCCTGCTGTGTGCCAGTCCCTAAACTCAGAGCTGGTGACACAGAGGTCAATAAGACATCCACTCTCCCAGAGCTGAGGGGAGCTTGAACAAGTGCAGAGATAACGTGGGAAAGTACCTAGTGAGGCTCTTGGTGTGCACAAGTGCTTAGGTCCTGGAGCTCTGTTTGTGACTAAGTTGCTTGCCTGAGGCCCCATGCTAGTAAGGACTAGCACTAACTGGAGTGGGAGCTGGCCCCAGAGCCCAAGCTCTGAGTGATAATTCTTCTCGCTCCACCATGCTGTCTTTTTCCTGAGAGAATCACCTGACCACTGTCAGCTGTGGGGAGAAAATGCTAACGAGGGGGAAATGCCAGGGCTGCATGCAACGAGGGACCCATGCTGGCCATCCTCCTGGTGCCATGATCTCCATGACATGAGTGCTCTCGGCCCAGGGAATAGGCAGGCAGGAGAGGGGACCAGTGAGCCAGCTGGGTGCCAGCAGGCAGGAGGCTGCGTGGGGAAGGGAACAGTTAATTCATTAGTCCTCAGGCCAGCCATGCTTTTCACATTAAGCCCCTTTATCTCCTTGCAATTGCATCTGATCAAGGCAATAGAAAGCAATTTGGTTAAGTGGTTAATTTAATCATGCTGCAGCCGTTCAGAAACCACTTAACGCCTCTGATGGCGATTGGCTCCGCCGCTCTCTGCTTACCTGGAAAGCACGCTTCTTCTAAACACAAGGCTTTCGGGCCCCCAGCAACTCGGTTTGCAGAATGATAAAAATGACAGCACGCCTTCCTGGCTCAGCCCTTTCAGCTTAAAGGTCTGAGAGAGAGGGAACGTGATGAATTCTATGTTCCCTATTTTTTTCCTCCCAACAATTGCATGGGTGTAGGCACACCTTCAGCTCACAGGTGCTGGAACTGCCTCTCAGAGAGATAGACTTCCTTGCCATTCCAAGAATGTCTTATTCCTAAGCCTTCGCCTTCGAGTCAACTGTATCATTTTTAATTACCTCATTTTCGAATATTACTTTTGTAATTAAAATTCTTTCCATTATACTCCCCAGCCCCCTGAGTTTTCCATTTTATCTCCTAATTACTCAGCAATTTGCTACCCTCTCCACCCACGGCCACCAAGGTCAGGCCCATATGACTTTGTACCAGAACGATTGCCACCCCTATCCTGCCCCTACCATCTCGCTGTCCCTATCTTGATGTCCTCTACATGTCTGCTGTGTTACTGCCTGCAGGTCTTTCTAAAAAGCTGATCTGGCCAAGGCTCTCCCCTGCTGAAAACCTCAGTGGCTCCAATCACCAACAGGGGCACCAGAGCCCCCAAGGGATGGTGAAGTGATCAGGGAGGCTCCAGGGCTGCCTTTCTGTGAGATTTACTCTGAAGTTAGCTCCCTGGGTGCACAGTATAGGACACCATCATTGCCATTGTTGTGTTCTGTTTCTCCTTGGCTCAGAATCTGCCTACAGATTCCCACTACCTACAGGATAAAATCTAAGCACGTTGGGGTTGCATTCAAAGCCCTTCACACTTCAACCCTCACCTTCCTTCCCTCCCACTCAAAAAGCCCTCACCATTTCCAAAACAAAACATGCACTTTCAGCCTCAAACTTAGCAAGCTCCTTCCTACCACAGGGCCTTTGCACGTGCCCTTTCCTCTGTCCAGATCCCCATTCCTCACACTCTTCCCTG